>NC_000004.12:151951684-152254714 GCF_000001405.40 Homo sapiens
TGACTGCTCTGAGGTTTTTCTGTAGCCAAATTGTCTTGCCTGTTAAATTTGTAATGTGTTTAGGGAACTTCATTTTACATGTTTAGAAAAATGGCCCTGGAGACACGTGGTGCTTTGTCAAGAGGCCTGTGGGCCTCTGAGAACCGGCAGATGACACTGACACAGGGTGTCAGCGTTGGTGCAGGAGCCAGACGCCACTCCCTGGCTCCCTCGGAGAACTTGGGGAGGTTCTGTTCAGGGCTTCAGAAGAAAAAAAATAAAAATGCTGATATTTTTAGTTCCCACTCACTCTTTGACTATGAATAGGAATATGATTGAAATTTCTACCAGAATCTTCAAAGCTGACTTACCTTTAAAGCAAATGCCAAAGGTTTGAAAACTCATTCTAGATGGAATAACGTTGGCATGGACACAGAAGGCCTTAAAAAAAGAACCAAAGAAAACAAAACCCCAGGGCTTTCAGCAGAGATGGGTTAAGGTCTTGCTCCCCCACCCCCACCCCCTCTCCCATCCCCACAACTGCAGGGCAAAGGACAGCAGTGCCTTCCAACCTTAAGGGTCTGTACTGTGTGATCGTGGGGAGAACCAGCCTGTGTGTGGCTGGCACAAATGCCCTGGGGGCATGTCCAGCTGTAGGGTAATTAGAGCACTTACTCAAAGAATGACCTACAGGACATGCTGGGTTGGATTCAAGTATATTCTTGTCACCTTACAGCACCAGGGACTAGCGGAAGCAGGGATAGAGAAAAGAGAAGGAGGAGAGGGGAAAAGGGAGGGGAGAAACTCAGAAAATCCAAAATGAAACGGGACCCAGAGCAACGTTTGCTAATGGAGATCTGACTAGGGAAAGAGGCTGCTTAAAGCCCTTTGGCTTTTAGATATCCATTGTCATTTCTAAGACAGCTGAGTCCCAACTGCGAGAAGCCTTGTAAACTTTCATGACCTCAGCCCCTTCCAAGGAAGGCACCCAGGAGCTCATTTCAGTTGCCTGTGAAGCCTGCTAGAAACCTCTGGCCACTGTCATTTTCAAAAAATATATATATTTTCTGGCAATAAATAATAGCACCTACACTGGACACATTAATTTTCTTTTTCAGGTCACAGACAGGAGACGTCACCATATTGCACATATTAATTTAAGAATCTGGAACATATGAAAAGGTTCCAAAAATCATCTACAGCCCATTATATAATTTGCCATATGGTCTAGGGTTTTACATGCTGTTAGTATCCTCAATTCCCTTGCTCTCTTGTCCTTCCAGACCTATCCAACAAAATCCCAAACTTAGATCAGATCCGCTGTCAACATGACTTGTTCCTATATCCAGTCTGCAGAAAACGTCACCATCACGTGGCTGGGGGCCACTGGAAATCACAGCCTCTTCCTTCAGCTGAGCCCTTATTGGCGCTTTTCATCTTCTTTCCTAAGCCTTGGTCCTCAGCTGCTCTCAGTCTCCTCCATGACTCCTGCAACCCCCACCAGGCTTCTCAGGTCCCACACTCCTCCTCAGTTCCCAGTTTCACCCTCTGCAAGTCAGAGCAGAAGAAAGGGAGACATCTGTAGTCAGCGCCCTTCTCTCCCTCAAGCTGGAGTCTGCATGATCCACCAATGCTGTCTCCTAAACAGCCCTCTCACCGGCTCCCTTTACACCATCTGTGTAACCTTTGTCTGAATTCAGGTCCTTACCACCTTTTGCTAGGTGACTGCAATGGCCTTCAAATTGTTATCCCTTCTCCCTGACTCATCACTGCACTGGTCACCTCTTGAACCTTGCCTCACATCCTTTGGTCCTCCTTTTACATGAGCCATTGCTGTAAAATGCAGCATCCAACAGCACCTCCCCTCAGCTGCCCTAAGGCTTCTCTCACCCAGGGTGTTTGGTGTCTGCTGGGAAGCCCTTCACTCAGGCACATCCACTGGACTGGGAAAAGTCAGGGATTTATTGCACCCTGACCAGTGAGGAGTGGAAACCATGAATGCATGCTCCCCTTACACACTGGTGACCACCTCAAGCACACACCCCTCCTTTACTGGTCTCTCTTCCTTTCCTGTGTCTCCTTCCCCACACCCCTTCTCTATCCCTGCGATTCCTCCCCAAAGTAAAGTATCCACACCAGCCACCAGCACTTGTCTCAGCCTTAGCATCTCGTACAAATGCAATATGCATGCCTAAGTTCTTTCCCTCTGTGGCTCATGTTCTGTAAGTAGAAACAGACTCATTGTCAGATAAATGTAAAACACCGCGGTCCGGGAAGGCATTTAATATGCACAGGGCTCCTATGGAAGGCCAGGGGAGGGCACTGAACTCAGCCTCAGTGAGTCTGGAAGTGTCCTCTTCTGAGTCAGAAGCTGGACGTGGTGGTGGTGGAAGTGTGACCCAAGGGGTGGGGAGAATGTGCAGTTATTCATGTTATTGAATGAATAAATTTAATGTCCCTAGGCATCTGAATTTCTGAATAAAGAAAAAAAGCTCCAAGCTGCATGCTTTATTCCATAATATGCTCTCTGGCTTGCCCATATTTTAGGCTAGTTAATTCCCACATGACAAGAATGTAACACACCTCACAGAGCTGGTTACTTAGTTCGTGTGTCTTGGAGTATTTTATGGCAATTTTGCAAGAGTGAAGATGACTTTAAGGAGAATGAAAACCTGGCTATCTTGTGAATCACCTTAGCATCAGGGTGTTCACTATCAAACGAAAGCAGAGTGGTGGCCTATTAAGATGAATAAGAAAGCTTTCCCATTTTCTTGAGGCCTCCCTGACTATGAGGGGTCAGTTTCTAGATGAATGAGATGCTAAGTATCACTGCCACATGGATTCAGAATAGCAGCAGGGAGGTATCAGGCACTCAGCATCTGGCCAACTGGAGTTACAGGATTTCCCCTGGCAACATGGCTCTACAACAATCCGAGCTGGGACTAAGGCCTCCCACTCCCCTTCGCCAGCATCTGTAATTCCCGTCAGAGATGAACTCAGTTCTTACTGGTAACCTTGTTCTGGTTACCTTCTAGTTTCTCTCTCGAGGTCTAACTAGAAGGTTTGACAAAAGATGAGAGTAATTTATGGATACGTTAGACCTTGGCACCTTAGTTTTAGTCTTCTATTCTGTCTCAAGTGGGGCTGACCTTTAAGATTGGCTGAGAACATAGTTTCCTTTCTTTCCTTTCAAAATCTTTGTCTTGTCTCTTATTCTCACTCCATTTGGAGTCATGTTCTCTCTCACACACACATATGCCTGTGTGCTATGGTTTAAATGTTTATGTCCCCCCAAAATTTGTATGTTAAAACCTAACCCCCAAAGTTATGATATGAAAAGATGGGGCCTTTGGGAGGTGATTAGGTCATGAAGGCTTTGCCCTCATGAATGGGATTAGTGCCCTTATAAAAGAGGCCTGAGGGAGCTTGTTCATCCCTTCTGCCATGTGACGGCTCAGCCAGAAGGCACCATCTATGAGGAATGGGTCCTCACCAGACAGTGAATCTGCTGGTGCCTTGATCTTGGACTTCCCAGACTCCAGAACTCTGAGCAATAATTCTCTATTGTTTATAAATTTTTTAGTTTTAAGTATTTTGTTATAGCACCCTGAACAGACTAAGACACTATATTTAGAATGTCATAGATCCATGCAGTTTCAGCATGATGGCTGGCAGAATATCATTTGGGAAAAAAACATTTTCTTTTTCATGCTTTTATTTTTTTTTTTAGATGGAGTGTCACTCTATCACCCAGGCTGAGTGCATGTGGTGGCGCTATCTCGGCTCATCGCAACCTCCGCCTCCTGGGTTCAAGTGATCCTCCTGCCTCAGCCTGTCATGTAGTTGGGATTACAGGTGCCCACCACCACACCCAGCTAGGTTTTTTTGCATTTTTAGTAGAGATGGGGTTTCACCATGTTGGCCAGGCTGGTCTCAAATTCCTGATCTCAGGTGACCCACCCACCTCAGTCACCCAAAGTGCTGGGATTACAGGTGTGAGCCACCGTGCCCAACCTTCATGTTTTTTTCTACCCCAGTTTGCAGCTAGGTAAAGGCAATGTCAAATACCAAGTTGTGCCTTGGTTATACCTACATAAAAAAAAAGAAAATAGTTTTATAATCTGAGTGGTGGTTTTAAAATAGGTCCATAAATTCTTTGATACTCCTTCCTTCAAAAGGTGGAGGCTAATTACCCTCCCTTTGAGTGTGGTCTCTGCTTAGTGACTCACTTCTTATGGATAGAATGTGGTGGAAATGATGATGTGTTACCCCGTACGCTAGGTCATAAAAGGAACTGCAGCTTTGTTCTTGCTGTCTCCCTTGGATCACTTGCTTGGGGGGAACCAGCTGCCATGTTGTGAGATGCTCAAGCAGCTGTATGGAGGAGCCCATGTGGAAAAAAACTGAGCACCCCTCACAACCGATATTCCCTTACCAGGAGTGTGGCAAGCCTCCCTGGAAGCAGACTCTTCAGCACCAGTCAAGCTTTCAGATGCTGCAGCCGTGGGCAATGACTTTGCTGCAATCTTATGAGAGACTAAGCCAGAACCACCCAGCTAAGTGGCTCCCACATTCATGACTCACGAAAACTGTGTGAGATAATCAATGTTTATTGTTTTAAGCTGCTAAGCTTTGGGGTAATTTGTTATATAGCAATAGATAATATACTCTGCACTCAAATTATTTCCTGTGAGAACTAGAGGTGAAAGGTAAGGTATCTCTGTCATGTCAGAGTGGCTAAGGCTTTTAAAGCAATGACCAAGGACAGGAATTCTTAGTTTGAGAAGCTTGGCCCAGGGGCAGATAATAGAACTTGTTTGATTTCTGTTTACACTCCCTTCTCAAAGAAGGTGCAACAACCTACAACAAAAATATGTTCATGGAAGCCATGGTAAATAGGAAAGAGGAATATGGTAAATAGGAAAGAGGAATATGGTAAATAGCAAAGAGAAATAGGAAAGAGAAAACCACAACCAGATAAAAGAAATGGTAATTGTTAAGCATAACGGTCAACATAATTGCAACAGTTGAACTTTAATCATGACTCCGAGCCATGGTAAAAGGGAAAACTTAGCAAGTTCTATAGCTCTTATTACTGGAAAGGAAGCAAAGCTTTTCCCAGCTTTAGATGTTTAAAAAAATTATCTTGTGGACTTTAATATAGATGCTGATCTAGGTAAAAGACAAGGCTCTCAATCATACTTTTGGAGATATTGGGTTAACAAAATTCATTTAGCTGTTACTTGTGTTCTTTAGTAAAGGAGGTGGGAGAATGACAGTGCTAAGCACTGTGATAGATTATAGAAAATAGAAGGAATTCCTCTGACCTAAGTGTTACCAGGCCTTTTGAAAGTGGCAAGTAAATGTATGTTAAAATATTTTTGATCTGAGCTTTTCTCTCTCTTTTTCTGTTGGTATATATATAGCACAAAAGCACTTCTTGGGCAGCAATTTAAAATAGCCCAGTTTATCTCTCTGCTTGTATTCCAGGTCTTGGTTTTGAGCTATAAATTCTTGCTGCTATCTTGGACTTTTCCTGAGAATCTGAATCCTTCAGCACATCCTATCACATTCCACCAATTCTTGACCTTCTGTTATCCTCACCAGCCCCCCGGGCTTTGTTCAAAGTCCTGCAGGGAGGCTGCAGAGACAATGGAATGCACAGGCTGTGGTAGCTCAGCTGCGGGGACTGTCCAGGCGCCTAACTGGTTGTGTGAGGCTTTCAGAGAACGCTGCTCCTGTGCTGGGCTTCAGAGAGAGGGCTTGCTGCAGCACAGTGGGGTGGCCTCCTGCTGGTGGCCCAGGCCACAGGGATATGGAAACATGTGTCTAGTCTAGAGCTGCGGGCTTGGGTGACCTTGAGGCAAGGGAGGCACCTGGGGGCTAAAATATAAGGAGGCACTCATTCTCCTCTCGGTCCTGTTGAGCTGTTTCTTATTATGGCTGAAAATATGAACTGAACCATGTGAAGATGCCTAGCACATGGCCGGGAATGTAGTACGTTTCAATTAATGTTGGTTTCCTTCTTCCCTTTGACTTTCCTTCTTCTACTCTATCTTTTCTTCTCCTCATCTTGCTTCCTTCCTCCTTTCCTTCCCTTTTCCCTCCATTCTGCAAGCATCTGAGAGGCAGGGCTGGTGTGTGTTGGGTTGTTTCCTTTGGGTCTCGGCCCTGCTGTCTCCCCTGCTGGATACTCCCTGTGTCTTCTCTGTGTAATTAACTACAGCCCATCTTCCCCATCTCCAGAGGCTCACGCCTTTGCTGACCCCCACTTACTTGGCCAACTCCCCCTACTTTCTGCTTCCATCACATGGCGTCTGTCTTTTTAAATTCTTACCACATTGATTATTTTATATTACTTGATTGATTACTTGATTAAAATACATTTTACATGTATTTGTACGATTACTTCCCTGAGACTGTAACACGTTTCTGGTCACCTTTACAGTCCCAGTACTCAGGAAAGTGCCTGAGACATTGCAGGCATGGAATAATTATTGGTTCCATGAATTAATGAACGGATGAATGAAAAAGCCAAGTTCCATGATTTGTATCAGGTGTAAGCCAGTGAATAACAGTTTCTGTGTGATGAGGATGAATGTTTCTACCTAGTAGGGCACATGTAGCACTGAGGAAACCATGGGCATCTCAGGCTGCTGGATGCCAGATGCCTCGGACCCAGAGACGCCACCTCCACACAGTAACACAGGAGAGACGGCAGGGCCAGATTGAGTGACCTCATAAATAAAGCAATGCCTTCCAGGTCTTTCTAAAATACTAGGTACCTGCATTAATTTTCTAGGGCTGCCGTAATGGAATACCACAGATTGGGTGAAGCCACCATGTTGGCTTAAGCAGCAACAGAACTTTATTTTCTCCAGTCCTGGAGGCAGAAAGTCCAAGATCAAAGTGTCAGCAGGGTGGTTTCTCCTGAGGCCTCTCCTTGGCTTGCAGATGGCATCTTCTCCCTGTGCCTTCACGGGGTCTCCCTCTGTATCTGTCTGTGTCCAAATTCCCTCTTCTTGTAAGGACACCACATAACCTATATTGGTTTAGGGTCCACAGGAGCAACCTCATTTTAACTTATACCTCTTTAAAGACCCTGTCTCTCAATACAGCCGAGGTAACAGGGCTCAGGACTTCAATAACAGATTTGTGGGGCGGCAGGGGTGAGACTCAGCCAGTAGCATTACTGCTACAGCCAAACTGCCACTTCCTGGCTGAGTGGCTTCAGACAAGGTATTCACCTCTCTGTGCCTCCATCTCCTCACCTGGAGATAATAAAGCTACCACCTCACTGAGAGGTGTGAGAGTTAAAAGCCCTAATCCCCATGAAGCACTTGGGACAGTGGCATGTGGCAATGCTCAAGAAGTGTCAGCTATTATGATGATTACTTAGCCCTAAGGGAGTTTTTTTGGGCATTGGAGTGTAAGAATTGGTCTCTGCCCTCAAGATGCTTAAAGTCGTCTTACATAGAATATAAATCTAATAAATAAAAACAACAAGAGACATTTTCCGTGACGGATGCTTTTTGGGCCACCACTTTGGAAGGGAAAGCCAAGAGGTGGAAGGAATGATGATGGCAACCAAACTTAAGTCTCAGCTGTGCGTCTCCACCTCCCAGCACAACCGGGTGCTAGCAGCATCAGGCTCTGTGGTCTCCAGGGGGGCGCTGCCTGCAAGAGGGCTCAGTCCGCAGCATTCTCAGTCCTTGTAGTCACCACCCTCCACTTTCTTGAGCCATAGCTGCCAAGGGATGTTTACCTGTCTCCCCAAAAAGTGGTCAGAACCACTTTGCAGGGCTATCCTCCCCACCCTAGAACTCCTTTGGAGATGCCTACATGGAACTCTTTGATCACCACCTGCTGTTGCTGCTGCTGCTGCTGCTGCCTGGGGCCCCTCAGTGACCCTCCTTGTCCCTGCCATATCAGCAGGACATGTCTCTCTCTATCAGGACTAATGGGACCATTTCTCTCTACACTGGGGCTGGCCAGGAGCTGGATCATCTCTCCCCCTCCTGATCATGTGTTGTGCCTGCAGAAGTAGCTCATGGCTCCTGTGCTTGCTAAGTTCTATGGATATAGAAAGAGAAGAACTCTTGAGGAGAAGGGATGTTGGGAGGAAGTGGGATGGTGTCATAGCCTTATTCAAACATCACCTTCTCACTAAGGTCATCCTGCCACCCTATCTCAAATAGATGATACCATCCTTGCACTGCCTATGCCTTTGGGATGCCATAGATTTTACTTTTATGCCTATTTTCTCAATTAGAGTGTAAGGTCCACGAGGGCAGGGATTTTTATCAGCTTTGTTCATTGCTCTATATCCAGCTCCTAGATAAGTGCCCAGCACATAATAGCACAAACATTGAGGGAATGAATGAATGAACTCTGGCCCTGTGAGCTCTTGACATCCAGGAAGAGACTGAGGGTCAGGGACCCTCCTGCCCATGTGCAGGCTCTTGTTGATTACATCAGCCAGTCAGACATGAGTGGACCACCCAGAGCCTTTTCAATCTAGTTCCATCAGTCATGAAGTTAGTGGGGCTCCCCTGAGGGATCGGCAATAGGTGGTCCATCCCAGCCGTGAAAGCAGTAGTTGCAATAGCGAATCTTTATGCTACTTATATTAGACTGTTTAGAATTACTATCAACTGATCTCAAAAAATAGTAGGTACTATTATTATTCCAAAACTGAAGCATGAAATGGTTATGTAAACACCCCCAAAACTGCATAACTAGTAAGTAGCAGGTCTAGAAATTGAACTCAAACTTGTCTGACTCCCAAGTTCTTGCTTTTACTGTGAGTTCTCATCTCTTTTTGGTTTTGTGGGTATTTTAAGCTGTGTCAGGGCCTGCTTACCAGATGGCTTTTTAATCTCTCTCTTGTTGCTACATTATTAATCTCTAAATTGTTTAGTGGAGAGGACTGGTACAGAAAGGAGGCGTCTACACGGGAGAGGTTTCCTGGAATTGCTGCTGACATTTCACGTGGGCCTCGGTGGGTGGCTTAGGTTTGGGTAGAGGGAGAAGAGGCAGGCACGCTGGAGCCGGGGAACAACACTGAAACCCGTCTATATGGCAGCTGCCCTTCTGGGGATGGAGCAGACATACCCGTGTTACCAGCAACACAAAACTGTGAACTGGATTTAGTCAAATATTTAGCTGGTGGTTGCTTCCTGCTTCTGTCTGCTCAGAAAGGGATTAAAAACTCCTTGTAATCTTCCATTTTCTAAGAATCCATAATGCACTGAATTTTGGATACTCTTTTTGGAAAAAGGTTGATGCTTCAGGCAGAATTCTGCAAGCAGCAATGTCCCACAGCCTGGAAGCTTTCCCTGGGCGTGTTCACTCCTTAGAATGCGTCACACTAAGCCCGGGGACAGACAGCTGCCACATGTCCTTTGAATAGGTTGTGTGTAGGAGGCTGTAGAGGTTGATGTGGCTCCTCTGGAAGCTGAGAGCCAGGAACCTCTCTGGTCCTTGCATCCTTGCAGGGTGGAGCAGACAGTGCTGTCAGATGAATAAAGTAGAGGGAGGCTGGAAATCTGAAAAGCTCATCTATTCTGCCAACCATAAAGCATTTTGAACTTGCTCCACCCTTCCTATTTTCCATCTGCCTCATTATTCAGCACAGTAATATTTGGGCACTTTGAAAAGAGTGATATTTTCACATAAAGCTATTCCAAGGAGAAGGAAAAATATCCTCATTTGGCATAAACCACTCATGCAAATTAGCCTAAATAAAAATAAGACTAAAGACAACTTAGAATATTATTGTACTTTTCCAGGCTCCTGCCAGTCACTGCTGTCAGCTGTAGCATCTCTCCACCCTGGATGACAGTGTTGAGAAGTAGGGCTTACCATTTAGGAGAAGTTGTTGCTAAAGAACCCACTCAAAAAGAATGGGTATCAAACATCCTGCACTCAGGTTGTGTTGGAACCACGCCCTTGAAGGCAACACAATGTACCAATGATTGGACTTCCTAGAAGTACATTCCCTCTGCGTTTCCATGTTTGGCTTATCACAGACCAGTTCATCAAGGACTTGACATTCACTCTGTTTGTTTCTGGGAGACCATTTAAGTACTCTGTGTGTGTGTGTGTGTATGTGTGTGTGTGTGTGTGTGTATTAAGGGCCAGTGCTATGCAAACTGCAAACTGTATGAAAATGTTTTTTTTCTTATGGATGAGAAGAGACTATAATATCTCAAGGCCTCTGGCACAGGAATTCTTTAGAGCAGGATAAACAAATCATTATTCTCATGCCACTGATGGCAGTGAAGCAGTTTCTCTACTTTCTTTCCATTTGCACTTCTTTCTTTTCTCTCCTTCTCTTTTCTTTACTTTTCTCCTATTCTTAGTCTCCTTCTGCCTTCTCTTCCTTCTTTTGTGGGTGTGCCTTATGTTTGCTCTGGGTTCCAGGGTCATTCAGACTTGAAGCGATATGTGGGTCCAGAATTGAGGACATGTTCTATGGCCACCTAAGACAAAGGATGTTAGTTTTTATTATTAATTTCCTCAACCCGTGGTTAAAATGGCATCATTGGATACAGTCTCAAAGTCCCTCCCTCAGCCCAGTTGTATTTGTGAACTGTTCTGAAAGGAGAATCTCAGTCTGCTATATTTATTCCAAGGTTCTATTTCAATCAGATGTTAAGACAACTGGGACAACACCCTTACTGGACTAGTCACAAAGGAGACAAACATGCCAGAACAGCCATCCCACATCTCTAATTTCAAAGGTCATGAGAATGGTGGTTGTATACACCCTACTGCAGCTTTGATTTGTTGGGGTGGAATTTGCAATGCTATATGAAATCAACAATGCTGACTTTTGAATTTCCTTTTTTTAAAATCCTCTCTCTTTTTAAAATCTCTCGCTCTCTCTCTCTGTGTTTTCTATTGAGACCATGATGTTGCAATCTGTTTTTCATCTGAGAAATGTTTCACTGAGGAAACATGCCAAGAGATAAATGGGGAAGTGCTGAGGTGTCGTCCATCTATAAAGGTGGTTTTTCAGTTGAGTCAGGGAGGAGACTAAGATTTCTGAAGTGTTCTATGAACCCCATTCCTCCGGATGTTTGGTTTATAAGTGAAGCTTCCAAATCTCTGATTTCTTTACCTGAATGCCTTCAGGCCTCCTTCATTAATCATGTTCTTCCCATTCTTCCAAAACAGCCTCCTTTTCTTATCTTTCCCCTTACCTCAAACTCTCAATATTTCCAGGAGATCAGATTCCAAATCTCAGCCACGTGGTTGATTTGTATAGAAGTCCCCACTATTTTGCATGCTCTTTGATACAGTAATTCCACCTAGAGCTATTTGTTTATGTTGGCAAGTGCAAATATTAGGCATAGAGGTGACCATTAGAGCATCTGTAATGAGATGAAAATCAGAACAATGAGATCGTTGTTGAATAAACTATGAACATTGACAAAATGGAATTGGATGCAGTCACTTCAAATGATGTAAAAGATTGACATGGAAAATATCTTCAATGTATTATTTAGAAGAGATAAAAAGACAGTTATAAATAGTATTGTCCTATTTTATTAAAAACACGTACATATGGTTGTTTGAGAAAAGACTATTTGTATATATCAAAATGGAAACAACGGTTGTCTCTGAATAATAGGATTAGATGAAATTTTTATCTTATTAATTTTTTGCTGATCTATTTTTTGATTTTTAACTTTTTTGTTTATGCATATCTTCATATATATAGTATAATTTAGATTTTATTTTCTCCTCTTATTAAAGTATAGTTTGTCACTTCTTCAAGAAGTCAGAACTAAACTAGGGAGGGAATTAAAGAACTTGTAGAGAGTTCAAAATGAAGCCACAAATGGTGGTTTGTAGAGGGTTCAAAGGTTAGCCACAAAAATGGCTTGGGTATGATGGGAAGTAGAAATGGGATTGGGAAGAAGGGAAGAGAAGGATAAAAGACACAGACTAAAAAGGCCACATCATTAGTTCTACCAGAGGTTTTAGGGGAGATTTGATGAATCTGTGTGTCTACAAAGGCTCTTTCCCGCAGCAGGGGGATCAGTCTTTCTACAGCAACCAAAAAATAGAAGTGACTTCAAAGTCTAGTATAGGGAATAGGAGGAGAAATTTTCTTTTAGAAACAGTGGAAGGGGAGACTTAAAGAGTTGTGAAAGCTGGGAGATTTCCATGTGCCTGCAATGATTTGTTACTTTGGAAACAGAATAGAATCAGTGTTAAAAGCCAGATTTCTGAAAGGACAAGAGGTGTAGACCACAGAAAATTACCAGAGGCCACTGTCAGAAAATTACCCTAGCATTAAACAAAGTTAACCAGGGAAACCCACATAAGCTGAGTTATAAGCTTCTTTTTAGGTGTGAAAGTCAATGTTCTCTGATCAATCCACACCTGTGACAGAACCCTGGCCCAGACTGTCCTCAGAACACCAAAGGTGGCCAGGTCAATGGCCCTCATTTTTTTTTCAAGATTATGAGAGGTTTGGAGGAGTTTGTCAAAGAGCCATCAAACTGGCGACATTACTAGGGAACTTGAATCATAGAGACAGAAAGTTTAAAAGAGAATTGCAATTATTTCATCTACTATTGGGAAGAAGGAATAAGATAACATGACCTAATTGTTTGACTCTCTTTCAAATAGGAAAAATATTAATTAAAAAATACAGTCCAGAGACAATTTAAGTTAAATTGTTTAGTGACATTGGAAAAACACCAGAAGAGAACTCAAATATGATAGCGTCAGAAAAAAAAAATTTTTTGGTGGATAAATAAAATCTCTACCCATTGGAATCTAACTAATTCCAATCCTAAATTAATCAGAGTTTACACTTAAGGAAAAGTGTGGAACATGTGCCCCTAGCAGAGAATTCTTAACAGAATAAACCATCAGTCTGATCTGGTATGGCAATTCCCACATGTTTATTTATTTGTGTTTAAAAGCCATGAGTATCTTGAAAATCAGCCCTGTTGCCCACATCTACAATTTAGAATGACAGCCCCAAGTATTGCTGGATTCTAAGTCAACCAAAAAATACTCCTTCATGCTTAGTGTAATCCTCTTAGAATGGCAGGAACAACCAATGTTATAGTTTAGGAAGAATTTTCAAACATGGGGGTAGATGGTCAATGAGGTTTTCTGTGATTGTTTTTCTTTTTGGATAAGGCTTCCTTTGACAAGAAAAATAAACCAGAATATACTTCATTCATTAATTTATTCATGTATGTAATCACTCCACAAGTGGTTACCGAACACATGATATGTGCCAGGCACAGTATTGGTTGTGAAGGATGAGGAATAAAGTCCAGGTCCTGCCCTCAGGAAGTTTGCAGTCTAACCAAAGACACCTACCTTTTGGGTGCTTTTATGAAATGTACTACCAATATTAAATGTGCTGAAAAGTCAAATAGAGCTGATTTCATCTATTTCTCCAAATTAATATTTTTATCCATTCTGCAATGTCTTTGCAGTATATATATTTTCTTTTTTTAAAGTTTTCTTCCTGGTATCTGGTATGCAGCTAAACAGTATCAGTTTCTTAATATGGATTAATTTCCCAGAGAGTTGTGTTGGCTTCCCTTTGCCCGCCAGGTCCGCTCTCTGCCCTTCTCCATCCAGCTCTGCCTGGGAGGCTGGTCTGTGTGCCCTCTGGCTTTGGGTTGGGTTCAGCCAGTGAGAGGGGTGGCGGGAGATGAATGGGTGAGGCGATACTATGATTGGGGTGTTTATTTCCCCACTGCCTCCCATCCTTTATCTCTCGACAAAGACTTAAGCAGGAAACCCTCTCCAAACACCACCCTTCATGTCTGAAGCTGGAATGGCTGCCTGCTATTGCGAGTAAGGGGAACTGCACTATACCTTTTGGTTTCCTAAATCCAATTTACATTTTTGTAAATAGTCCCTCTATTAAACCCTCCTCAAATTACCTAGCTTAAGGGTACTGTCTATTTCATGCCTTCCTGATAGAGAGTAGGGAAAGCCTTCTTCATTAAAGGAAAAAACAAAATATTTATTCTAGATTATTTCTGGGACCAGCATTAATGGAATGCTTAGAGAAAGCCTTAATTTAAATAACCCTTGTTCATAATTATTCTGTTTTGATATGTAAATTAGTAGCACTCAGTGAGACATAATCAGATCGTAGATTTTAAAAACTTTCTTATTTCTTTCACCACCTAGGAAACCATAGACATGCTAACTCCATGTCATTGCTAAATTCCCAACCTTAACGTAGTCCCTTGCCCCAGAGCTGGGAACAGTGGTCTTCCATATTCAAGTTCAACTTGATGTGAGTTCCCAGGACAGGTCCTGACCTCAGATATCAGGGACTCCGCATCAAGACTCACTGGTTTCTAGCCTGGCTGCAACCAGGTTTCCTCTCCTTACTCCCATGTCTCTCTGTCCATTCTCTCTGGGACTCAAAAATCCTGCTTTCATCAATACCCTGCCCAGGAATTCTGCTGCCCATGGGTGGCTGCCCCTAGCTGGGGTGCAATGATGGGTCCTGGGTCTCTGCTAACCAACCACCTGTGCTAGCTGCTAGTGTGACTGGGATAGGGCCTGGTCTGCACTTCCCATCCTGCCTTTGTATGGCACCATACCCACATTGAGCATATGGAGATACAGCACTTCCAAAAATGCCAACTCACTCGTTTATTGAGTGGCTATTCTGTTTCAGGAACTGTTCTGTGTTCTGAGGAGGTTGGTTTCATATTACATTTAAAAAGTAGGAATAAATGAATACATTCCACTCTTAGAAGCAAAAGGAAGGGAGATAGCTTATCTACTTAAGCCTTAGCTTTAATTCATTATGTGGGTTTCTTCCTTTTCCTTTGAATACACATCTATCACATCCCTTTTGTTTTCTTTTAAAGATAGTTTGCTTTCCCTTCATAGATAAGTAAAGCAATTATATATTTAAATGATTATATCAAAAAATCTGATTCTACTGCAATTCTAGAACTAGTGTTTACTTTCAAAGACCATAGGTCTGAAATCATCAAAACTCTACTTTCAAACGCTCATAATTTAGATTGTGAGATATAGTCAGTATTTTGCCCATTTCTATATAATGAGGATATTTCTGTCTTTTCGCTAGCTACACAAACTGGCCCTGACTTGCTGATATATGTTTAACAAATTCTTCTGAATAAAATAGCCTGTACAACAGCTTTAGTGACAGGTTGCTGTCCACTTAACAGATTTTAAAGTTTTATTTACTAAAGCTGTTTGGGAAAGTTTTTATGTACAGTTTGGGTGACAGTTCTTTTTGTTTCTTAATTCCACTACTCATGATTTGATGTGTGTAACCATTTCTTTTCTTTTTAAAGGTGAGGACACATGGTGAATAGAGGGCTTGCTGGCAATTGGTTCACAAGCTGAGGAGGGCACAAAGGCCAGATATTTCATCTGAAGAGTTCACAGGCTATTAAAAACATTAACAAGATTTTACTGCCTCACCTAGGATGGAAATAATTGCTTTAAAGTGAACTGGCATTAAAGTGAACACGTCAAGACTACCTACTTGGAAGCTACAGGAGACAGAAACAGAAAACACGACTCCTGAATCATGTTCCATTACTTTAATCGCTAAACACTGCTCCGTTTAAGCTAAAGAGATATAATGGTACATTTGACAGATGCCTTCACATCAAGATGAGATAGGGCCCTGAAAGTCGCATGTTGAACCTTTCTTACCTTCTACGAGGATGTCACTCAAAATCTTTTCTCAATTCCTCTTCATTGGCTGATTACACAATACAGAGTCATTCCTAGTGCAGCCCAACCCTCTCCCCAGGTGAACCTTGCTTTACACAAAACACCTGTGTATAAATAACCTGGTAATCATTCAAGTTGTATTCTAAATGCACCACAGAGATCTCACTTTTTAAGGAACACTGAAATAAATGCTTTAGTGAAGCAGAATAGCCCTTTTGTAATGTAAACAATATAAGCCTAGATAAAGCTTCCAATTTACCTAAGTTTAGATTTTTGCATATTGGGTTTCATTAAAGCAGCATATATCTGTAAAAGAAAATATTGTAAGCCTCAGCCCTTTGTCAATCATAATGGTTTTTAAAAATCCCATTAGTTTGAATAATTAAATACCAAAAAATACTTTCCGCCTGTATTAAAATTTCTGATTTTAATAGAAAAACCAACAGAATGACTGTTTTTAAGCTTCTAGTTCAATCTTATTTTAAAATGACAAACAGTATAATGACTAACATCATGCAGAAAGTACACTGCAGAGTGGGGTAGTAACTAACAAAATATGGCCATGATCTACCTTTAGGACTATAGAGGACAAATAAAACGGAATAGAACCAGCTGGGCCCAGTGGCTCACGCCTGTAATCCCAGCACTTTGGGAGGCTGAGGCGGATGGATCACCTGAGGTCAGGAGTTCAGGACCAGCCTGACCAACATGGTGAAACCCCGTCTCTACTAAAAATACAAAAATTAGCCAGGTATGGTGGCACGTGCCTGTAATCCCAGCTACCTGGGAGGCTGAGGCAGGAGAATTGCTGGAACCTGGGAGGTGGAGGCTGCAGTGAACCGAGAAAGCGCCATTGCACTCCAGTCTGGGTGACAGAGCAAGACTCAGTCAAAAAAAAAAAAAAAAAAAAAAAAAAACAAGAAAAGAAAAAAGAAAAAAAAGGAATAGAACCAGGTCTGAGTGCTAAAACCTTGGAGAAGGTATAGTAGCAGCTAAACAGGCAATGTGTTATTGTTACAACTTGACAACTACGCAGGTCCACAAAGGAATGGAAGCTGAGAAATGTGGAGTAACATGTTCAATGTCACATGGGTTCTAAGCAGAGAGGTCAGAATTCAAACTCAGATTTCTGCATCTGAAATAAGTGTTTTTAACCCCTCTGCCTACCATTTGATTGAAACTTAAATTGTAGATGTTTGAACATTTTGATTGACAAGGATGGATTTTCAAATGGTTTGACCGAAAACCTCTCTCTACCACACAGAAATCAAAGTGGGAAAAGGTAGCCATGACCCACGGTGACCTGAGTCTGTTTTATAGGACCAGAAAGAGCCCCAGGCTGTTTTTTCTCTTCTGCCCCACACGTTTCCATGCTACACCCACCCACTTTTGGATGTACTCTGCACAGTTGCCTTTTTATTCAGGAATCTTTAGAGGGCACCATCTGTTCACCAGGCCCTGTGTGACGCGCTGGAGTTACCAACCTGAGTACAACTTAGTCCCTGACCTTGAGAAGTCCGCATTATTACCCTTCAGGGAACAAAGCAAGAGTATAGAAATTGCATGAGCGGAAAATCATTTCAGGGATGGATCCAGCTGCTTTTGCACATGTGAGAATGGCCATGCCAACTTAGGGTACCCCCTCAAAGAGGGGGTGAAGGAAGGGCACCTGAGCCCCACTGCCTGTCCCTCCCCATCCTGTGTCCTCTCCAGGACATGCTGATTGCCACTGTCTCTTCACCCCGGCAGCTAAAGAAAGTTGCATGGGACGTGGTGGGGAAGGAAATCAAAAGTCTAGAACCCACACGGAATGCTGGTCATTCTTCATCTCTCATTTGTCGCTCTAACAACATGTCATTTCACGGCTCAAGTGAAGCCACGTTTCACTGTAGTTTATTCTCTCAGAAGCTGAAGCCCCACGCTCTGGTTTCTATCCCACGTACTGTATTTAATTTTAGCAAAATCCTAGTAAATAAAATAATTTGGAAAAATATGGAAGTTAATGAGATTTAGCTTATATACCCATAGACTCATGCATTTATTATGGAGAGTTTATTAAAGTGAGTTGATATTTCATATAGCTTTAAAACAAACACACCAACCCAGTTATTTCTTCCAGAATATTGCCCACAGAACTGTGGGCGGCATACTCCTGCCCAGTATACATGATTTCACACACTTCTCATAGCCTTGAATGTTTGCTTTCAGAAGAGGATCTTTTCAAATGTTTTAGGCTGGACATTAAATTCAGTCCGTTATTGTGTTTAGTTCAGAGCAGAAAACAAACTCACTTTGAACATTGCAGTGGATTTTTGCTTAATAGAGACACATCCTTCACTTATGGCCAGCCCTTGGCACTAAGAAAACAAACCTCATTTATCCTGCACGTGAGGTGAGATGTCATTAAGTTGGAAATTATTAATGACAACTAATGGTTGGTAGTTATTAATGACATTTGTGAGAGCAGGATAAAAACAATAATTACCATAATTTGAGGTGTCATGAATAAGCAGTAATTGTAATAGTGATTATTATTATAATAATGAGTGAGAAAATGATTTTAGGTTATTAAATCAGCAAGAATAAAGGAAGCCTGCACATGTATATATGTATATTTGATTGTGGAAAGTTGCCAGATAAAAACAATAGTCACTCTCTCTTTTTTACCCGCTTTGGTGTTTTTATTTTATTTTTTAAAAAATTTGTGTGGGTCCTTAGTAGGTGTATATATGTATGTGGTACATGGTACATGGTATGTTTTGATACAGGCATGCAATGTGAAATAAGCACATCATGGGAAAAGGGATATCCATCCCTCCAAGCACTTATCCTTTGAGTTACCAACAATCTAATTACTCTCTTAGTTATTTTTAAATGTACAATTAAATTATTATTGACTATAGCCACCCTGTTTTGCTATCAAATAGTAGGTCTTATTCTTTCTATTTTTTGTACCCATTAAGCACCCCCTTCTCCCCTCCAATCCCCTACTACGCTTCCCAGCATCTAATAATCATCTTTCTACTCTCTATGTCCATGAGTTCAATTGTTTTGATTTTCAGATCCCTCAAATAAGTGAGAACACATGATGTTTTTCTTTCTGTGCCTGGCTTATTTCACTGAATATAATGATCTCCAGTTCCATCCATGTTGTTGCAAATGACTGGATCTCATTTTTTTTAAGGCTGAATAGTTCTCCATTGTGGTATACGTGGTACACCACCTCCATTGTGGTATATGTACCACATTTTCTTTATCCATTCATCTGTTGATGGACACTTAGGTTCCTTCCAAATCTTAGTTATTGTAAATAGTGCTGCAACATACATGGGAGTGCAGATATATCTTCAATATACTGATTTCCTTTCTTTTGGGTATATACCCAACAGTGGGATTGCTGGATCATATGGTAGCTCAATGTTTAGTTTTTCGAGGAACTTCCAAACTGTTCTCCATGGTGGTTGCACTAATTTACATACCCACCAACAGCGTACAAGGGTTCCCTTTTCCCGCCACATCCTCACCAGCATTTGTTATTCCTTGTTTTTTTTATAGAAGCCATTTTAATTGGGGTGAGATGATATCTCATTGTCAAAAGTCACTATTGATTGAGGGCTTACCGTGTGCCAGGCACTGTGCCAAAGATGTGGCACACATTATCTCATTTAATCCACAGCAACTCTGCAAGCAGATATTATTGGTAGCATTATTATCTTTGATATACAAATGAGAAAATGGAGGCTCGGAGCAGTTACGCAATTTGACAATGGTAAGTAAATAGCTGGTAACTGGCAAAAAAGGGGTTTAAAGCTGGTCTAGCTAACACCAAAGTCCATGCAATTAGCCAGTATTCTTTGTTAACTGAAAATCAATGAATATATCGTGTTGCATAGGACAATGCTGGCACTTGCTCTACTGCCAATTGCCCCAAGGGGATAGGTCTGACTGATAAGTCATCTTAGACCCAAGGGTCCCAGCTGGCATGAAGACCTTTCCACAGACCAGTATGGTGACAACCCCACAAGGACAGGCCACAGACTCCTCAATGGAGAAGCACTGAATATTTCTGTAAGGAGGAAGATGTGGTTACTCTCCTGGGTTGGGTATAAAGCCTTCTAAAACCGGGCCTCATGGGGTTTTGTCGAATCCAAGTACTAATAAGGCCTGACTCTGCTTAGCTTCCAAGATCAGACTAGATGGAGTGTGATCAGGGTGGTGATGTAGTTTGGATATTTGTCCCCTCCAAATCTCATGTTGAAATTTGATCCCCAGTGTTAGAGATAGGACCTAAAGAAATGTGTCTGAATCATGGGAGCAGATCCTTCATGAATGGCTTCGTGACATCCTCATGGTAATAAGTGAGTTCTCGCTCTGTTAGTTTCCTCAAGAACTGATAGTAAAAAAGAGATTGGCAGCTCCCTCCTGTCTCTCTTCCTTCTTCTTTCACCATGTGATCTGCACATTCCTGCTCCCCTTTGTCTTCCACCATGAATGGAAGCTTCCTAAGACCCTCATCAGAGGCAGATGCCAGCACCATGCTTCTTGTACGTCCTGCAGAACTGTGAGCCAAATAAACCTTTTTTCTTTATAAATTACCCAGCCTCAGGTATTCCTTTATAGCAACAAAATACAAACTAAGACTGGTGGTATGGCTGTAGACCTCCTTGGGGTTTTCTGATCAGAGCTATGATCTAAGCCACATCTTGACTCTCCCTACAGGCAGGCAGCAAATTCACTTCCCTCCATCCACAATTATGTGTGTGTTCAGAAAAGGCCATGCATTTGTACATGTCTGTGTTGCGTTAAGGATGTACATAGGGGCCGGGTGCAGTGGCTCATGCCTATAATCCCAGCACTTTGGGTGGCCAAGGTGGGTGGATCACCTGAGGTCAGGAGTTTGAGACCAGCCTGGCCAACATGGTGAAACCCTGTCTCTACTAAAAATACAAAAATTAACTGGGCATGGTGGTGGGAGCCTGTAATCCCAGCTACTTGGGGGGTCGAGGCAGGAGAACCACTTGAACCCAGGGAGGTGGAGGTTGCATTCCAGCCTGCGCAGCAAGAGCAAGACTACATTAAAAAAAAAAAAAAAGAATGTACGTAGGGCTGCAAAGTCATCATGAACATATCTATTAAAAATCAAAGTTCTGAGTTCTCCGGAGATTTGTTTTAAAAGTCACTCTCCTAGCTTCTATTTTTGAAAGATATTAGTTGGGTGTTTTTTCTTATTTGACACTGGGATAATAGGATTGTTGGCTAATATTTTATCTACCACAGACTTACCTATATATCAACAAGAGTTATCAGTTTTGCAATGAATTATAAGAAAATCACATACACTTAATCCTAAGCTTGCAGTGAGTGTTATTTTATCCCTGACGATTGTACAGACATTTCAGGATCTCGTGGTACCTTGGAGTCATCATTAAGAGCATCACTTGTCACTGTGCAGGAAATATACAGCCATTTGAGCATCACACATGGGCTTTTGGATAAATGGGCACTCACGGCTGACTTTGAAAAATGATTCATAAGAACTAATGAGAGCTCAAAATGGTGGAAAGTTCACTTTAATGCAGAGGAAATATGAACCTTTTGACTAAGAGCACAATAGTGTGCCTGTTCACCTCATGAAAATATGATTATATTCTACAGCAAATGGGCAGAAATAGGAGTGGCATGTACTTCTGGGCTTCAGAGTCCATCCCACAATTAGTTGTGTAGCATTTTCTGATCTGGTGGAGTCACATGGTTTCAGGATGTATATTGGAGTTCTTTTCCTTAGAATTTATTTCCAAACTAAAGCAAGGAGGCTAATCAAAATAACTTTTGGCTGGAAGCCGTGGTAACCCATTGGAAAAAGGGGACCTGCAGGATAAGGACACATTTTTTTGTTTAATGAATTAACTCAGAGAGCTAAATGGGAGAACACACGTACCTCCCATGAGCAAAGAGGCCCGGCTTCCCTGGAACCATGTGATGCTAAAGTTAACATTCTGAATTGTAGGCCAACAAACTCTGGTTGCAAATAGGTGGCTTACATAAAAAATTAAACAGTAGTGAAAGACACTGAATGATCAGCGTTATGAAATTTGCAATTTTCCCGCATCATGCATTTTGGGTTAGATTTCTTAAGTTAATATCATGAGCATTATTTCGGTCAGGTTCGTGTACATGTTTAAATAAAACAGTGCTCATGTAGAACCATGTTAAAATGCTACTACTCAGGAATGTGAAACAACCATACTGTGGACTTTCTGTTTTGTGATGAGCTACACGTGACGAGAAGACTTCTCTGCAGAAATGCAGTGATTTTGCACATTTTCTCGTTTGTTCTTCGCTGAAGTTCTCAGAGGTAGGCAGGGCAGGGATTATGTTTATGGCAAGAGTGATGTGATAAAAATAATGAGAAAAAAAGAGTTTCATAAAACCAGTAAAGTTCAATTTATAACCAGAGTGTCCCAGTACACCTGGCAGAAACACATTGCAGTGCTCAATAGATAAAATGATGTGCCACATTTGGATGAAGTTCTCATTAGCAATTCTCCCTCTTATAACAACTTCATAGATTTTACTGCTCCTTCCCTTATTTATCTCCACTAGGAACATTTTCATCAAAACTGGGTATTTGGTGCTTAAGAGTTCTCCTGACACTGCTTCTTACTCACCAAATAGAGACATAATCCTTAGTATGTAACTTCAAAATCCTTTACACAATAACCAATTGCTTCCCCAAAGAGGATTGTGACTTTAGATGGAGAATAAGCTGCTGAAGCAAATTAACTCTCAAGAAATGAAAGTCCTGTTTCTGTGCACTTGGAGGCAGGGAAAGAAAAATCCAGAGGCTATCACACAAATGCCAACGCATTCTTTTTTCTGCCTATAGAATTTCAGGACCAGATAGGTTACGTACAAAGTCACTCTGCCCTCTTATTCAAAGCTCACAGGCGGGAGAGAATGAGTGGGACTCCTTCCCTGGAATCATTCGGCATCTTTCAGCAAATTTGCCTGAGAGGCTGGGGCTCTTCAAGACCTCCTTAATTCTCTAACGGAAACAGTACCCAAACCATTTCATTTACTTTCCCCTTTAGATTGTTATGCACTAGTTGAATCTCAGAGGTAAAGGAAGCCAGCATATGTCATTTAGTTTGGAAAAAAGAAAACACAGATACACATTTTGAAAGTGTTATATGTATTCACATAATTAACATGTTTTCCCTCAAGGTCGAATTAGCAAAGATGAAAGCAAATTCACGAGAGCATGAAAATGCCACATCAAGTCAGCCAAGTCCTCGATCTCCATCTGTGCTCAATCCGTACAGGGGCACCAATCAACAGGATGGGCGAGGTGTGTGGAGGTAAAAGAGCTTGGTGACCAAGGTCACAGCTCTGAGTCCCAGCAACACAGATGAGTAAGTTCCAGCAAGTCACTCATCTCTCTGACCCTAGCTTTCCTCATTTGGACCATGAGGCGTGCGATGATACTTGCTGCCTCCTACTCCAAGGGATTGTTTTGAAAGACAAATTAGATGATGGATATGAATGTATTTTGTTAACAGTACAGTTAACTTCCTTGCACAAAGCAAAGTATCCAGATATCTGGAAGGAAGTATTAAGAGATGCTCCCAGGGCTCATTCTGCCAGTGCCATGGACTCTCAGTCCAGTGTTCTTCCACTGCATGACCATCAGTATGTGTCTCAGGCCCCCCTTGTTTGTTTGTTTGTAGACAGGGTCTTTCTCTGGTGCCGAGGCTGTAGTGGAGGGGACATGATTTGAGCTCACTACTGCCTGGATTGCCCAGGTTCAAGTGATCCTCACACCTCAGCCTCCCGAGTAGCTAGGACTATAGGCACATGCCACCATGCCCAGATAATTTTCATATTTTTTGTAGAGACAGGGTTTCGCCATGTTGTCCAGGCTTGTCTTGAACTCCTGAGCTCAAGCGGTCTGCCTGACTCAGCCTCCCAAAGCACTGGGATTACAGGCGTGAGCCACCGTGCCTGGCCCTCTCAGGTCCTTTAAATCCATGATTTCATTTAAGGTGACCATCCTGGGTGGCATTCCCAGAAGCAAAGCCTGAGATGGAGACTCTTGTGTAAGTGCACATGGAGACAGCACTCTCAGGAGAGGTCTCCAGAGAAGACAGGAGAGGAAATCAAGCAAAGGTGTCATGTCCACTGAAGTCCAGGCTTAGGCTGATCCCATATATGTCTGGAGCATGAGTGACACCACAGCATGAGGGAAGGGCTGGCCTTTTGTTTCCCTGTACCAGTCAATCCTTGGGTTGGGCTGCAGCCACCCCTTTCTACCTGCCCACAGTGAAGATAGAATGGGGGTACCATCACTTCCCAGGCATTTCAGGTGATGCAGTTCTCCAGGCAGAGGACGAATTCTCCAAAGGGGCAGCTGTGGGCTGTTGGTAGCCAGCCCTCCAAGCAACTGTGGGATGTGTCTTGTGGCTTGTGTGGGCCACCAGCAACATTTACTACAGATGGGGAAACTGAGGCTCAGAGAGGGTAAGGAATTTGTCAGCCTTAGGCCTTCACTCTTGCCTTTTCTTCTGCCCAGAACTCTCTTCACCTTCCTGGAAGCTTGCCAATTCTTTTTGTTTGTTTGTTTCTTGTTTTTTGTTTTTTTGTTTTGAGACACAGTCTTGCTCTGTTGCCCAGGCTGGAGTGCAGTGGTACAATCTCCACTCACTGCAACCTCTGCCTCCTGGGTTCAAGCGATTCTCCCTGCCTCAGCCTCCTGAGTAGCTGGGATTACAGGCACCTGCCACCATGCCCAGCTAATTTTTATGTTTTTAGTAGAGATGGGGTTTCACCATGTTGACCAGGCTGGTCTCAAACTCCTGACCTAAGGTGATCTGCCCACCTTGGCCTCCCAAAGTGCTGGGATTACAGGCATGAACCGGCACACCTGGTACTTGCCAATTCTTATTGGTTTTGTTATAAATTTCAGCTTAAATATCACTCCCCTCAAAAAATCTTCCTTCATGCACCCGGATTAGTTTAGTCCCTCTGGACGCTTTCACAGCACCCTGTGCTTGCCCCTGGAGGCACTTATCAAAATTTTAATTTAAATAATTATTTCTGCAATCATTTATTTATATCTACCTTCTCCACTAAACCCTATGAAGACAGGAACCATGCATGTCTTGACAGGCCCTCTTCCATCTTGACGCTACGCTATCTGGAACATGTGGCCTCCGGGAGCACCAAATCAAGAAACACTACCAGAACCCTGCTGTGTCGCTCAGTGCAAATGCATAGCAGGTGTTTAACAGCACTATGTATTTGTTGGATGAATGATGGAACACACTGGTAAGGGGAGCTCAAAACCAGGTCTCTCTATCTCAAAACCATATTCTTTTTCCACTCTGCTTTCAACCATGCACAAGTCTTGCTTATTTCTATGTAATGTTTGTATACATTTTTGAAAATCCAGTCTCAGAATTCAATTTCCTGCTATATTTATCTTACACCATACCTTATGCCAATAACTAAAGTGCTATAGAAAGTAGTATTTTGGTTCTTTATCTTAAAACGACTTATTTCAGGTTTCAGGGTGTGTTCCTTTGTAGAATTTTGCAAGTTTCAGTGAGCCAGACTGTGTCTTCCTCTCCTTCTGTCCCTTTCATAATATAAACCCTTTGATCACATCTTGCTCAGCCTTTGTGCTTTCAGGCTGAAGAGTTCCAATCATTTCAGCTTCTCTTTGTACAAAAATCACATTTACTTGATCATTTTCATTCTCCTCTGGATGTTTTCCAGCTCTTTATATCTTTCTTGAGGAGAAATACAACTTCAGCTGGGCTTTGATAATCCCTTATTGATTCTTTAGTTAGCACAGGCCTGACAGCAGTTGCTTCAGATCATGGATTCTCTTCTCCAGCCCCAGCTCCTATGACCACTCCCCAGCTAGTGAGCTCAGTGATCAGCCCCTCACCTTCCACCAGTGAGAAGATCAGCTCATCCTACAGGAGCCCTCAACCTCGACTTTCGTCCTCTCAGCCTTTCCTCTGCTTTCAGGTCAAGAATTGTTCTCCCTTCTAAATCCCACTCTTTCCTGAATCCTGACAGACTTCTCCCTCTCTCTCTATCATCTCTTTATTTCCTTATGTTACCAAAACATCAGGGGATTGGTCTAGGTCCTGCTGCTCACACCACAGAAAGCCAATCACTGAGACAATGAATATTGCCAAAGAAGAAGGCTTTAGTTGGGTGCTGCAGCCAAGGAGATGGGAGATAAGTCTCAAGTCGATCTTCCTGACCAACTAAAATTAGAGGTTTATATAGCAGGGAACAAATGTAACTACATGAGGGGAAACAGGAATTAGGGAGGGGTGAGGAAGAAGAGTAGGTCAATAGGATGCAGGTGATGGGTTAGGCAATCATGACAGGTGAGGGGTCTGATCATTGTCCAGGTGCCATGATCTGGGAAGTTTTAGTTCCTTGATACTATCAGGGAGGCCTGATGATTGGTTTCCTAAGAAAGGAACTCAGATAAGACAAATGTAACTTTCTCAAATTTCAAGACAAGGAGGGTCAATCTCTATGTTTATTCAAAAGAAACCATAAACATCAGTTCTATAGGACAACTGGGTTGGTTTCACTTAGTCAGAATAATGGAAATTAGCTATTTTATCAGACAACACTCTACTATTTCAGAAGCTTAACACAACAAAGACCAATGTCTCACTTTCACAGTCTGAAAAAGGCTAGATGGCCCTCCTTTGCTTTGGAACTATGTATCTGGAACACGTGGTCTCTAGAGGCACCAAGTCAAGGAAAGAAGGTGATGGAGAAGGCACATCAGCTTTTCCTAGCTCCACCAAAAGCTCTGCACATCACTCCTGCTCGCAATCCTCTGGCCAGAAATAACTACATGGCCCTCATCTGTTTGCAAAGAAGGCTGGTAAATGGGAGTGAGTATGTAGAAGTGAATGCCAACTGTCTCTGCTATCTCCTTCACAAATGCACACATTTCCTGTGACTTGAGAAAGCTTTGCCTGACCCTCTTGGACCTGAACTGCCTTTCAGTGAGAAGCATCCCAAAGAAGTGTGTGCTTCTCCTCTGTGTGTTTCCTCATCAGCCTGTCTTTCTCTTACCCTGCACTGCAGCCTTTCCCTGCCTTGTTTGATTACAAGCCACTCTGAGGGTCGCCAGTCACTCTCTCTCATGGCCCCCATTTCTTCAGTTCACTGCAGGCCTTGAACATGTCAGCCTTCCTTTCCTGGTGCAATTCCCTCCTCCATAAGCAGATGTCCTCATCCAACTCTTCCTGGTTTCCCTCACCCCTCTGTATTTACTCCTCTTCCTGGTCCTTCCTGGTCCCTGTAGGCCAGCAGTCCCCAAGTTTTTGGCACCAGGGACTGGTTTCATGGATGACAATTTTTCCACAGACGTTTTGGGGGATGGTTTCAGGATGATTCAAGTGCATTACATTTATTGTGCATTTTATTTCTATTATTATTACATCATAATGTATAATGAAATAATTATACCATTCACCATAATGTAGAATCCATGGGAGCCCTGAGCTTGTTTTCCTGCAACTAGATGGTCCCATCTGAGAGTGATGGGAGTCAGTGACAGAGCATCAGACATTAGATTCTCATAAGGAGCACACAACCTAGATCCCTCACATGCACAGTTAACAATAGGGCTCTTGTTCCTTTGAGAAGCTAATGCCACCATTGTTCTGATAGGAGGTGGAGGTCTGGTTGTAATGCTCACTTACCCACCACTCACCATGTGCTGTGCGGCCCAGATCTTAACAGGCCACAGACTAGTACCAGTCCGTGGCCCGGGAGTTGGTAATCCCTTCTGTAGGCATTTCCCCAAACCCAACCATTAGCCCTCTTCTTCTTTGACTGTACGTTCTTTGCACTGAAGAACTCACTGATTTTCATGCCTTCAAATATTACCTCTGTGCTGCCAAGCCCGAGAAAGAATATGGGTTTGAAGTCACGCAGACCAGGCCTCGTCACTTACTTTGGGTAAGTTATGTAACTCTCCTGAATTTCAATCTCATTTGTAAAAATGGAACTAAAAAAAGCATACCTAATGGGATTATAGGAAGGAGTAAATGAAAACATTAGTAAAAGAGTTGGGTTCAA
Organism: Homo sapiens; assembly: GCF_000001405.40. Lineage (NCBI taxonomy): Eukaryota > Metazoa > Chordata > Mammalia > Primates > Hominidae > Homo > Homo sapiens. The sequence goes on from NC_000004.12 coordinate 151,979,507, forward strand.
GAAAAGTACTATAGATGTTAGTTTCTCTTCTTCGTCACTTCCACTTTTGCATTTCACCTGAATTTCATTCATTTGCATACATCATTCACTTATTCAATATTCCTTGGACTCACTCAACAACTCCTATTTGCCCAATGCAGTGCCAAGCCTTGGGGATAGAGACGGGAGTAGGGAGACCCTTGAAGAACTCAATGTGAGGTGAATAGTCCCAGCAGGTGCAAAAGGCAGCGCATCGAAGGGAATGTTCTCATGCATATTTAATTCTTTTTCAGGCAAAAACTGAGATAGAAGTGAGGATTTATTAATAGTCCCTATTTGTGTGGACAGTGATTCTTCATTCAGTCTAAAAGTCAGACAGTTGTGGGTTATGTGTGGTGCATGGTGGCCCATTGGGCTGAACGTATGTTGGTTCATGGTGGCCCTTAGGGCTGAAAGGATGTCCACGCAACATAGGGTTGACCTTAAGCCCCACAGCCATGGAGGCTGTTGCAGCTCACTGCAGCCCACTGTGTTTAAAGTGCTTCTTAGGCAGATTTGTGGATTGCATCATCCTTTTTAAACCAAACCAACCCACAAAAATGGACAAGCGGCTTAAAAAATTTCCTGAAATGAAACTATAAATTGGAGATAATACTAATAATTAGGGCGATCTAATTTATCATCCAAACAGGGACACTTCTGAGGTTAAAGGGGGAACTATTAATCATTATGCCAGGAAACAGGTGTGAACTGAGAAGGTCCTAAGCAAACTGGGACACATGTTCACTCCACTAATAACGCAGCACAAGCAAACAGTAAGAGAAAGCATTGCGGACACCCTTTCTCCAGACACAAGCTCTTCCTCAGCCACATTCAAGGCAAAGAACATGCAGATTACAATAAGGTCTGTCAAGAAGCTAATCAAGATATTTTGATGTTATTAAAAAAGAGATTTTAAATATGAATTTATATCACTACCATTCACAATCCATTTCATCCTTAGAGTTTCTCACTCTGGAATATTAGCATTTGCTACTCAAATGAAGCATCACATTAGCAAAATATTTTAAAATATTGTCTTTGTCAACTTAATCTTCCCTTCCTTTTTAATTTAAATTTTATGTATAGTTTGTAATGTATCTAATATATTAGAGTGTACATATACATAACAATAATAAGTAACAATAAACCATAGGTTGTATGCTCAAAACTTTTTCCTGATGGGTGTTTGATGAAAATGTATGAATACCACCGGGCTAGAGAGTACCACTAGAGCCAACCTAGTTGCAGTCTGGTAGCCCAGTGTTTTGGTCTCAATGTGCCAGTGTCACTCTGAACCCAGTAAGTTTAAAATGGCATCAGCCCTTCTCCTCCAAGAGAATCCACGTTTTGACTACCCAGTTTCCCTCACTGGTATCTCCAGATTTCCAAGCTCAAGACTTGTAGAGTTTTTGACTCTGCCTTCGTCAAGACCGTCTCTGCCCAATATCCAATTATTCTTCAGATCTCTGCCTCCCTCACTATCTCCAGTTCTTCCTATTTTCCCTGCCTCTACTTTCCACCAGCTTCTCATCACATTCTCTCTTTATTTATTTATTATTTTTTGAGACACAGTCTCGCTCTATCACCTAGGCTGGAGTGCAGTGGCGTGATTTTGGCTCACTACAACCTCCACCTCCTAGGTTCAAGTGATTCCCATGCAACAGCCTCCCGAGTAGCTGGGATTACAGGCGCCCACCACCACGCCCAGCTAATTTTTGTATTCTTTTAGTAGAGACAGGGTTTCACCATGTTGGCCAGGCTGTTCTCAAATTCTTGACCTCAAGCAATCCGCCCGCCTCCACCTTCCAAAGTGCAGGAATTACAGACGTGAGCCACAACGCCCGGCCTCTTTTAATTATTATAATAATGTCCTAACTGCTCTTCCTCCCTTCAAACCTTCCCTGTCCAATCCTTTCTGCACTCTGCTACCACATTCACTTTTCTAGACTGCTAGTCTCAATTTGTTCCCCACCCCCAACCCTAACTCAAAAAGTGCAATTGTAAGTCTCTCATTATCTTCGAATTTGAAGACTCTTGAAAATGACTTGCAAGACCTTCTATAATCTGAGCATATCCTTTCCTTGATTTATTTAGTGAAAAATTATTGATTGAACGTCTCCTTTTTCCCAGACACTATGTGCGTCACTAGACATATATCCATGAATAATAGAACAACAATTTATTAAGTGCCTACTATGTGACAGATGCTGTGCTGGGGAAAAAGATAACATAGTTCCATCTCACAAGGACTTTTCAGGCTATGTTGCCAGGGCTGATACTTTCTACCATATGATATATGACTTCCCCCATTTAAATCCATCAGCCACAATTCTTTATTCCTTACAAATATGCTGGATTCATTCCCTAGTTCTGCCCTGGTCTGTGACTCCAGCAGCCTCTCCCCTGACCACATCTGTCCACTCTTTAAGGTGCTACTCATTTCCTGTGACCTTGTGGATCTCTGCTTGTATACTAGGCCTTATTCATAAGCCCCTACAGTCCTAAACCAGTCATACCATCATGCATGACCCCATTTTGTTATTAGGTTGGTGCAAAAGTAATTGCGATTTTTGCCATTACTATCAATGGCACTTAATAAATTGTTGTTCTATTATTCATGGATATATGTGTAGTGACCCACATAGTGTCTGGGAAAAAGCAGACGTTCAATCAATAATTTTTGACTAAATAAATCAAGGAAAGGGTGTGCTCAGATTATAGAAGGTCTTGCAAGTCATTTTCAAGAGTCTTCAAATTTGAAGATAATGAGAGACTTAACAATTGCACTTTACTATTACTTTACTATTACTGTCAATGGCAAAAACCACAATTACTTTTGCACCAACCTAATGTTTGAGAGACATGCCCATGTAGGACCTCCCCAGCCAGCCTGCAAACCTCTTACTTTATGCTTTTGTTGCTGTGATTGTTTGTTCCACCACACTGCATCTACCACTGTGGATGCTCCTTAAATACTATTCAGTTACACCAAGATTAATATACCAATCTCATTAGGGCAGGGGATTATGGCAGTCTTTTTTTCCAATATATTTTTCATATTCTCTATAATGGGGCTATATTACTTTTATAATGAAAAAATTTCAAATAAAAATGAGTAAAATACTTCTTCAATTTAATTGAATTGAAATCCAGAAATAATTGTTCTCATTAGGTAGCTAGACCTTGGAAGTACTAGGGCTAATTTAGACCAGATTGGAAAAATTCAAAAGTAGTTATTAGCTTCCACCAGTTCCTCCCAATATAAATTGCTCTTTCTCGATGACAGATCAAATTTTCTGGGGCACATCTAATGTTGTCCTAGTTCTGGATTTCCTAGGGTCAAGCCAGGAGCAGCTGTCAGAAATGCCTAATATCAGGACTTGTGTATTGCATGTTAAGCCTATAAAAACACGTATTCATATAAATTTCTAGCAGTTGCCAAATGGACCCTAAAGGACTTTTGCTTTCAGTGTCGCCTATAATGGTATCTTGGGAAAATGAACGAAACTCAAATCATCGGCAACAGTTGGAGTAGGAGCAAGGCTGTTTGCTCTTACAGCCATCACAACAGAGAGGCATAACTTGTATAAGATGATGAATATTCTTTGGTTAACCAGCTAATGTTTTAAAGTAATAGGAAAGAGGGGTGGGCGGGTAGGTGGACTTCCTATAAAATTAACAACCAGCCTGAATTCTGCGGCATGCTCAAGAAGGTTAGGGTGACACTGTGAAATGAATAGGATCCCTGCAGAGCAAATATACACTTTTCCTCAACCACCAATTCCCTCTATCTTCTGCCTCTCTGACTGACTAATTGAGCAGTGAGTTTTATTGCTTTGATCATTTATGTCATATCTTTTTATCTCTCTCTCACTTAACTCTCCCTCGTCCATGAAGGGCAGCTTTGATATCTAGCCCTGTTGAAATTTGCTGAACTGGTACAATAGACCAGGTATCTGGAGTATTAAACTGCCAGTGCCATTCCCCACCTTGGTTCTGCTGCAAAGAAAAAAAACATTTTCACCCTACTTTTCTGATAAAGAAAGCCCAGAGCATTCAGCAGACTTTGGGTGCAGATAATAAACAGGCAAGACCGAGAAGCTTCGAGGACTGGAGTACAGGCTGTGTTTCTGCTCAGATGTCTTTGCTTTAAGATTATATCATAGAAGTGTGAGGGGTTAGGAATTTAAATTTCCTAGGAAATAGGTGCCAGAAGTGTTTTATTTCTCTGAAAAGGTAAGAAGATCACATTTGGGAGGGAAATTGTCCCATATGATAAATGTTCTTTCTCTTCCAGCTCCCACCTCCTCACTCCTACAGAAGAGAAAATGTTAGCAATGCTACAATGTGCAACACTGTAAACACCTCTCCTCAGTCAGTTCCAATTGCAGAATGAACTATGGCTAGAACAAGATAATATGGGGAAATTGGATGTCCAAGGATTGCAGATTTCAGCATTTTCCCCAGTGCCATCTGAGCAAAGGGGTTTCCAGGAAGCAGAGAGGCCTCCAAGCGTGAATCCAATTCAGGATAAACAAGGCAAGCTGCCAATGGCCTTCCCTTTCCCCAGCAGGGTTACATAAGCACCTTCCTAGTTTTTGAAAAATTAGAAGCGCTATTGATTTAGCGCTCACCATGCTTCTGGTCATGATTTATGACCCAGAAGATGTTTGACAGCATTTAGGCTGCTTTGTGAGGTTCCAGGCCAAAAATGCAATGAAGAAATGTAGAAGGAACTTTTCTCACTTGCAGATAAACCCCTGGAAATCTCTTCTCCATCATTAAATCCATCTCTGCTTTGCTTAAGGCCTTCTTTAGGTAGGGAAAAATTAAATTTCAAATTTGACCACTTTCTCTGCAAATGCCTATCTTTTTGGAACAAAAATACCATGAGAACTGCCTTGTTCTGTTTTCTGATGGTCACCACAACTTTTTTCATTCTCCTGGTTTCAGATATTTGTTTTAGATGTACTACTGCTTAATTAAAGAAAGTTATTAAACATCTTTTTTATGCCAGCACCATGATATATTTATGAAGCTAAAAAAAATGAATGTTTTAAAACTTTCATTTTTCCTTCAAAGAGCTGGTAGTATAGCAGGTCTGTGGGAGAAATGGGTTGCTGTCCAACAGACTTCATGCAGCCCCTCTGTAATGTAGAATGTCATTGGGAGCTACTTCCCAATGACAGGGATCGCATTTCCTAACCTCGTTGCATCTAGATGAAGCCATGTGACTATTTCTAGCTCTAAAAGTGAGCAGAATTGTTTTATGTCTTCCAGAATGCCCCCTCCCCACCGCCTATATGCACGAGCATATGAAATTCTCTTCCTTTTCTGTCTGGGCAGAATGAAGATGAGTCCCAGGAAACCACATATTGAAAATGGCTGGCCGAGCATCGTGGCTCATGCCTGTAATCCCAGCACTTTGGGAGGCTGAGGAGAGTGGATTACCTGAGGTCAGGAGATCAAGACCAGCCTGGCCAACGTGGTGAAACCTTATCTCTACTAAAAATACAAAAATTAGCTGGGCATGGTGGCAGGCATCTGTAGTCCCAGCTACTCAGGAGGCTGAAGCAGAGAATTGCTTGAACCGTGGACGCAGAGGTTGCAGTGAGCCAAGATTGCGCCACTGTACTCCAGCCCGGGCGACAGAAAAAAAAAAAAAAAAGAAAGGAAGAAGAGAAAGAAAAGAAAAAAGAAAATGGCAAAGCTTCCATCGCCCTGGGTCCCTAAATAACTATGTGGAGAAGGATACCTACTGACTTATTCACCTGCCTTTTATCATTATTATATCAAGAAGAAATAAATTTCTCACACTTGCACAATTTATACATGTACTGAGACATGAGGTTGTCCCCAAAAATAATGTGCAATGATTATGTATCAGTCATACACAATGGCAGTTTACATTTTTAAGGTCTACTAATTATAGCATTTAACCTACCCTAACTAACATAAAAGAAAAAATAAATGCATTCAATAACACAGCATTGTGAACAAAGAAGAGGAATGGAAGTGGTCAAGGTTAAAAACTGGAACAATTTTGCAGTGAAAGCCCTGTGCCAGTAGCAGTATCTTAATGTTAAAGAAGCATAATGGGCAAGGACATCAAAATGAGCAAGAAAAAAAAAATCCTTCTCCAAAGTTCAAAATTGTGTTTGCCAGCGTGCTAATATGTATTAGACATCAAATAAGTTGGCATAGAATTGGGTTCAACAAAGCTTTACAGATTTCTTCCTCTCAGAAGTTCCTAAAGATTTTAATATTCCACTACACACTGGGTAAACCCAGCTTAAAGTGTTCCAGTGACTGCCTGTCCTAATCAGGAAGAAATCTAAGTCCTTATCATGGTCTACAAGAACTTACATGATCCATTCTCTGTCTTTTCTCTGACCTTACTTCATGCAATGACCCAGAGAGTTTGGGTGTTGAATGACTTGTTGATCACTTATACCCAGAACAAAGTAACATATTTTTTTGAAAGCATTTTTCAAACTTACTTGATCAAGGAATCCTAATTTGAAGAACACCTAGGGGAAACTAGTATTGGGTGGAACAGATTTTGGAAAACGCTGGTATAGAGAAAGCCCTGAATCTTTCCCAGTAATCTCATGTGGATTCAGAGATACATACAAATACAGAGGGGGATTGCAGTTCAACTGATCAGGCACTGGGAATAAAGAAGTATCCTTTGCTGCTATGTGGAAGATTTTGCAAGCAACCTGGCAAACAGATTCATAAAGGGAGTGGAAAATGGAGGGCCAAACTCTTCATGACTTCATTGCTTCTCTCCTCAACTACAGAGATATTAATGATAGTTGTGCCAGGTCAAATAATCCCCACTGAGTTTGGTAGCCAAGTGTCAACAGCACTTAGTTCATTTGATCGTTAAGAATTCACCAAAGATCGGACCTGCCATTTGGTTTTGAACCCACATACTCATTATTAGTGGCTTTGCTAGACAAAATGGTAGAGTTATGTTCAGCTTTGGTGAATCCCCACTTTCCTTGTCCACTTTACGTAGCTTCCTCCAGTCCTTCAAAGTAGACAGGGCTTGTCTTGCACAGGTGTTATCCTGTGGGAAGTCTGGCATTTGTTGAGAAGTCGAGTGAGCTTCATCATTATCATTATTATCTCGATCATTTGCTGATCACCTTCTCTGAGGCTCCGCATGCTACATATCTCTGCATAGCCACCCCTTGGTGAGGCAGGCATCTTAAGGTCAAAGACGTGAGGGAACAGAGCAGTTAATCATGTGCAACTCCCATCTGTTAATAAACAGTGTAAATGGGACAGAATTCATCATTGGCTTTTGGAGACATGAAGGTTAAGTGCTTTGTCCCACCCTACGAATCAAGACACTGTCAGAGCCCAGAATGGAATAGAGAGAACTGACAGGGCCTTTGCAATCTACCAACATCTTTCTCCACAGAAGTATTAGTTGGCTGAAATACCTCCATGGAAGTCAGAAAATGGCAGTTAAAGAAAAGTGTAAAGCACCCAGAGCAATTAATTGATGCTTGAAGTAAAACTACAAGAGAAAGTCCAAGTAGAAATATTCAGTTAACAGACTCCAATCTTCTCCACATTGAAAGGCAAGTTTAATTTGCTGAATTTCATCCCATCGATGCCTTAAAACAAATAAGTGCCATTTAAAGAAAGGATTTCAAAATTCTCCAATGATATCGATGCATTTACTCCTCATTTCCAGGCTTGTTAAGGCAGATTGTCACCTCATCGTATCTGAAAGTAGTTTGGGCAAGATCTAAAGAAAAATATTTCCTGGACATTATTCTTTATATGACTTTTTCTTAAAGTACCAAGAGGCAGATATAAATATATCTTAAAAATAAACCAGAATGTATTAGTTGAATGCCTCTCCCATCCCAAGCTTTTGTCCTGCAAATTTTATAGTGTTTGGTTTAGTGACTTTCCTAAGAGACATAGTCTGAATCAATGGACCTGATTCAGGAATCTCAGATCTCTGAGGTCAGAAAGTCCTGACTGACCTAGCCTTCCCAGACCTTGGATTTCAAGCTTCTAACTCAGGACCATATCTCATTTGACTCTTTTACCTATAAGGCCCCTTCTTTCCTAGATCACTGCATTATTTTTCCAAGTTAAAGAAGTTGCTAAAGGCATGGGTTCATGAAGCTGCGGTCAAGACTTGATCCTCAAATGGATACATTAGCTTCCCTCTGTGCCATGGGCACAAAAGCGCACCATCTTGGAACACCATTGTTTCAAAGAGGATGGAGTCAACAAGCACGGATGAGTCAGCAGAAAGTTGCTTTCCTTCAAAGACTGCTTGTTATCTTTAGGATCATGTCCAAATCTCCTAGCATAGTAGAAAATACACGCCATAATCTGCCTTTGTCAATATTTTCATCCTCTTCTTTCATCACTCTTTCATATGAACCCTGGGCTCCAGCCTTGCTCATATGCCTTCAGTTGCCAGAATGTTCCAGGTTCTTTCTTTTCCTTCTGACTTTTACACATGCTGTTTGCGGTTGCTGGGAATTTCTCGAAGAAGTAAAATGGCCTGTCCTCTGGGAAGCAAGTGCCAGGCAAAGTTAAGGATTTCCATTTTTGTACATCCATAGTACCTTGAAGTGTACTTCTTTAGAGTATAAGATATTTCATGAAATTTCTGTGCTTACGTGTTTCTCCCTCACTAAATTTGGGGCTCCTAGAGGTGAACTGGGCTTGTCACAATATAGGTGCTTAACAAGTGTTTACTAAGGGGAGGATTTGATTATTAGAAATACAACCATAAGTGCATTTTATAATGACAGTGGACTAGCAAGCCTAATCTTTCTTACATAATTTTCCCTGTGGGCTTTAGATGTTCATCCTGTAGGTCCTTCAATTGTGGGTCTGGGCATCTGCTAATGACCCTTTAGAATCACATAGAAATAGTCTTATAAATTTAATAGTGAAAAAAATATTTAAAATTCTTAATATTTTTATTATTTTATATTTGCATATAGTGTATCACATTAGTAAATCTGTACAGTATACAAGTGAGGTTCCATTTTGTTCCTGACCATCCATGAGAGGTCATGGGAGAGAAATTCCTCAAGAACAGAATGCTCAGGTAGGTTGATGCTACTGCATTTGGTTTTTTTAAGCTGCAAATATGGAGGAAAGAATATTCCTGAATGTGTTATTGCATGATTTATGATCCTCTCAATCCTAAGAAGCAAATTAAAGTCTAGCAGATGGTTCTCCAAAGCCCTGTAACTATAGTTACATGTTTTAAAAGTCAGAAACATCTTAGTGAATTGTTATTGAATTGTAGAGCTTCTCCATGCCACAGAAAGGCTCTCCAACCCCCTGGCTCAGTTCCTGGCAGGAGCTTTCCCAGATGCCTGCGGCTGCCCTTCCCAGGCTGCTCTGGTGTCAAGGAACAAACCATGTAAGTAGCCTTGGTCCCATCGGATGGATGAGACTTGCTTGATATGGAGTAACTGACCCCCCTGGAATGTAAATTCATGCGGAGATGGATTTTAGTTGGTTTTGTTCATGGAAGTACCCCAGGCCTTTGATTCGTGCTGGCACAGAGTAGGGATACAATAACTGTTAAAGAATGAATGAATGAATGAATGAATGAATGAATAGTCCTGGGAGTCTGACCTCTCAGGGGTGCCTCTGTGTGACTATCATGCCCCTGTGTGTTCCCCAAGCACTGAGAAGTGCTTGCTGGGAGGAACTGGATCATCGAACTCCTGGGCCTGAGCTCTGAAGAGTACAGGTCGGCTCCTCTCTCAACCCAGGACTCAGCCCAGTCTTGCCCAGATTCCCATTTGAGCTTCATTCACATGATGGAAATCCATTCTTCTTAGTCTCCTGAGAACACCATTTACTTCCCTAAGGCTAGAGATGGCTGCTGTTTGCTTTGCCAACCCATTGAACTTCCATATTCCACAAATGATGCTCAGTAGCACCTGCCTCCTCTCTGGGGTATAATAGCATGTCCTGGCCCTTTCTCGAACCCTGCTTCCCTGTGGTTACACAGCCATGCCTGTCCAGCAAGCCCTGAGATAGGATCAGCTTTGAGAGAAATCATGAGCCTACTGATGCCCTGGCACTGAAGCAAATAAGATCATCTGAGAGTTACTGACACATCCATATAATTGGACACTTGAGCTATTTCTTTACATTGGTTGATCCATTTTTCTGAGTCAGTTCTCCTTGCTTGAGACATAAAATCCCAAGCCCTGGAAGACTCAGCTTCTCCCTTTCAATGGAGTTTTTTCAGTCAAGACACTTTAGAGATTACCAAGGGTCATTTTAATCAAAATGAAAGACATCTCTTATTAAGATGGCTTTGCTGACAAATAATTAAGATGTATTACTAGCATATACTTATCCCAGATGGCTCATTGGTGTCCATTTGAAGTAAGCATATGAAGCCCATAGTCCACGCCTCAGCTCTTTAAAAACAATTTATAACCTAACTCACCATCCTAACTACCTGAGAAGATTTTAATCCTAAACCTGTCACCACCCATTATTTTCACAGGGTCCTGACAGTTCTACATTAAAACAGTTTATAAGTAAAAGTTAACAAGGCCTAAAGAGAGTGATTTATGTTTTACTGAGTGAAACAGTCAACTTTCTTTCCCTGGCCAAAGATAGCCCAGAGCTCTCTGTGGGCTGAAGGGAGAAAATTATCTCGGAAAGATGAATGGCTTGTGCCTTTGGGCAGGTGGCTGATGTGTGGTCCTGGGCCCAAGTCCCAGGCATCAAGTAAAGCTTATTGATGTGAGGACCAAGTGCAGCACCTCCTCCCTCCCCATTCCTTTTTGGCATCACCACCCTCCTGGGTCTATGTCATCTCTCAGGTATTTGGTGGTATGAAGGAAATGTTAACTTTCCTCTTTATAAAATGTTGACGACTCAGAAATTATCCATGATTCATCAAAACCAACAGTGAGGAGTTGTAAATCGGTCCCATTTGCCACTGACAATTATGGATGGGTGAGTCAGAGGAGGCAGGAGAGGTGTTTATGAAATAGACCCATATCCCAAAAAACCATACCTTAGGGAAGACAGAGCAGCCGAATGCTTTCTCTCTTTAAACTTGAGCTCCCTTCCCTGGTGTCCTGACGAACCCACCTTCTGAAAAGCTGTCTTTTCTGTAAAGGGACATCCCGCTCCCACCCCAGTTGTATTAGTTTGCCCAGGTTGCCATAACAAAATTCTACAGACCGGGTGGCTTACACAACAGGAATTTATCTTCTCACAGTTCTGGAGACTGGAAGTCCAAGATCAAGGTGTTGGCAGATGGGATTTCTTCTGAGGCCTCATTCATTGGCTTGCAGACGGCCGCCTTCTCACTGCGTCCTCACATGGTCTTTCCTCTGTGCACACACACATCCCTGCTGTCTCTGTGCATTCAAATTTTCTCTTCTTATGACTCCAGTCAGATTGGATTAGGGCCCACCCTAATGGCCTCATTTTAACATATTCACTCCCTTAAATGTCCTGTCTCCAAATACAGTCACATTGAAGTAGTGGGAGTTAGGGCTCTGGGGGGGAATTTGGGGAGGATGTAGTTCAGCCCATTATACCAATTGACTGCAGAAGCACTCCAGCTGAAAAATATCTACAGAGGAAGTACATTGAGGAGTTTCTCTAACACTTGATGTGGCCAAAATAATCTCATTTTGAGGAATAAATATAACACTCTTTGCAAAAGGAAACAGAAATGCCACCTTAGAAAGGAAGCTATCAAAGAACTGAAAAACAGCTCAGCAAAACAAACTCCTTTCGAGGACATTAATTTCATTTCCTTCCTTTGATGCAGCATAGATCAAGTCTCTCTCTTTCTTTTTCTTTTTAAAAGAAAAAGGGGGCTTCTCCTTTCTCATTTTATTCAAAGATACCATTAAAGCAACAACCTCTCTTTGCCACAACTGCATTCCATTTTTGGCACCCAACTTTCTAAATGTGAACAGAAACTAATTTAGGGTGCTCAGTCTGAAGCTGGTATGGAAGGTATTTCTCCATCCGTTATTTCAAGTTATAATAAGCCAGTGTGATTGGAGTTGCTCCCAAGAGAAGCAGGCCATAATATTTTCACTGTCACCATGATCACAGACTAAGATAAGAGGCCAACATGCTATTTTTACTCCCTATTTTTTACTCGTGGTGTTAAATACAAGGAGAACAAGTGAAAAACAAACTACCTTGGCCCCCGCCGCAGAGTACAAAACATCCAACCTTTTCTTTTTCCAAGCCGGCCACGATGTACGTCAAGGATGACACAGATACTATTGAGGTGATCTGGTGCTGAAGAGATGCCTCTTAATTGTGTTTGCAGCGCAGAGCAGAAAGCATGCCCATTCGAGGTACTTGTTGTATCATTTTTAAATCAAGGCCATCTTTTTCTCAGTGGTAAACGTGAAATGTTTTTAAAGGCCAGACTTAGCATAAAAATCTATTGGTTGCCATGGATACCACTTACCACACAGGACTGCACTCTTGTGTTCAACTGTGTGATTTTCTCTATTCAAAGGTTCAGCATTGTCAAAAAACAAATTACTTTTTCTGTTGTTTATCTCAAAGTTCATTATGGGAAAGGCAATAAATAAGAAGATATTCATGTATGGAGGGGAGTGACGTGGGGAGTCACTTGGGCGCCATGCCTTAAAATTTGGTATTTTACTATAATTATAGCCAAATTGGCTATTGTTAGGAAATAAAATGCATTTTGATCTTTTTTGTGTATGTGAATGTAAAGTAAAGCAGGTACTTGGAAATCTGTTCCCAACAAAATTACATGGTAATAAGGCTTTTCACACCTACACAGCACTTAGTTACAAAGCTCTGAAAGAAGGAGATTAAGCCCTGATGGGTTTGAAACTTGGTACCTGAGGCTTGTGGCTTTCCACTTTATCAGAGAAACTGTGGGTTCGGGACCTCATGCTTGCTGAATTATTCATGCCATCTTTCCATCATACATCTTTTAGGGGTGGAACCCATTAGGCTGCTATTATTAAGCATGCGGGTCCACCCTGTCCTGACACAGCCCAGAAGCCTGCACCACTGCCCTTGGCTAATTAGCTTGAATATTTGCAGCTGGCCACGCCTTCCCCTCCCCACTTCTTCCCTTCCACCTCTGCTCCTGAAGGAAAAGTGGGGGGAAAAAACCCACAGGGAATTTACATAAGTAGCAAAAGGGAGTTTCTCACATTACTGGAGGGTATTCAAAGGTAATTTGTTATCAGCAAGTTCCCATTGGCTAAAGCCTGGTGTATTTTGCTATAACTCCCAATTAATCAAGGAATGCCCGGAACATTGACTTGTTACTTACTTAAGATGCTTTTCCATCACCTCTCCAGCACTTTTTAGACTCCTTCATTTGGGTGATTTGCATAACAATGAGGTAAAGGGGAGACCTTAATGAAGGCATCTGTTTTTGAATGTGCTTGTGGTATTGGGTGCCTGTAATAACAGCCTGGAGGGGGCTGGAATTCTCATTTGGGTTCACGGTAAAGCAGTATACTGATGGCTGCTAATATGCAAATTCCAACTTGTCACCACAGTTATGCCTATAGCTGGTGGAATTGTCAAGGCTGCAGAGTAACAGTTGAATTGTGGCTGGGCATAACCCACTTGCAAGATGCACTGGTAATTAATTTACATATTGCAAACATAAAAACAAGACAAAATAAAAGTGAGAATGCCCAAGGAAAGCTCAAGCGGTATTGGTAGTCTCCTCACTGTGCACTTGCCCTTGTGGGAAACTGACTGGGCCTGTCTTGGAGCTTTAGGTCTGTACCAAGGAAACAGAGGCGAGAGCCCTACAGTAGGAGTTTCACTGGCTGGAAATCGGAAGAGGTGGCTGTGAAACAGACACAAGGAAGGCAGGGTAGTAACTGTTTTATTCATAGATGTATCTCAGTCCCTACACATTGTCTGGCACATGGTAAATACACAAGATATATTTGTTATTGAGTTAAACAATAGGCAGTACTGAGAGATAGTTGTATTGTTACTGGTGGCGAATCCACGTGGGTCTGTAGCAACCTCAGTTCTGGCCTCCTCAGAAGAAAGCATTTGACTGAGGGGCATAAGGCAGAATGAGAGACCAAGGCAAGTTTTAGAGCAGGAGTGAAAGTTTATTAAAAAGTTTAGAACAGCAACGAAAGGAAGTAAAGTACACTTGGAAGAGGGCCAAGTGGGTGAACTGAGAAATCAAGTACGTGGTTTGACCTTTGACTTCGGGTGTTATATGTTAGCATGCTTCTGGGGGATTGCGTCCCTTCTCCTCTGGTTCTTCTCTTGGGGTGGGCTGTCCGCATGTGCAGTGGCCTGCCAGTACTTGGGAGGGGAGCATGCACAGTATATTTACTGGAGTTGTATGCATGCTCATTTGAGGCGTTCTCCCCTTACCAGTTCCTCCCTTACCAGTTAGAATGTTCCTAGAAGGTCATGTGCCAGTTAAACTCCATCATTTTTCCTCTTAGTGCACATGCTTGAGAGCCCACTCACCCAATTCCTGAGAGCTTATTGGGAAGCTGATGACCACTTTCAGGTTTTTCTATCTATTGGGAGACTGCCTTTCCCTGGTGCTGTGACCAATTATTATTTTAGAGAAGCAGTTTAACAACCACTTGACCTTCACCTGATGGTTGCCTGACATTCCTGGTTGGGGGCCTCTCCTGCCCTGCTCATGTCTGACTAGCTATCTACTGTAGCTATCTACCATAACAGTATCAGTTAAACATATCTTTGTGGCAAGCAACAAACACCAACTTTGGTTAGCTTATGCAGAGATGGTACTTATAGCCTTGCCATGGAGAAAAGTGAAAAACGAGACAACAGGAATCAGGGCAGTTTCAGGAGTCTAGAAGGAAGAAATCAATGGAGGATAGCTTCAAGATGCTGCCACTGGGATGGGGTAGCTCCAACTTTGTTCAGCCTTTTTGCCATTCTGCCCAAGATTCAAATTTTGAGGAAGAGTATCTTTTACCTTAGTTTGGGTTATATGTCCACCTCTTAACTAGAATTTACCTGGAGCACTTGGGGCATGAGCTTGGCTAGAAACTACAAGTCCCAGCCTCCCTTGCAGCCAAGTGTAGTCACGAGATGAAGTTCTCGCCAATGGAATTTGAGTTAAAGTAATATACAGCTGTTTACAGGCCTGGACCTAAAGACACAGAGTGGGCACTCTTCCATGCTCTATTTCCTTTCTGCTGGACAGAAATGGCAAAGCCTGGGACAACCATGGAACCATGTGTTCAGGATGGCAGAGCTTCCCCCATAGCCTAGGTCCCTGCGTGACTATGTGGAGCAGAACCTATCTACCGGCTCTGGGTTGTTAAGACAACTAACCTTTTATCTTGTTTGAGGTGTTACATTTTGGGGTCTCTGTGTTATGGCTACTAAGCCTTCATTTTTTCTAATATTAGAGGTGGGAAGAGAAGCATCATTCCCCATCCCAGCCAAGCAATCTCTGAGGTTCCTTTCATCAGAAGAAGGAGAAATAAATATTTGGAAGCAAACATAATAAATGCCCACTGCAATAGTTGTTGTTATTGGCAACATGATCATTGTGCACAGGCTACATTCAGTATGAGTATTCCCAGCTCCTGCTCACAGACTATCTGGTTTGAAATTTCTAACCAGGAAGTGCCTCTTTCTTTGCCACTCACACGCATGACTTGGTAGCTTGCCCCAAGCTACCAAGTGTGGTACAGCTCTCCTCCACTTACTGAAATGCCAATCGCAGAATCCCTCATTTAAGGGACTGGTGGTGAATTAAGTCACAATTTACTATAAAATGAAAGGAATTTAAATTTTGTGCCTGCCCTCTTGTCTCTGTAGCTACCACCACTTGTGATACAGACTAATCTTTAACACTGATGAGCACATGCCCAGCCTCAACAAGCACCATTTTGTCCTAACGACTCTTAAGGAGAAGTCATTGCCAGTGAAATAAACAACTCATTAGTTTGGGGACAGCACGATCAGCAGAAGCATGGACTCCTAATTTGTATTTTTATTTTGTGATTTATTTCCAATCAATCAGCAAGTACTTATCGATTGCTTACTATGTGCCTATCCATGCTTTCATTTTGAGTAGAATAATGTATTGTTTTCAAACTGAGTATTGTTCTTAGTATTTAATGAAACATATTGGATTTTTTTCCTGGTTGAAATACAGACACACACTCATATACTTTAACTCTTGCTGCAGTGTTAGTGGTAACTTTTCTACTTCATGCTGGAAATCAAAAGGAAAATGAAATTTTATTTCAAATAATTTCATTCTTGAGTAAACTTTTTCTGGAATGTGCTTATTTCACTGATAATGGCTTTATTTTTTTCCTCTTTCTTCAATTTACTTGTATTCCATTCCTGTACCAATCTGTGTACCCACATTTTGGCATGACACAAATTTGAGACCTTTCATTATTAACTGTGCAGGTTGTTTAACCAGTTCAGGGTTCTTTTCAAATGAGAGTTAGACTTACTCATCTCTCTGTTCACTTCCCACTCTCAGCCTACAAATCTTTTAGATATGGTCTTTCCTGCTTTGCCCAAGTACCTGGTTCTGATCAGGCCAGATTTGATCATCAGTGTCTACACACAAAACCTTCTAGACTGCTCAGCCATCCCCAATCTTTAGATTTTCCTTGGCCATTGGCCTGCTGACCCACCTGGGGAATGGCTTGCTCCCCACCCCAAAAAGAAAAACAGAAATCACTCCAATGCTTCAACATTCTAGCAGAAAGGTGCAATTCTGACCAGAAGGAGAGAGTCGGTCCTTTAGTGTAAGAAAAACCATCTTATGAGCTTTCCTTATGCAGAGATGGGTAGAATCTCATCTAGGGAACAGACTTAGACAAAAAGAAATTATGGGTTGTTGGGGGTAGTATTTCTTGGTTTATTGAAAAGGAATGGGTACTTGTGTTGAGGGAAGTCTGGAGCCAGAAGAAAAGTTAAGATAGAGAGTCTAAAGGAGAACATTCCATGACAGAACTGTTTCATATCTTTGCATCCAATATGGTGACTATTAGCCACAAGTGGCTATTGAGCACGTTTACTTTTATTTAATTGTAATTCATTTCAATTTAAATAGTCATACATAGCCAGGCACAGTGGCTCACACCTGTAATCCCAGCACTTTGGGAGGCCGAGGCAGGCAGATCATCTGAGGTCAGGAGTTCGAGACCAAAGTAGCCAACATGGTGAAACCCCGTCTCTACCAAAAACACACAAAAAATTAGCTGGGCATGGTGGTACATGCCTGTAATCCCAGCCACTTGGGAGTCTGAGGCAGGAGAATTGCTTGAACCTGGAGGATGGAGATTGCAGTGAAGTCGAGATCATGCCACTGCACACCAGCCTGGGGGACAGAGACTCTGTCTCAAAAAAATAAAAAAATAAAAATTCACACATGTGGCTAGTGACTACTGTTTTGGACCATGCAGATCTAGGTAAAGAGCCTCAGCAAATCCAAGATGAAGCCTTAGAAACAGCCAGTGAGAGACTGCCTGAAGTAAGGACGGTAAAAAGACTGGCTTTCTGCCCTGTATCGTGACAGTCTGCTCTATAGCATTGGGAATGGAAAGAGGAAGGAACACGAATGGAATACTGGGAGGGGAGGAATCAGAGGCCTTGACAGGTCCTTTTAACCTTAGTATCCAAAAAGGTTATGACTTAGATTAAGCCAATGAAAACAGAGGCTCGGTAGAGTTAGAAGCGGGCCCAGGAAGGACAATGAAGGTCTGATCTACAGTTAAATAGGGGCAAACTAGGTGAAGAATGAGGCTGGGCTTGTATTGCATGCTGTTAATATCTCTGTAGGACAAACGCCCACCTGCTGCAGTTCCACAGCAGAGCTTTGGAAGATGTAGTGGGGAGGGCAGGTCTGCTGGAGACCCACAGGGCAGAGGCCAGCTTCCCTGAGCCCACTTTTGGGACAGAAACATTAATCCCCTGAGTGGTGGAAGTAGGAGGTTACTCAACAGAGGTGACCCCTCCCTTCGGAAGCTGACAAATGTTGCCTTTGTCCCAGGAAGCCCTCCCCTGGAGTGCTCCAATCTGTTCATTACCCCCACCCTCATCATCATCATCTTCCTCCTAGTATGGCCTGCATACTTACAGAAAGGATATGAGCAAACTCACTTAACACCCACAGGATGAACTTGCAGCTACTGTGGTTGCCTGATAAATTAGGAGGCAAATCAGTCTGAGCACCCACTCATAGGTACCTGAGGCTTCAAAGTAGCACAGTGCAATGCAGGCCTTTCGGGTGCCCTCCAAGTGTCTAGACCAGGGGTCCCCAACCCCTGGGCCACAGACTGGGTCAGTGGCTGGTTAGGAACCAGGTCACACAGCAGGAGGTGAGTGGCGGGCAAGCAAGCATTACCACCTGAGCTCCACCTCCTGTCAGATCAGCAGGGCATTCAATTCTCTTAGGAGCATGAACCCTACTGTGAACTGCATATGGGAGGGATCTAGGTTGCATTCTCCTTATGAGAATCTAATGCCTGAGAATCTGTCACTGTCTCCCATCACGCCCAGATGGAACCATCTAGTTGCAGGAAAACAAGCTCAGGGCTCCCACTGATTCTACAGTATGGTGAGTTGTATAATTATTTCATTATATATTACAATGTAATAATAATAGCAATAAAGTGCACAATAAATGTAATGCACTTGAGTTATCCTGAAACCATCCCCATCCCCCACCCTGGTCCAGGAAAAAATTCTTTTCCATGTAACCAGTCTCTGGTGCCAAAAGGGTTAGAGAATCAAAACACCCTCTCTTAGCAGAAAGGCCCAGGGCTATCTCCAACACAAAGGCCTTTGCTCCTCTTCCCACCTGTGAAATATCTTCTCTGGCTCTCTGCTTACAAGAGGCTAGTCCCAATGTGGGTACACAGCTCCAGTTCCTCCTGAACCCCGGTGCTGAAAAACAGAGGGCTTGGCTCCCCAGGCTGCCAAATCTAGTACTCTCATGAACACTACATTGGCTTAATTATTTTAATTGAAAAAAATAGGCGACTAATGATTACAGCTCTCTCAGCCAATACATAATGGAGCCGTGAAGCTAAAAGAACTGAGGTCCACTGTGAGTTTTTAAAGCCTTGTTATTTCAGAATGGCTTTCATGTTTGGGTTGGACCAGGGAGCTGCCACCCTTCGGGGAGGGATAGTTAACATAGTTGATGTCAATTCATTCCTTTTGCTTTTCATGGAAAACCCACCCCACGGGTCTGCCTGAGTCAAAAGTGTTCTGGAGTGCTTATGATTTCTTGCTCAAGAAAAAGAATAGCCTTTTGCATAATTCTCAGAGTAAGCAAAATGACTCTCCAGCACATCTTGGAAAATTCCGAGATACACAATGCATAAGACGAATAGAGATCCCAGCAAGCAAGCCGTGATAAGGAGGTGTGTGGCATTCCACGCCAGTCTCCTGCCTGTGCAGTGACATAAAAGCCCAGTTAGTGCTGCGTAACGGCTGTATTTTTCTTGTCTACAAATTCCAGTTGTATGAAAGCGGAACGCAACAAGGAAACCCCATGTCTGCCAATAATGGAAATTGTTTGAGATTTCTGAAGAATTGGTGAACAAGAGGGGGCTGCACTGAGGTAGCTTTGGGAGTTCATGTCTTGCCTGAAGATTTGGACACAGATGTGTTGTTCTTAACTTAGCAGCCTCAAACAGGGATGAGAGGAAATTTTGTACTTAGATGGGACAGGGGAACTGGGGGGCACATAGAATTTGAGGCTCTGGCCGGGCGTGGTTGCTCATGCCTGTAATCCCAGCACTTTGGGAGGCTGAGGCAGGTTGATTATCTGAGGTCAGGAGTTCAAGACCAGCCTGGTCAACATGGTGAAACCCCATCCCTACTGAAAATACAAAAATTAGCCAGGCAAGGTGGCGGGCACCTGTTATCCCAGCTCCTCGGGAGGCTGAGGCAGGAGAATCGCTTGAACCTGGGAGGCAGAGGTTGCAGTGAGCTGAGATTGTGCCATTGCACTCCAGCCTTGGTGACAGAACAAGACTTCATCTAAAAAAAAAAAAAAAAGAATTTGAGGGTCTGTGGAGACTAGAATTGCAACATGAGGGCAGATAAAAGGTACAGAATTTGGTCAACCCAGTATAAGAATCTCCTGTTAGGTTCTTTCCATCTCTGGTCAATTACTACCACATCCTGAGTTCTGCCCAGAAGACTTTAGAAGGCCAGAGCAGAGACACATTAGTAAGAAGCTTCCACCTCTGAATCAAGGCATCTTCCACAAGGAGACTCTCAATTGTCCTTCCACTTGCTGCCCTCTCACCTTCTAGATCTCAGATTGTTGGGGGAGTGGTGGGGACATGGGGCTTAGTATATAGCATTATGTCTAGTTTTGCAGATGAGGACATTGGGGCTTAAAAAATGCAAATGCCTGAGGCTGTGATCTACCAAACAGCAGAGGCAGAATGCAGACCTAGCCTCTTGAAGTCATGTTCAGTGTCCTTCTTTACCTGCCACCTCCTCTGCAGATGCGCTCAGCTCTGACCTTCAACTTGCCCTTTTGGCCTCTACCTTGCTTTGCCCTTCGATGTATCGATCTGGCTCCCAATAGCCTGCTTGTCTCAGCCTCCAGTGTCCACCCACACCCCTGCCTCTGCTTACAGTACTGCTTGGGAAAGGCAGTTGCTGGTTTCCCTGTTTCTAAACTCCTGACAATCTGCCTGGTTTCAGACCTCAACTTCAGTCCAGGTCTGACCATGTTGGGTTTTGGCTGTTTCTGTGCTTTATGGTCATGTTTGCTAGAGGACTGCCCATGAAGCTGGGCCCTGTTTGGTGGGAGCTATGCCAGACAGCAGGCAATCAGGCAATGACCACTCCAAGATGCTGGACCAGATGGGAGAGGCAAAGTCAGAAGCCAAGGAATAGAGCCAAAGGTGCATCAGGGGTAGGAACCCATGCATAGGTCAGCAGGGTGTGAGCCAAGGAAACGTGCTAGGCAAAGGCAGATGAAATGGGGTGGTTCTGGAGGTCATTCCATGAGCTCTGGCCATCTACCATGGAGTATTCTGTGAAAACATGGCTGAGCTTGTTTTACTAGTATTTCAACCATGTTACCCTGGGTGAGGAATTGGGAGGCCAGATGCAGATCAAGAGAGAGAAGCAAGACAGAGTGGTACAAAAGGTTCTATTCACAGTTCCCTGGGAAGAACAGAGCACAGTATGTGGGATTGTCCATGGTTGACTGCTCCTTGGCCTTGGGGTAATTAGGACTGGTATTTATTGGCCCAGGAGTGTGAGAGCCCAATAAGTATGGCCATGTAGGGGTGTGGATTTAACTGGCTACTCAAAAAGGGGAACTAATCAGCCTCTGGCCAGGGTGCCTCAAAACTGGGTCAAGATAGCATTAATAAAAGCTATATTACAAATGGGTTGTGATGGACTCCTAAAGAGAGTGTTTTAGTTTTATATATATATATATATATATGTTTTTATATTTTTAAATTATATATATATATATATATATATATATATATTTTTTTTTTTTTTTTTTTTTTTTTTTTGAGACGGAGTCTCGCTCTGTTGCCTAGATTGGAGTGCAGTGGCACAATCTCAGCTCACTGCAACTTCTGCCTCCTGGGTATAAGTGATTCTCCTGCCTCAGCCTCCCAAGTAGCTTGGATTACAGGTGCCTGCCACCACGCCCAGCTAATTTTTGTATTTTTACTAGAGACGGGGTTTCACCATGTTGACCAGGCTGGTCTCAAACACCTAACCTCAGGTGATCTGCCTGCCTCAGCCTCCCAAAGTGCTGGGATTATAGGCATGAGCCACCGTGCCCAACCTAGTTATATTTTTAATTACAAAAAGTAGTATACAGAAGTTGAAAATTCAATAACACCGTGAAAACTGATTTTACAAATGATTCCCCAACATCACAGGGGAAACTACTATTCATAGATAAATATGCATTTTTTCAGAACATTTTCTATGCTGATAGGAAATGTGTATTCATGAACATTAATGCATATACACATTGTTTTGTAGTTTATAATAAAGATAAAAAGTCATGTCATATATGGCATAATTTCTTTTCTTTACTCAGTAATATATTATGGGCCTTCTGCCACACCGATACCTACAGATTGACATCATTCTTTCTTAAGGGCTGCATAATATTCCATAGTTTGTCTCATTCTACTATTAGTTAATATTTATGTTGCCTTCAGATTTTTACTATTACATTAACTAAGTAAATACTGTACACACTTGCATGACTTTTCCAGGGAATAAGTTCCTCTAAGTGAAATTTCTGGATTAAAATTTGTATGCATTTGAAATTGTATTAGTAACATTCAATTTCTCTCTAAAAAGATTATACCAGTTTACATTCCCACAGCAGTTTATGACTAGACGTTAGACATTATTGATCTTCATTTTTCCAATCTAATTGCTGGGAAATGTGACTCTGTTTTAATTTGTATGTATCTGATCACTAGGGAGGTATGTAGGTCTTCTTAAATGTTATCTGTTTTAATAGCCTTGCCTATAAATTAACTCTTCTGGTCTTTTTCCATTTTAAAACTTTATTCTTTGTATATTAAGAATATTAACTTTTGTCCATGTCAATTATAAATATTTTTATTAGCCTATCATTTGCTTTTTTTTTTCTTTTTTGAGACGGAGTTTCACTCTTGTTGCCCAGGCTGGAGTGCAATGGTGCGATCTTGGCTCACTGCTTCTCGGGTTCAAGCAATTCTCCTGCCTCAGCCTCCCGAGTAGCTGGGATTACAGGTGTGCACCACCACACCCAGCTAATTTTTTGTATTTTTAGTAGAGACAGGGTTTCACCATGGCCAGGCTGGTCTTGAACTTCTGACCTCAGGTGATCCGCCCACCTCAGCCTTCCAGAGTGCTGGGATTACAGGCGTAAGCCACCACGCCTGGCTTTTTGCTTTGTTTATAGTGTTTTGTTCTGTATAAAAAATTTTCTGTTTTATATAATAAAATCTGTCAGCACTTTCTTTCATGGTCTCTAGGTTTCCTAGAGAAGGTCTTCCTGATAGGGTAAATTTAGGAAGGTCTTCCCAATAGGGTAAATTTTTCAGGAGAGTGTGCTGGAAGAGACAATATTCCCAGCAATGATGTGATACTGATGAGGCTGAGGCTGCTGGGGGGGCTGGGTGGAGGTGTTGCCACTGCAAGTCACTGTTAAGTGACTCTTAGCTTTTTGTGTGCCATATATTTATCTGAGATTCTGATAAAAGGTATGGACCCCAGACACAATTTTGACTATGATTTCAGAGGTTTTACAGACCACTTGAAGTTTATCACAGACCCCTGCTTATCTTCATCTGGTTAAGGACCCTCCTTATTGCATTGGAAAATATCCAATCTAGGAAAACGTTTCAAATGATTTCTGCTGTCAAATATAGACCCTCAACTGACTCCTCCAGTAAAATTTCACCTGGGAAGCTGGGTATTCTAAGGCAGCCTCTTTCTGTAACCCACTTGCCTACCCTGGAAATTCATGACTCTTCCTGTCCCTGAATGTAAGGACTAGCGTCACCCTAGCTTAGGACCAGCATTCTCAGCCCTTCCCAGTAGAGCAACCTTTTTCACTGCACCCATGCATTCCCTACAGTCACTCTGACTTCATTGGATTTCAGACCCAGGGAGATGACAGCTGAGGCTCAGAGCTGGAGGGTGGGTGTGGGATTGTGGGGAGGGATGCTAAGGGCGGCAAGACACCGTCAAGAAGATTAGAATCTACCTGCCTTTGAAGAGCCCATGATGAAGGACATTAAATTTAGCAGCAGGGTCTTACAAAGGCTCTGTTCTTGAGTCTGTCTGTTGAGTCCTCTCTGTTGAGATTTTGCCCTTTGCATATGTCCTATGATGCTATTATCTCTTGGAGATCTAAGTTGGAGTATCTTTTTCTTGTTTCATTTGCAGGAAATCTTTTTGGCTTACATTCTCTATCAACTAATTTCTTCAAAGGTTAGTCTTTCTAAAACCACAAAATGCTGGTTGCCTACAACCCAGTTGCTCCTCCTTCGTCCGTTGGTCCATGTCTATATTCTCTCTTCATTGTCTGCCACAATCAGCATTCTCCACGCTGTGAAGATGGAAGGGGAATTTTAAATTTCTTTTGGTGGAAAAGTTACTTTCAACTTCAAGGATAAATAAGAGTTAATTTATTCACCATATATAAGTGCCTGGTGGTTCCTGTGTAACACAATGAAACATTCTCCCCTGTACCTCCTCAAAACATACACACACATTTTACATAAGACTACAGTAACCTAAGAAGAGAGCCTCCTTAACATTTTATAACATATTGTATAAGCCAAGGGGCAAACCTGGCTAAAGTAGGCAGTATTTTTAGTGGTACAGATTCCTGAGCCCAGCCTGGACTTTGGATTAGATGCTTTGAGGGTAAGCCCTGAGAGTCCTCATGCCCAGCCTAGATAACTTCGTCGGTGGTTTGCTGTATGTAGCCAGCCCGGCACAGGTATGAAAACTGGGAGAGTTTACAGTGACAAAGAGTAAAAGTATATTATATAATCATGCAAAGTAAAAGAAGCAGATAAATCCTCTTTTCCTGGAAATTGGGGAACAATTTATGGAAGAATGAGTATTTCAGACCAACCTGAATGAAGAGAGCTCATGAAGGAGCAGGCGTTGTAGGCAGCAATGGAGCCAGGGAGAGATTCAGAAGCAGGCATGGAAAAAAGGGGAATTATATGGATATCCTGGGAGAAATGAAGAGGCCAGGCTGGCTTGCTTCAGGTTTTGTGATCCTTCACTCTTCTGGGATTCCCCACCTTTGATGAGAAAGTGCTTTCATCCTCAGAACCATGCAACTGGACAGAGGGAAGATGTGCATTGATAGCAGTAAGGTTCCCAAGCTGATCAGACGGTGTCTCCCCGGCCAGAAATCCCTGCATGGAGCTATACCTCTTGCCTGAGCAACCCACCACCAGGGTCTCCAAGGCCACCCAACCCTTGCTGCACATTAGAATCACCTGGACCCTTTTTAAAAATACCAATGCCCAGGCCCCTTCCCCAATATTCTGATTTACAAGGTCTGGGGTGGGGCTCCAGCATAGGTATTTTTTAAAGTCCCCAGATGATTCTAATGTGCAGCCACAGTTGAGAACTACTGACCTGGCCAGTTGCAACCAACTAGCTGGGAAATTGTTGTTGACTTTGACCCTCAGTTTCCTCATCTGTTCTGGGGGATGTTGCCGAGGTGATGTCGTGGGTCTCCAGGACCTCCCTTCTGTCCTCTTCTCTTTGAAGGCATCTGGTTCTCTCTCCGAGCCTCTCTACTGCTCCTCGTGGTGTTTTGCTCCCATCTTTTCCCCTTCATATCTTATCTGCTATGCTTTCGTTCCTGTGAGCCCAGATCTCTGCTAAGTGACAAAGACTGCTAATTGCTTAATCAGATAAACTAATTGCTGTTAACACTACCTGGCGGAAGCATTCCCTTGCAAGTAAAACGCTACCTTGAGCCACTAAGGTTGTGCTCCCCAAGGAGTGAAGAGCAGTCTCTACATGTGATTTTCAGGCAGGGCTGATAGTGAATACCAGGGCCTGGCAGTTCCTCCAGGCCTACCACAGAGGGGCCGTATCTTTGAACAGAGAAAGTGTAGATAGAGAAAACAGCAGAGCCCCGACCTTACTGACTATTTGAAACTGGGCCATTACTTGGTTTCTCTGTTGTTTAGGGTGTAGCAACACTTACCTTCCAGAATTGTCATTAAGGGCCCATAAAAAGATGTGGCATGTTGTAGGTGTTCTATAAATATTAGCCTCCATTTTTCTTCCAAAATCCAGATTCAAATACACTTTTCAATAGCTACATCTCACTTTTAATACCAGGGTTTAAATCTGTAGCTAAGCCATGTCTCTCTCATCCTGCACTTGGGCAATTTTTTTTCTTTTCTTTTTGCTTTTTTTTTTTTTTTTTTTGAGACAGAGTTTCGCTCTTTGTTGCCCAGACTGGAGTGCAATGGTGCAATCTCAGCTCACTGCAACCTCCGCCTCCCGGGTTCAAGCAATTCTCCTGCCTCAGCCTCCCAAGTAGTTGGGATTACAAGTGCCCACCACCATGCCTGGCTAATTTTTGTATTTTTAGTAGAGACGAGGTTTCACCATGTTGGCCAGGCTAGTCTCGAATTCCTGACCTCAGGTGATCTGCCCACCTCAGCCTCCCAAAATGCTGGGATTACAGGTGTGAGCCACCATGCCCTGCTTCAATTATTTTTTCTTGTGGTGAAATAACACATGACATGAACTTCACCAGTTTAACGATTTTTAAGTGTATGGTTCGTAATATTAAGCACATTCACATAATTGTACAACCATCACTTCCACATTGTATTACACATCCAATTCCAGAACTCTTAATTCTGCAAAACTGAAACTCAATTAAATAATATCTCTGCATTCCCTCCTCCCCTCAGCCCTTGGCAACCAATAATCTACTTTCTGTTCCTATGATTTTGACTACTCTGGGTACCTCATATAAGTGAAATCATGGTGCAGTCCATTTTTTAGATGTAAAGATTGAATTTTATATTTTTTCCTGTTAAATTCTCTCTTGCTATTTTTTTTTTCCCAGCCTTACACCATTTCCTGAGCTTCTGGATCCGGATTTTATTGTCCAACATGGTAACTAAACTTCTCAGGTCTGTGCCATCAGCAGAGATAGACAAAGGGCTCTTGATGTCTTCACTTAAATCATAAGTAACATTTTCGACAGAACAGGGCAAGAGAAAAACCCTTCTGCACCCTGAGCTTCCAGTATGATGCTAACAAATTAAGCAAACCTCTTTAGTTTTAATATTAGTTTCAAACTAACCAAGCTATATTCTCATTCGGTTCACAATCCTTAATTCTCCACTGCCACTTTCTGCGGCAGAAACTAGTTTCCTATCCCAACATCCATTCTTTTCTTCCTCCTTAGTAACAGAACTCTAATTTTTAGCTGCTCTGATCCCAGCTTCTCTTGAAACTAGAGATGGTCATGTGCCTCGTTCTGGTCAATGAGTTGTAAATAGAATTCTTTTGTGGAACTTCAGGCAAGTCTCCCTAAAAGTAACTGACTCAGCTGGGGTAGATAGCCGTGCCTCCTTCCTGATGCTTGAATGTGGATGTAATGAGCCTCTAGCAGCCATCTTGAATCATGAGGTGACCTTGAGGATGAAGGATAAAGGAACCTGGTCTTTACTGACCATGGGACCATATCATAGAAGCCTGGGATTGCCTATTGCCAGATTTTCTTACAGGAGACAGAAATAAGCTTTCAAATTGTTTAAGCTTTTGAATCTAATTTTAATGAAAGATGAAAATAATGAACACTTTGTTTAAAATCCAAACACTCTGTCTTTCTCAGAAAGAAGACAGGGAGAAAGAGAAAAGAGAGACAGAAAAAAAAGAAAGAAAAAAAGATAAAGGAAGAGGAAGGAAGGAAGGAAAGAAGGAGGGAAGGAAGGAAAAGGAGGGAACGAAGGAAGGCAGGGGAACGAGACTCTGAGTTTTCTGATGCAAATCTGGAATTCCTCCCATATCTGGAAGAGTTCTGTGCATCTACAGCCTCTCCAACCTTTGAAAAAGAGCTTGGGAGGTCATTAGGAAAGGGAGAAAAACAAAAAGGGAAATTTGTCAGCATGAGTTTGAGTAGACCTCCTGATGTGAAGAGCTAGAAAAGCCTCTCTTTGGAGACCTAGGCCATTTCTAACAGTTTCCTTTGAAATCACTAATTATGTTCTAAAAAAGAAGGCGTCATTGGAGCCAGAACCAGCAGCCAATTACCCACGAGAAATCACTCACTGTGTGGGCTGCCTTTTCTCTCTGTTCGCATAATTTTAAAATGCAATTTCTAGAATCATGCTAAATACTTGTAAACAGAGATTGGTTTAATTGCAAGAAGAAACAATTTCAGGGGATAAAAAGGAGTTGTTTCTCCTTGTTTTATTGATAATAGAGCAGTCCACTTTGGGTCAGACTTATAGACTTACTTAGTCCATCTATCTTCTCACTCAAAGTCAGGTCCCTCTGCAACTCTGGTGAGAGGTACAGACTTCAGGAGAAGGTAGAGGTTGAGGCTGCTATGGGGTAGTGGAAAGAGCATAGCATTTGGACTTAGAAGACCTGGGTTCATAGTCCCAGCTCTGGTACTTTCTAGATTGCTTCTATTATAACATTATAATAGGAAGCCACTTAGACTTCCTGAGCCTCAGTTTTCTCATCTTAAAAGTAGGACTGCCACACAGGGTGGGAAGAGCAAGGGGTAATATATAGGTGTGAAAACTAGAAAGTACGCTAATGGAATGTGAGCTCCGTGAGAGTAGTGGCTCAGCTGCCTGCCGCCTTTCCTGTGTTCTGGATGGTGCCTGTAAGATTGTATCGGTTATTTCGTATCAATCAAAACTGCCACATAATGAAAATTATAGAGTGGCAGGGGCCTACCACCACCCACATTTGTTTCTCACAGGTCTGTGGGGTCTGGCTGATCTAGGCTGGGCCTGGCTCATCACCACTGGGCTGGTTCAGCTGGAGCAACTTAGCCAGGAAAGCCATGCTTTTCTCAAGACTAAGGGCTAGCTGGGGCTCATCCTTGTCATGGTGATGGCAGAAAGGCAAGAAGAAGCAAGGCCAGCATGTCTGTGCTATGTTTACTAATATCCCATCAGTCAAGGATGGAAGACATGTGGCTGGGGCTAGGGATGGGAATTTCATTCTGCCCACACAGCGGCATGATACTGCAAAGTTACATGGCAAAGGGTGTGAAGAATTGGGCCATAAATGCTGTCTACCACAAGGTGCAAGTAGAATACACATGTTTTTTGAATGAATGAATGTTTTCTGAATGAATGAAGACAAATTCAAGACAGGTGAGGCTCTTAAAGCAAGTTCTCACCTTGGGCATCAAGGCTGTCTGTCTTCCAATGCCTGCAATCCTTTAACCAACGGAAGAGGGGGTAGGGAAAAAGTTACTACAATCGGACAGAGCCATGTAGTAAAAATAAATGAGTCTCCAGACTTCCCCTGTGAGCCCTGCCCAGCACCTAGAACCTTCAGCTCACTTTTAACTAACTGTTGCTAAAATTACAGTTAATCTCTAAGGCGTTACCTAAAGATGTTGGGTCCATTTAAGAAGTGGAGGGACAACCAAGGTAGGAAAATATGTTTCTGTCTTCTTTAACCACAGGGAATCATTTGATTGCTTCTTGAAATGAAATTAAGAAAATAAGTCACTTAAAATTATAACAACAACCCAAAGAACCAAACACTGAAATTATTAATGGTGGCTTCATTTGAGGAATTAGATTAGGGATAAGGTAGATGAAGAAGATATTTTCTTTATAATTGAAAACTTCCTGGGCTGTTGGGAAATAACTGTTTAACCATATGCATGTTATTTTTATAATACATTTTTGAAAAGGTTTAAAGATGCAGGCTGTGAAACTCCCTTCTTGTATGTGCTTTCAAACCCTAGAGGGATGAAGCTTTGAAGGTGGGATGACAGGCATTGGCTGTAGGAGGGAGGCCAGGGGCCTTGCCCAGAACCATCTCAAATCCTACCCTGTGGACAGCAGCTTGCCTGCCCTACTCACAAGGCCCCCATCTAAAAAAAGAAAAGGAAAGCAATCCCCCCTTCCTCATAATAACACACAGAAGAGAGCATGAATGAAATTAACATTCTTGTCTGCTCACCCAGAATAAAATGTCACTGGGTGAGTAAGAAAGCGATTACTTCCAAGGCTGAATGAGCAAACTCTTTAGGCAGATGGGGAAGTCTTGTTGTACTCCTGATTTTGGGGTTATTTCCCTTGTCTTTCCATTTCTTCCTGCCTCCTCCAGGCTTCCTGTGGGCCTGGGTTTGCATAAAGAGTGTTTTTGGGGGCGCATATCCTGGGAAGGCACTGGCCTCTTTTTAGCATTTGCAATTTGGTTTTTAAATGTTGCTGTATAGCAGGAAGGCATGTTAAGAAAAAGCGTGTGAGATAAGATGGATTTTTTTTTGGAAAATGCTGTTTGCAGCTCTCATCTGAGTAAGGCTTGGATAGCTCTGTTCTCAGAGTTTATTTCTGCTGCAGTATGATAAAGGTGGAGAACGACCTGCCCGCAGTTTTACGTTGCATAATGGCTGGATGGGGTCCTTTAGCTGCTGAATTGCTCTCTTATATCACAGCTGATCAGAAATCTGGTGGTTTTCTCTGGGGAAGAGTCTCAGCCCAGCCGCCTCTGAAATGATGAGAGGGGAACAGATTCTGGAATTCCCGAGTTCCTTATTTATTGCTGAGACCAAAAGGTCTGTGTGTGGATGCATCTCTGTGTGTTTGTGCTTACTTACGAGTGTGTGCTGAGGTGGGGGCACTTGGGAGAAGAAAATCTCGGAGCAAAAGGACTTTTCCAAAGAAGAACATCATCTACCTTGTGCTCCTGTCATTTTAGCCACAGAGAGCAGAACAAACCATAAAAATCAAAGCTCCAGTCCCCCATAAGCTAAGACAAATGACTACATGCCTCAAAGTCACTCCAACCTTGAAACACAGCTTGGAAAAGTCTTCCTGTAGCATGGTAACAAGTCATCCAGACTCAAGTTGGTTATAACCCAGCGAGAACCTGCCCTCACAGATACAGGAACTGGGAATGAGAAAAGGGTTTTGCTTCAGCCTGGATCACGAGCTCCTTGGTTCTTTCCTCTCCCTGTCTTCCTCTTGGCTCACTTTGCAGAGATTTTCAGTCTATTTCAGCATCTCCTCATTAAAGTAAATAGTGCTTTCCCGAGAGCATATCTTTGATATTTCTGCAATTGTGCCATAGCCAGCTAATGTGTAATGCTGTAGTTTAATAGTCTATTAAAACACAGCACTGCACATTAAAATCTCTACTGTATCACTGCAGATCTACTTAACAAAGGCGAGGTCCCCAGAAAGCACTATTCACTTGCTGAGAGTTGCTGCAACAGAACAGGAGAAGTCTCTTATGGCGGAAGAATTTAAAGGGGAAACGGGATAGTGGAGAGGACCTCCCTGTACCTCCTCATCGCCAACTAGAGCAGCCCCTTTGCCCGTCTGAAAGGAGCAAAATCTGCTGGTGCTATGGATTGCATCTGAAAATTCTTGGAGTTTAATAACAAATCCCTGTAGATCAAATCTCATTACTCAGATCTTTATTTGGAAGCACTTCAGTTTCCTCTCTCTCCCTCTCAGAGAGAGACAGAGTTCAGGAAAGCAGCCCCTAGCCTGGAAAATGCACCACTGGCCCCTCCCTCTAGAACAATTGCCAGGGAGGAGGAGGAATTCTTCAAACAGCTGTAAATCCTCCCACCAACATCTTCCTCCTTTAGAAACTACAACACATCCCCACATCAAAGCCTCCCCTCAGCTGCCAAGAGAAAGAATCAATAGTGTAACAGAAAGGAAGCAACGTGAATGCAGGGTGTGTGGTGTAAACACCTCTACTGCAAATAACCCAAATATCACCTTAGAAACAGGAGAATAAAACTCCTGGTGCTGAGGCTTCTGATGGGCCCCGCAAGTGAGCAGTCAAAATACCAGTAGCAGCTTTGCCACAGAGTCAGGTCCAGGGAGAGAAGAATAGGGAAGACAGCAAGACAAGGATGGGACTTTGCAGGTGGGATGGTCAGAATCAAAGGCAAAGAAAAAGTAGGTGAGTCGAGAAATAAGGTACAAAAAGTAGAAGAGACACACCCATTGGAATGAGCATCAGAAGCTCTGGCAATGGTCATGCTGCCGTTCAGTCACTTTAGGATGGGTCTGGTCAGTAACCTGCACATCCTCATCCACTAGCGAATGCAGGCCCTCTCAGTTTCCCTCCAGTTCTAGTGATTCCATGAACTCCGAGTAAACCTACCTAGTGGTTGTGCGTGTGTGTAGGGGTACACATCTTTAGTCATCTTAGTTTTTAAACTCTTAATGTCACTTGATAATTGTTTAATTTGTTGAGTCACTACGATGCCTGCAGCGTTTCCGTGTCATAAAGTCAAAGCTTGCTGGAATTCATTGTGGACTTGTATTTTCCAAGCAAAGCCCTGAGTTATCTCAATTTAGTCATTTAAACTAGGAATTTAAATGACCAGTTTTAGGAGTATCTACTCCTGGCTTCCTGGATGATGAACACGTGGCCACCTTCTTCCGGAGACTATGAAGAAAGCAGCCGTGGCCTGGCCCCTCCTGACTCTCACACTGAGAATGCAGAAGCCCCAGTGCTTTTCTGCCCATGGAAGAGACAGAGGGTGTGGCCATGGTTGTTATTTTTAGTGGTTTTCTCTTCTAACCCTTCCCCAAAAATGCCAGTTGGGGCAGGGAGTAAGTACGTGGTTCTTTATCAATGTCCAACTCTTCTTGGATCTGTTCACATAACTGACATGCATTTTGTGAGCTAACTTCCCACCTGGCTCCCTCTTATCCTTCCAGTAGCTCACGTTCCCGATGTCACCATGTCCTCACCTACCGAACTTGAATTTAATCTAAATTGAAATTTTACTGTCATGACACATTTGGAGTTGCCTGGGATCCTATCTGGGGCAAAGTGGACACAAAACATGAATAAATGAACTGATAATTCCCTGGCCTTTCTCCCCTAGTTGTAGGTACAGGTGTGTCTAGGGGTGGGGAGGTAATGGAAGATGGGGAAAACAGAACTGCCTTGGTGACTTGGGGTAGAAATGGGGGTGAAGCTTTTACTTGACATTTAAGTGAAATGGGGTAACAGTGAAAAGAAGAAGTGTGAGGGCTTCAGCGTGTCTGAAAGCAGACTTGTATGAGGAGAAGCAAAGAACCACAGAGACAATGTGATTTCTGAAGTGACGGGTGATGTTTTTCTTTAGTTTTCAATTCAATATTGAGGCACCGAGTATCTAGTCAGGAAGACCCTGTCAGGGAAGGGCCAAATCTTTATTGAGTCCTCCATTGGGCCAGTGGCTGGCTTTCATATGCATTATCTCATTGAGTCCTTGCAATGACCCTTCCACAGGGATTGTTCAGATTTTATAGGTGGAGAAACTGAGGCAGAAATGGGGTTAAGTCAGGGGTCCCCAACCCCAGGGCCAGAGACTGGTAGCAGTCTGTGCCCTGTTAGGAACCACGCCACACAGAAGCAGGTGAGCAGTGGCAAGCCAGCATTACCACCTGAGCCCCACCTTCTGTCAGATCAGGGCTGGCATTAGATTCTCATAAGAGCACAAGCCCTATTGTGAACTGTGCATGGCGGGGATCTAGGTTGCACATTCCTTATGAGAATCTAATGCCTGATAATCTGAAGTGGAACAGTTTCATCCCCAAACTATCTCCCAATTCCTGCCTACTATCTATGGAAAAATTGTCTTCCATGAAACTGGTCCCTGGTGGCAAAAAGGTTGGGGACTTCTGGGTTAAGTAATGGGCCCAAGGACACACACCAGCAAAGTGCAAAAATTAGTATTTCAATACAGTTTTTCCTATCACCTTCTTATATGACATCTTGGGACCACTTAGCCCATTAAAAACTTTGGGCCATAAAATTATGAATAATCCAATGTCTTTGAAATTGCCTTTGCAAAGATTATGACAGAGAGAGAAGTCTAGCATGACTGACTCCATCTTGCTTCTAGCCTCACAGGCTGGCTGTCTTTGCTCATTCCTAGGCATAGACCAAGCTAACCATAGGGGGAATTTAGTTTGCTGTTTAACTTTGAAGCAAGGATGATAATAGTCCCACGTAAAACTGACTTCTTCCTGTTCAGAGGCTGGAAACACCTTTGTAAGACTAATGAAAGGCCACAAGATTAGGATTATGGGAGGAGCTCAAATTCTGCTAAAAGGTAGGTATATTTCTATAACCTCTTACTGCTCAGGAGTCACGCAGCTAGGGGACACAAGATTTGTGACTTCTCCAATTGCTCCTACAGATGACATCACTATTGTAGAACCTAAGATTGGTCTTTTGAGATGTTTTCCTGGCTGACCCACCCGGACTCATGACTTATCATGATTCAACCCATCCTGTTGCTCCCAACCCAAGGGTGGATTCAGCTCATGGGGACCACGTTCCATATTCCTATGATTGCATCCCCAACCAATCCACAGCACCCACTCCCTAGTCCCCTGCACACCACACTGTCTTTGAAAAACCCTAATCTCCAAGCCTCTGGGGAAACTGATTTGAGCAAAAACCCCATCTCCTGTGTGGCTGGCCTCCTGTCAATAAAACTCTTTCTGTACTGTGATACCACGGTCTCAGTCACCTGCTTTTTTCTGTGCAGAGGGAAAGAAGAACCCATCAGCAATTATATCGTCTCCCTCAAGGCAAGTAAAATCTGAGAGATGGAGATAGAAAATCCAGGAATGGCTACTGAATTAAGAAGGAGCAAGAAAGGACAAAACAAGTGTTTTTAGGAAGGTGGCAACACCTCCGGTTGGTCTAAAGGATCTATGGGGAAGCAGCTGCAGACCCAGTTCACTGCTCCAGGGTCCTGCCACAGCCATAAGTCTAGAAATGACCCAGATCCTCAAACAGAGTTTTCCTGTGTCCCAGGAAGAGTTGCCCACTGGCCAGTTTCCTCACCTTCAGCTCATCAGGCAAAGCGGGGAAGAAGGCAGGCTGGAGTGCCTGGAAAGGACAGAGAGGAGGCATCCAGGTGGAGGGAGAAGAGATCCTTACAGGTAAAAGAGACGCATGGTTGGGCTGGGTGCCAGAGTTGATTTCCCCTCCTCTCTCCACACTAGGAACTGGTAATTGAGCACACATGTCTTTGTGTGAAGGGCTCCCAAATTGAAGTGATAGTGACACCCTCAAACCCTGAAGAAGAGCATAGGGGAGTAACTACTGCACCCTTATCTCTGCCCCCAGCTGGGAGGCTGATGGATACTATTAAACGGAGCCTCTGTAAGTGGCATTTGTGGTGGCAGGGGCGGGGCTGGGGGTTGGAGAGAGAAAGAAAGAGAAAGAGAAACAGAGAGAAGCAGACTGGGAAGTGCTTGCTGCTTTCCTTCTCAAAATAGTCCAGGTGGGAGGGGTGATAACTGAGAAATGCAAATGCATGATTTGGAGGATTTCATGGCTGTTGCCCAAGATAGTGCAGGGTGGGTGCCACCTGAAGACCAGGGCCTAAAACGCTCTTGGTTGCTACCTTAGATGCAAGAATTCAGACCTATGTCTCTAAATTAGAATAATTGCATTAATGCAGTCTCCTCCCTCAGGCTCCTCTTTAGGTTTCTAACACAGCACTGGAAGAGAATTCAGGAATAAAAGATGTGAGCTCAAGTCTTTATCAGCTATATGACCTTAGGAACTCCTCTTAACAACCTCTTTAGTCTAGATTGCTCATCAGCAACTTCACAGGGCCATTACTAAAAAACAAGCACCAGTGAAGCTGAAAGCATTTTGCACACTGTAGAATGTCACATGAATAGTGTTTATTTGTTACAACCAAGGTCTAGCCTTGGGAGGTCTAAAACACCACAGCCCAGTTTAACTGGATAGCAAGATCTTGCCCAAGCCCTCTGGCTTCCTTGTAACTAACTCTTGGGGTCCAGTGCAAAGTCCAGGAGGCCTTGGATGTCCTCTGTAGCATTCACGGGGCTCTGCTAGGGAAAAGCCAATGAACTTACTCCCAAGAGGCCAACAGGTAGCTAACAGGGGGACCTTGAAAGTGCTGCCCCCTATGCGGGTGCTCTGCTAACAAGGCCCTCTCAGGCATGAGGCCCGGGAGGGAAGTGGTGGTGTTCCTGCAGCCAGGCAAGGCAGAGCGGAACATGCAACATCATTCAAGGAGGCCCTGAGTTCTTCTCTGCCAAGGAGAGGGCCTGGCCCTGCACTTGTTTTAGGAAATGGGGCTGTTCAGTTTTATACCTACCACTTTCCTCACTCTAGGACCAACTAGAGAGACAGGACATCATCAGGCACCATCTTGACATCTCTGCTGGCCTCGGCAGGTAGGTTAGGGCACAGACCAGCATTCCTCATCACCAGTCATGGCAACCGGCTTCACATGCACTCTCCTCTGTGTGAAAGTGCCTGTGTGCTTCTCTGAGAGCTTAACTCCCAGCAGTGGGGATCCTGACGCCCTGTGCTCCCGCCCTCAGCCTTCTTCAGTGGCCCCGGGTTCCTGAGATGCAAAATGCCCATGCACAGCCAACCCTGTGCCCTTGGTCCTTTCCTTCTGGGCACACTCACTGTGCTCCCTACACCTCCTTGTTGGCCATACCCCACCCAGCTGCTCCTTTGTGTTTTTCCTTCCTCTCCTACTAAAACCTAGTATATGGAAAGAAGATGATGTCATTGATTATACTGAGACATAGATCTTATGTTCCTTTTCAGATTTCCTTGGCTGCAGCCTCCTACTCCTCTTCCTCCTCCGTCTCTTTCTCTTTTTGTTAGTGTCCCCACCTGTTCTGCTTTCCCTCTCCACTTTTTTTTTTTTCAGAAAAAGATAGTGCTATGGTTTGCATGTCCCCTCTAAAAATCATGTTGAAATTTAATTGCCATTATAACAGAATTAAGAGATAGGACTTTCAAGAGGTGATTAGGCCACCATGAGGGCTCTGCCCTCCTGAATGGCTTAGAGGGATGCCTTTATCGTGGGGGTGGATTAGTCATTGTGGGCGTGGGCTCCTGGTTACATGGTAACTTCAGCCCCTATTTTCTCTCTGTCTCGCGCGCTTGCTCACCATGTGATGCCTTCCACCCTCATCAGATGCCGACGCTGTGCTCTTGGTCTCCTCAGCCTCCAGAGCCGTGAGCCAAATAAACTTCTATTCTTTATAAGTTACCCCATCTGTGGTATTCTGTTATAGCAGCAGAAAATGGACTCAGACAGATGGTAAGGCAGACTTTATTCAGGATGATCATGGTAGGTACAAGGACTACTTCGATGAGGTTTTGCAGTCGGAGAGAGAGATTGGGCTTCCTGCCCCGCCACTTTCGGAGCTGAATAAAACACCACCATGTAAGGTGTGGGATCTGGCTGCCTGAGACGAGGGACTGAATTACATAATCTGGAAGTATGGGGGAGTAGCTCCCTTTGGGAGGAAACTTGACAAATGAGAGAGGAGAGACAGGAGGGAGCCTGACAGATTCCTCTCCTTTCTCCCTCCTGTGCACTATTCTGGGAGATGAGGTGTGCTTCTCCTTGCAGTTATTCTGAAGAAGTCCCTCGTACCAAGTAAAGATATCTGCTAAGCCCCTAGCTGTCCTCCTGGCTAGTATGGCCCAGAGTGAAAGCGCCTCCTGTGGAATCACTTCTCACCTTGACCTTCCTCACTTCCCTTTGACCTTTACCACCTGTCTCCTTGCCCAGTCCCTGCTTTTCTAGAGGACAATGGCCAAGACACCTGTTTAATTTTATTGAGAGATCAAGCCCCACCCACTCTCTTACTTCTCCTCCAAGGTATTTAACACATCTCTAATTGTGGCCTTTATATTTGTTAATCATTAAAGGAAGCGAAGGAGGAAGAGGAGGCATGGGTTAGGGGAGGAGGAGAGACAGGAGTTTCCTCTCTTGCTCCTAAAAGCTCACTCCATTGGCCTTCATTTACCCTGAAGGGAAAATCTGCCATGCTTCTATCTACAGAGTTCCAAGCATTTTAGAAGCAGACAGGTTAGAATGCAGAAAAATGTCAGTGAGGTGGGATTTCCGGAGAATAGTTTGGCAAGCATTTTCCAGGCTGAGCATAGCTTGAAAAAGGCCCTTTTCTGTCTATCGACTAAAAACTTGCCCAGAAAGGAAAAATCATAGCAGGCATAGCTCAGGTACTTCGAAGGACTTCTGTTCTCTCTCTCTTTTAAGACAACATAATCAATGAAAGGATTTGGAAAAAATGAACTATAGAGAGCATAAGGAGTCTTGAAGTGGGTTTTCATCTGCATCGCTTCTCTTGCAGAGGTTTACTTTTATTTGCCTTTCGAAAGCTGGGGCTGTTTCAATAGCAGCTTTCATCCCATCAGCCAGGCTGATGAGCACGGAGGTGGGCTGTCCTTTCGCCTCTCCTACTGAAGGAGCTGGAGTTCCACATGTGGTATATGCGTTTGCAACAGGCTGCTGGGAATCAGTGATCAGCTTTCTGGTGGTATCTGGTAAATAAGAATGTCTCCAATGTGCAAATTGCAGAAATTGGCTTCTCCCACTCCTCTTTTGCCAGGAAATGAGGAACGCACAGAGGAGGAACACTGAAGACCTGGGGAACATTCATTTTCATGTTACTGTATTACGGTGTTGTGTTTGGTGGGTTCAGGGGAGACAGCAGAGGGGGCCGGACTAGAAGGAATGGGCTGGAGGTTGACTTGGCCGAGTCCCATGGGTCAGAGAAGGCAATTTCAGCCACTAAAGAGCGAAAATGTCACAGGATCTCTATCCACTTCCACATTTATGCAGACTGAAACCCCACATGCCCCAAACTGAATTCATCTTCTTCCCTCCAAAGCCTGTTCTTTTCTGCTGGCCCTTCTGTCTCCCAATTGCTCCAATGAGTGTAAGGAACTAAAGTCATCTTGACTCTCCCTCTTCCTTATCTCATTAATACATCTTACGAGTTTTATAAGATTATAGTATCTCTGGAATCATCTATCCTCCCACCTCCACTTCTCCATCTTAGTCCAAGCACTTGTCCCTTCTGGCCTGGATGACTGCAATGGCCGCATTCTTGTTGTCTCCCAATCCATTCCTCAGCCTGCAGGAAAGTTCACATTTTTTTAAGGCTAAAGATCATATTGTTATCCCTCTTGCTCTAAAGCTCTTGCATGTTTTCCACTGCCCTTTAAGTTTGGGCTCAAGTCTCAAAGTCCTTAACCATGATTTCCTAGGACTTCCTCAGTGCAGTCCTGCCCTTACCCACCCATCCCTGCTCTCCTCCACTGCCTCCCTGCTCCTGGGTGCCTTCAGGCCTTTCACGTGCTCACACTCATCTCAGAGCCTCTGACTATGTGGTTCCCTCTGCCTGATATCAGGGTTCAGAACATGATACCCCAGAGTATGGCTCCTTGGTATGCTGGGTACTTTGAACTGACAGAGATTACAAGGGCCTCGGAAACAAGGTCACTCTGACCTTCTCCTATCCTGCTTTCTCCCTCAAACAAGGCACAGAAACTAGAATTCTTCATCTCAAAGCAAGTCATAAACCTAGGAAGGTCTTTGACCTTCTCCCTTCCCTGCTGAAAGCCCTCCTGTGACAGGTGTCCTGCCCCATACCTTGCGGGGAGGCATGTCTTACAGAGACACAGAAAAGACTCTGGACAAACAGGCCCTGCAGACCTCCACTGCCCCTCAGTTCATTCCCATTAGATCAGACCCTTTTTTGTCCAATCGTATTTCTTCATAACCATGCACTTTTTTCTTCAGACCTTACATAAAAATGTAACTTTCTTTCGGTTTTTGGGTCTTCATTTCTGAAGACTTCATGTCACATAAAACTTTGTTAAGTAAGTTTGTTGTGCTTTCCTTGTGTTACACTCTTTCATTATCAGAATTGTCAGTCATGATTGTATGACTGATGGATGAAGAAAAGGTATGACTTTTTCCCCCCTACCCTGGAACGGCCCTTCTTTGCTCTGTTCTCTTCCATAGCACCAAGCCTGGTGTCATTTATTTACCTATGTTTTTGTGTTTCTCACTTGACTCAGCTCCATGGGGGAAGGCACTATGTCTGTTTTGGTTCCCACTCCATCCCTAGCAGGCAACACAATGCCTAGCACCTATTAGATGCTGTCTCTATAGATATAGATATAGATTATATGTAGATTATACATAGAATATTTATAGAATTAATGAGATTATGGTAAAACTGCTTTGGAATTATAAAGGCTATACAATACCGGTAATTTCTATTTCTGCCTTCCACCTCAGAAAAGGCAGGATAGATATTCTATTATCATTTAAACTTGAGTGGAACTTATTTATATCTGTGTGTTGAGGCTTCCAGGTATTTGCATCTTAAACTTTTTATTTATACCTGCAGAATGAAGGGATTTGTGCCTCTTTAAAGGAATTTCAGGCAATAGCCAGCAGGTGGGTTCATTAAGGAAGGAACAGAACACTTTCATAACTATTTTATTTCTTTTTTTACAGTTTGGAAACTGAAAAACGAAGAGACAAGCAGCTGTGGGCAAAGGAAGTAGGTGGGGTGGTAGGCACGGGCTTTGGATAAGTTGCCTAGCCCCCTTAGGAGTGCTCTCCTCACCTCCATTCCCACCTGCAGGGGAGGAGGAGCTGCCAGCCTGCTGGGAAGGCTGCTTGGTGGAGTAGGAGGGGCCAGGGCTACTGGCAGACATCCTGAGTTCAAACCCGCTATTGACCCTGGGATTTTGAGTAGTCACTAATTTCTGCCTCAGTTTCCTTATTCGTAAAACAAAGCTGTAATCCCTGATCTCACAGGATTATTGTGAAGATTAAAGAGATAATGTATCAGAAAACTCTTGGCCAGATGCAGTGACTCATCCCCATAATCCCAGCACTTTGAGAGGCTGAGGTAGGCAGATAGCTTGATCCCAGGAGTTCCTGACCAGCCTGGGCAACATGGTGAAACCCTGTCTCTACAAAAAATACAAAAATTAGCCAGTCACGGTGACACGCATCTGTAGTCCCAGCTACTCAGGAGGCTGAGGTGGGAGTACCACCTGAGCCTGGGAGGTCGAGGCTGCAATAAGATTGTGGCACTGCATTCCAGCCTGGGTGACAGAGTAGGATTCTGTCTAAAAAAAAGAGAGACAGAGAGAGAGAGGGAAGAAAGGAAAGGAAAAAGGAAAGGAAAGGAAAGGAAAGGAAAGGAAAGGAAAGGAAAGGAAAGGAAAGGAAAGGAAAGGAAAGCCTTCATAAACTGCAAATATAAATTAAAGGTGGTATGATTACGCCACTAAACCAATCTTCCCAAATACAAAAATTAAGTCTGACTTTCCTTCACCATGCCCTGCCCCCACCACTGTAACTCCATGGACATGATCGTGTGTCAAGACCAACACTGAGTATCTGCATTTCTCCCAGTTCCAGTGGTCTGTAAACTCATAGGACGGGTCTTAGCCATTTGATGTCCCTAGTAACCTGTAGTGTCAGATGCTCAATATGCCTTGAATAAACATTGAGTGAATAAATGTAAGGTGGGAAGCATGGAGGAGGTCAGTCTGAAGGAAAAGGTGAAAAGGTAAGAGTGGGCTAGATCTCTAGAAAATTTTACATGCTCTTGGAAATCAGGAAGAACAATTAGAGGCACTGGATTAACTGGAGTGCACCTCCTTAAGTCTTTTGGCTCAAATGTCAACAACCAGAATTCACTTGGAGTAGAGTGAGCTTCAGGGATGCTTAATTTAGCAAGGCTGAATTCAGCTTTGGTGGTCTTTCCTTAGTGGCAGGGAAGGGGTGCCCTGCTGAGCTGCAGGGAGCAGTGATATATTAGGAATATCTAGATTTGGGAACCTTTCAAAAGATGCATGTCCTTGTCTTACACCCAAACAAAGCTGATAGAGCCAAAATTCAAAGAAACAGTTCTTCCTAGTCCCTGAAAAAAAGTGAAACATCTATCCATCTATTAAAAATTTGCTAGGTCCCTGCTGTGTGCTGTACTAGGTGCTGGAGTGCCATAAAAGGAATCACACTCGAGGCTGATCACAAGACTTCTTTTCCACTTGGAAGAAGCTCATGGGAGCCAGCACTGATGCAGGTCCAGGCCTGGGGAAAGCATATGCCCCCAAGACCCATCAAGCTTGTCCCTGCCATCTCTCTCCATCATTCTAGCTTCGCCCTAGCTTGTGGGTACCACGGGTACCTATTTCCAGGAACCCAGGGAATTCCTTTTGACCTTGCTGGGAAACTGCAAATCACCCAACAGGAGCTTAGCTGTGCAGCCAACATTTGGAACTACTCAATAGCTTTCTGGAGTCAACAAATAAGGAAATAATTTCTTTAGGATAAAAAAATGTTTTGTTTTAGTAAAGGGTAATGGCACTCCATTGCGAATGGAAACTGTTCTCCCCTTGGTTTAAGTGGAGCCCATTTGTCAGCACTGCTTGAGGCCTGCGAAGTGACCATCTAGGTATTTTTCTCAAGTGAAGAATGATCTGAGGACATCTTCGCCACTGGGTCCCTCTTACTCATGTGACTTCCAAGTTTTCTGGTGGTAAAGTTGGAGGCAGAGAGAGCATGCCCCTGAATTGGACAGTAGAGTGTCCTTCAGCTGATAGAAGATCACTTCAGGGCAGGTGGAGCAGCCACAGAAGAAAATGGTAATTACTCAACTGCTCGTGCACCTCATTTTGAATCTATCCTGCTCTTCAGCTCTTTCTGCACATAAAGGAAGAGGCTCCTTGTCATTTGAAAAGATTGCACCAAAGTGGCAGTGTTGACAGAGCCTTCCCTGTCAAAGCCACTTTCTCAATACATTTAATTAGCAAGGGCTTCCAAGGGCCCCCTGCCAG
This sequence comes from Homo sapiens, assembly GCF_000001405.40. Classification (NCBI taxonomy): domain Eukaryota; kingdom Metazoa; phylum Chordata; class Mammalia; order Primates; family Hominidae; genus Homo; species Homo sapiens. The sequence continues at coordinate 152,021,927 of NC_000004.12, forward strand.
CCCAACACAGGCCTGGATGACACCTGAGTGAGGTTGCCACAGTCCCAGCCAAACCCCTTCAAGCTCCATTTTTAGATGTACTACAACCAGCTAGCTTTCAGCAAGTTCCCCTCCCGCCCCTTTGCCCAATGCTGGTCAGCTGGGCAGCTTGACTGTGAAGCCTTTCTTTCCAGGCCATGGGGAAAGAACCAAAGGAAGCTGCTTTCTCTCATGCATACAGTATTTTTGAACAAAGAGGCCTGTATGCATTGCAACAACAGCGTCTCTAGATCCTGAGCGTGGGCCCCGCTTGGCAGAGGGTCAGCAGCATGGTGGAGGGCATGCATTGGAATACAGATTGCCACCAAGCCTTTGGGGCCATGCCCATCATGTGGCTGGGCCTGGCTCTGGCAGCCCGACATTCAGCTGCCAACAGCTTGCAGGCCTGTTTGCTGCATGGCCAGCATCCTGTTTGGTGATTTGATGAGAGTCCCAGGCTCTCTTTGCATATCAGAACACTGGTCTCCGTGCACCTCGCGTGGGATGACTGTATCTGGACAACTGAGATGTTCCTTGCCATTGATTAAATGCTTAGCAAGCTCAGAAAATACAGCTGGAAACTCCTTGGAGCCCTCCGCCTACTGCTCTTCATCCACAGCCTCTCCCTGCAAAGCGGGGCTTTATTATTCTTGGAGAGAGGCAGCTATCTGTTACAGGGTACTGTCTTGCAATAGGGCTGAAATACTTCAGATTTGGATAAAGATAAGAAATATTGAATGGCCCCTCCCTTTATTTTCTAAACAGTTACCACCCCTACAATCATAACTAGTGATGTCACTGTGGGACCAGTGTAGCTGAAATGCATACTTGCCCTTTTAACTCAGCTTTAATGCTTTTGTACAAGCTATTTGCAAAGTTACATACTCTTTAGTGTGAAAATTGGCTGTTTACTTGTATCTCACACACAGCAAAATCGAAAGCAGGACAAGTGTGTTGCTTTTCTACGACATCCGTGCATCCTTCATGCTCTCTCGGTGCTCATATCCAGTGACCTCTCCCTCTTCTCCCCATTCATCAGGCTCTGCCTGCCCTCTCTCTCTTTATTCTGGACTCAGTGGCTCATCCAGTCTCACCAGACACTCACAAAGCAAAATTCCAACCTGTCAACCTTTGTCTTGCTCCGTCTCTGAGACTGAGTACTCCCGGGGAAATGGACTCTACTGCATAGGCCAGGCCACTACAAGTTCATGGCCCCTGACCTCTGCTGGGCTTCAGGGCTGCCCATCTCCCCAGCTGTCCTGGAAGAGCTTCCTCTCCTCTGCCCCTAGGTGACCATTCCAAGCATTCTAGCACTCTCCCCAAAGCTCCTACTCAACCTTCTGTCTCATACTTAGCACATAAACCTGTCTCCAACATCAAGGCCATCAGGCCCAATGTCCCTCAACTTTCTACCTCCTTCCTACAAACACCTCTGCACCTACCCCATCCTCACCTTCAGTCTCTGAGGTGTGTTCCTCTTTCTTTCGTGTCCTTTGCTCTATCCTTTGATGTCTACTCCAGACTTTGATAGTCATTTTTTAAAATTGCTTTAATCTCCCTTGACTATACTTGAGTTTTGTGCCCCGTATCTCCCTTTCGCTGTTGCTCAGCTTCCCTCCTCCCATTCTCTTCCAAACTTCCTGCTGCCTACACGTCCGTTCGCCCTTCAGCTCTCTGGAATCTGGCTTCTGTTCCCACCCACCATACTCCTAAAACTGCTGTCACTGAGGTGACCGCCAACTTCCCTGATAACAAATTGAATAGACTCGTTTCAATCCTTTCCTGACTAAGACTTTCTGTGGCATTTGAAAACATGGTTTTCCTTCTTTGAAGCTTCCTGAGCCCTGAACTTCCATATGCTATGTTCTCGATTCTGCACTGCCTGTCTGCAGGGGCCCGTCTTCCCGGCCCGCGCCTGCTGCGTGCCTATTGGTGTTCCCCAGGATTCTCTTCTAACTCACTGTTCCTCTTGTGCTGCCACACACACTCCCTGGAGAAGCTCATCCTCTCTCGTGGGACATGCAAATTACTCTCAAATCCCTGTCTCCAATGGAACTCTTTGCCCTAGCTTTTCCCATAGGCAACACAAAGCCAGCACTCCCAAAATGGCAGTGGGAGCACAGTCATTTTCCTGTTAAACTGCCCACTCTCCCCACCTTGCTAAACGGCACTGTGGCCCCCTGCAGGGGTGGGGGTGCTGCTACCGCACTACCCGCTCGCTACACGCATCCACTCAATTGCCATGTCCTCCCAAATCTCTCTCCTAAGTATCTCCTAAAGGTCTCCCTCTCTCCCTGTTATCTTACCTCCATCCACAGCTGCCTGGATGTTTGCCTTGTTTGCAGGCCTTACCATCTTCTTCCTAGCTGCTGGAGTGACCCCTCTGAACAATGAAACTGGTCTTGCCAAGTCCCTGCTTCAAACCTTTTCATCGTCCCTCTACCACCTCCTTAAGTCTGGACTCTATGCAGATCGTGGGAGGTCTTCTGGGGCCAGAGCTGCTGCTCCTTCTCCGCAGCCTTGTGCTTTCTGCACCTGCAGTGCCAAATCACCGGTGCTGGCTCTGGTTTTCCCCTCAGCGCAAAGTGGCTTGTCCTCCTCCTCCCTGCCCACTCATCTCTTCACTTGGTGGAACCTTATTCATCCTTAACACCAGGTAAGTTGTACCCTCTTCATCACTCCTCCCTGACCATCTTGTAAATGCTCCTATAATGCCCTGAGCCTATCCCCTATGTTATGGATTGAATTCTGTTTCCAAAATTAGTGTATTGAAGTCCTAACCTCAGAACCTCAGACTGACCTTATTTGGAAATAGAATCATTGCAGATGCAATTAGTTAAGATGAGGTCCTATTGCAGTAGAGTGGGCCCTAATCCAATATGACTAGTGTTCTTATAAAAAGGAGAAATTAGGACACAGACCCACACAGACCTACAAAAGCACCATGGGAAGATAAAGCCAGAGGAGGGATAATGCTTCCACAAGCCAAGGAACACCAGAGATGACCCACAAACCTCCAGAAGTTGTGGGGGGCCTGGAACAGAGCCTTCCCTGGCAGCTCTTAAAAGGAAGCTCTGGCCTCCAGAAATGGGAGACAATACACTTCTATTGTGAAGCCACCAGCATGTGGTACTCTGTGACAGCAGCCCTAGGAAACAGACACACCCATCATTGTGGTTTGTGTTTTATTGTAATGACCTGCCTGTCCATGTTCACCACTCCCCAGTGTGAACTTCCTAAAGGCAGAAAAGGTGTCTTATTTATCCTTGTAGCTCTAGTGCCCAAAATAATGTGCAAAGCATGAAAAAACTCAATAAGTGTTTGATGAATGAATTAATGAAAGCACAACATCCCCAGAAAGTCAGACAAACCACAGACTAAGAAGTGTAACTGATTTGCTGTACCTCAGCACCCTACTTTCTTTGTTGAATCTGTCCATATCTTCCTGTCCTTTATGGGTGAGTGTGCTGGTTATTCTCCGCTTGTCCTTCCAGAGGAATTTTCTGCTTATTTTCTGGCTATGGCTATTGTCTTCTGGGAAGCCATTTTGTAAGGTTCCAAATCTTGGTAGGTTCTGGTCACCCTGCTCTGTCCCTTTGTCCCTTCAGGCCTAAGGATGGCTAGGACACCTCACTGTTGCTAGTCCCAGGGGCTTCACTCCTTGGTGTCCTCTTATTTCTGCCCACTCCTCTGCAAACAGTTTCTTCATTCAATGCTGGTGAGCCATCTGTTTCCTGCTGGGACCCTGAGGAATACAGTTGGTAGGCAGGTGGGTGGGGACAGAGGTTCAAAAATAATCACATTTTAAAAAATGATCTTCTAAATCCCATTGCTTAATTCTCTTCCACTTCTGTTTTTAAAGCACCACATACCTAGCATTTTTACATAAAGCCTGCTATTTGACCTATGCATTTGCTATGCATTTGACTAAACATAGAAAATGTTTCATTTAATTTGACATTTTGTTGAACACCTGTGATGGGCCAGGCACAGTGATGGGGATTGAGGATCCAAAGAGGAAAAGATCCCATGTCTGCTAAAAAAGACTCAGAATCCAGTAGGGAGACAGACACGCCACCAACAGAGCACAGGGTTTATGGGAGCAGTGTGGAGGATGCTGTGCCGGCCTTGGGGTGGGTCCCACAGATGAACACTGAAATGTGGTTTATCTCCTCCCCAATCTAGACATCTTGGAGCTACACTGGTCCTTCTACTTTTATTGTTTTTCACAGATCATCTTCACATTTTTTCATCAAAGAGATGGCCTTCTGTCAACCAAATGCTCATAGAATGCTCATTTAAGATGTTTTTGGGTCAAACTTTCACCTTATATTTTCTCTTTTCCCAACATGATAGGTCTCTTATGTTGGAGAAGACTTTATATGATCACTTGGACCAGTAATTGCCAATTCTGGATGGTCACCAGAGGGTTCTTTAAAAACAGTAAGTCCTGAGCCTTGTTACCATTCTACCGAATCAAACCCCGGGGGGAGGGGGGAGCTGGGGAGAAGGAGATCTAGGGGGTCAGGGTTTTTTTCAAGACCCTGTGATGATTCTGATGTTCAGTCTGGCTGGGAACCATTGGTCTGGGTTAGCTCCTTTTTACAGCAATTATAATTTAGGACAGGGTTTTTTTTTTCCTAAGAGTGGTTCCTTGGCACCTGAGTGTGTCATACTGGCATAAGGATAGATATATAGATAAGTAGAATAGAAGTGAGAGTCCAGAAATCAGCCTTGATATTTACAGTGAATTGATTTTCTACAAGGGAGTCAGGACTATCTAAAGTGATCATTCTTTTCAACAAGTGGTGCTAGAATAATAGGTTGTTCACATGCAAAAGAATGAAGTTGGACCCCCCCACCTCACACCATATAGAAAAATTAACTCAAAATGGATCAGTAACCTAAATGTAAGAGCTAAAACTATAAAACTCTTAGGAAAAAACACAGACATAAATCTTCATGTCTTTGAATTAGGCAATGGTTTCTTAGATATAATATGAAGTGCTCAAGAAACAAAAGAGAAATAGATAAATTGGACTTCATCAAAATTAAAAGCTCATGTCCATCAAAAGACACTATCAAGAGAGTTAAAAGATAACTCACAGAATGAGATAAAATATTTGCAAATAATATATCTGGTATGAGATTAACATCCAGAACATATAAAGAGCACCTAAAACTCAGTAACAACAAAAAACACACAACCCAATAAAAAAAATGGGCAAAGCACTTGAATAAACGTTTCTCCAAAGAACATATACAAATGGACAATAAGCACATGAAAAGATGCTCAACACAACCAGTCATTAGGAAAATGCATATCAAAATCACGGAGGGATATTCCCTTCCCACCTACTAGGGTAGCTATAATGAAAGAGATGGACAATAACAAGTGTTAATGAGGATGCAAGGAAGTTGAAACCCTCATACATTGTTGGTGGGAATGCAAAATGTTTCAGCTGCTGCAGAAGACAGTTTGAGCAGCTCCTCAAAAAGTTAAGCATAGAGTTAGCAAATAACCTAGCAATTTCCACTCTCTTGGCTATATACCATTGAACTGGAAACACAAGTCCACACAAAAACTCACTCTAAATGTTTGTATCAGCATTATTTGTAATATCCAAAAAGTGGAAACAATCTAAATGTCTGTCACCTGATGAATGGATAAACAAAATGCAGTATAGATCCATACAATGGAGTATTATGCAGTCTATAAAGAAGAATGATGTACTGATCCATGGTACACCATGGATGAACCTTGAAAACATTATGCTCAATGAAAGAAGCAAGTCACAAAAGACCATATATTATACGATTCCATTACTAGGAAATATTCAGAATAGACAAATGCATAGAGACCAGAAAGCAGTTTAGTAGTTTCCAAGGACTGAGGGGAAGGAGCAATGGGAAGTGACTGTTAATGAATGTGAGTTTCTTCTTGGAGTGATAAAAATGTCCTGGAATTAGATAGCGGTGATGGTTGCATAATTTTGTGAATATACTAAAACCACTGGATTGTACACTTCAAAAGGTGAATTTTATGACATGTGAAATTTATCTCAGTTTCTTAAAATGAATTAATTTTCTTCAAAATTACCTGGGGATCTGTATTTGAAATAAGTCCCCAAGATGATTCTTAGGCACACTGAGATTGGAAAACCACAGCCATAACTATCTCCTTTGTATCACTTCATATCCTCTGAAAATTCTAAGTATCTAAAATCTGTTAAAAAAAAAAAAAACTAAACAAAACAAACAAGTCAAAAATAGGCAACCCAGGGCATTGAAAGTGACCATTCATTGAACAAATGTTTAGCTGCTGCTTGCTGTGTAGCAGAGCAGGCTGGGCTCAGTGAGCTAGACACAAACCCCATTGTAAAAGCATTAGAGTCCAGGAGGGAGGCAGACATGCAAATAAATGGTTGCAATACAAAAAGACACCTGTGACATCTGCTTCAATGGAGATGTGTCCAGAGCAGAGCAAGGTTGATCAGGAGCTCCAAAGCCAATCCAGTGGAGCCAAAGGGTGAGGCAGTATTTGAGTTGAGGCTCAAGAGCGGGAGACCAAGGAGAGAGTATGAGACACGGGCAGGAGGAACAGCAGGTGCAAAGCCACAGAGCTTTAGGAGCACCTGGTGTATTAACGCAACTGCAAGAGGCTGAAACAAAATGCCCAAGGGCAAGAGGTGGGAGAGGAAGCAGAGATTTACATTTTGTGTGCATTGAGAAGCCACTGGAGAATTTAGAAAAATTCTGCACCACCCCTGGTTTGGGAAGATGAGTCTGATGGCGGGGTTGGAGATTGGAGAATTCCAGAGGGCTGGAAGGCTGGTGGGAAGAAGGCTTTGTCTCAAGTGCTGAAGCCCCAGACTAGGAGAGTAGAAGGGAGAAGAGGAGAGAGATTGGTTCTATACCTGTTTAGGAAGAAGAGCATATAGTCCCTGGGGACAGACCAAATGCACCATAGGACCTTTAACAGCATCCCTGGCCTCTACTCACTAGATAGGAGTAGCATTTCCCCGGTTGTGAAAACAAAAATAGCACCAGAGATTGCCTGGAGGGCAAAATCCGGGGGGACAGAATCTGTTCCAGTGGAGAACATTGGCCTAGATTAACTGAATCCTGCCGCGGAATATGGTCCCATTGCCTGCAAGGTGAACCTTTTGTGTGAGGTGCATTTGTGTGCCCACGTGATAGGGAGCTGGGATTCCATTGAGCTCACAGATCTGCTTGTGTGACCCTTTTGTACTCGTTTGCCAGTAAATGTCTCTGTGTGAGGCAAAATCTGGTCTGAGGCTTGCTTTGATTATGAGGTTGCTAGGAGCAGACCTGTAGTCCTTCCCTTCCTCTAACAGTTGGAAGATCCCATTAGCTACCAAATAGATCGTAATTGTGAACAACCAACCTGACTTTGGTCAGTTGGTAGCTGAGTTGTCAAAGATGATTTGTCTTTTCTGGCTGGACCAGCGATGCCATTCCTGAAACAGGGGATCCCAAGGGAGTGCCCATGGCCAAGGGCAGGAGGGAGGATGCAGTGGAGCCAGCCCTGAGACCAGGAACTTTTAGAACATACAGAATGGATTTCTTCTGGGTTTCCCAAGTGATTGGTTTACAAGAATTATCACCCCAAAATTTTGGGCCTGTGATGACCACAAAATGACCCAAGCATAGTTCTGCCAAACTTTGAGGCCTAGCAGATCTCCTCCACAGAGAGCTCCACTCTGATAGCCATGGTGCATGGGTAACAGTCTCAGAATGTCTGCCAGGACCTTAGGGAGAGCTCTCGTGTCACCATTCACAACAGTTCTGCACCCCACGTTAGTTCTAGGTCTAGAATCTGTCCACCTCTATGCCCTCACTGCTGCCATCCTGGTCAAAGTTACCACGCTCTGCTGCTTGGACTTGTGCAATAGCCACCTAACTGATGCTCTAGTTCCTTTTTTCTTCCCCTGTACCCTGTTCTCCACACAGCCACCAGAATAATTACTCGTGAGTAAATCTATCTTATCATCTCCTGACGAAATTCCTTCAGCGGCCTCCCCTTGCATTTAGAATAGTTCCCCTGTCCTTACAGGTTTTATAAAGCCCTTCAAAGTCTGGCCCCGAACCTCATTCAACCCTTGCCTCTCCATTGAACTCCAGGCACCGTGGCTTCCTTTTTGTTTCTAGAATATGCTTAGATCTTTTCCTCCAAAATGCTTTAGATGTTAATGGTCCCTTTTCCAGGTCTTTCTGCACCTGGCTTAGTCTCACCCATGAGGCTTAGCTCAGATGATACTCTTTCAGAGAGGCCTCGCCTGCCTTCCCTTTCTACAGCAGCTTCTGGTGTCCCCACCCACACCGTCGCAGCATCTTCTTACTCCATTACCACCACTTTCTCCACGGCAATTGTTTTTGTGATGATCGATTGCTTGCTTCCTGCCTCTAAAAGACAAGATTCTTGCAAGCAAGAGATTGCCCTGGCTTTGGTCAGCATTTCATCTCTGGTGGCTAGCGTAGGGCCTGAAGTGTCCCAGGTGATAAATTGATACTTGGTGAAGAGATGAATGAACTAAAGTTTTGTTTGTGCCAGAGTGAATCCATCCAAGTTGTTATTGCACAATGATGGCCAAAACGAGATCTTTTTGTATCCCTGTCTTCTCTATCAATCAAGAGCTTTGCCTTCACCAAGCACTGTAAGGGCCTAATTACAAGTCTCTAATCATGTGGACCCCTGCTCTCTCGCTAAAGAGTGGAGATGTCCGTGCTTAAAGGCAGGTCCTGGCTCATGAAGCTGAACTTCTCAAAACTTGCTTCTGTTCTCCTTTTCTTTCTCTTCTGTCTTCCCTCCCTCTTTTTCTCTCTGGCTTGTTCCTGAAAAATTATGTGTTAATTGAATAGTTTAACATCAAATGCTTCTTCCTGTTAACTTGCAGAGTAGCTTCAGAAGCCTCGTGATTCTGTTCTAAAGGCTCTGATTGGCCACACTTTAGCCGTTGGCCTCTTTGTGAAATGATTAATGATCAGTAAACAAACACTTACACAGAACAGTTAAAGCACCTGCTATTTAGAGGTCCCTTTTGGTGAATCCTTTTTGTAAATGGAAGAACTGTCCAGTTTATCTCCCCTGTAAATATGGATTTTCCTATTTTGGAAGCCTTGTTGGCTACAACTGCCCCATTTATAGGAATCCAAGATGTGCTGCTATCACCTCTCTGTCCTTTCACCTGAATATTCCATTCAGTCATTCAACATACCTTTACTGAGCACCTACTATGTGCCACAGATATTAACAAGACAGCCTCAATGATGCACCTCCTGGCAAAGGAACTGACAAAATGATGATCACAATACGATGTGATCTGAGGAGAGGCCCCTAAGCCCCAGGAGATCAGGGAGTACTTTCATGATAACCCTTGAGCTGTTTGGGGGAAGATGAGTGGCAGGTAGCCAAGCAGATGGTAGGTGAGGACTCAGAAAGGGTAAAGGACCACCATGTTCAAAGGCACAGAGATCTGAAAGAGTGGCCTTTCAGAATGATTTCAGCCAAGTGTGGATACGAGTGCAAAGGGGCTGAGGCTGGGGGATAGCAGCACTGTGTTACCACATAGATGATTCAGGCATTTATTCTTAAGGTGATGGAGAACCACTGACAGGTGTTACAGAGGACACGCGAAAGACCATGAACAAACCTGCTCTGTTAAAATATTACTTGGACAGCTCCTGTGGAGAACAGATCAAAAGAGGGGTAGGGTGAGTGGCAGGGATACCTGTTATAGGTATCCAGGTGAGACATAATGAAGCTTGAGCCAGAGATTTTTATCCTTGGACAAAGAAGCACCCAGAGAAGGGGGTCTGTATTAGTCAGGGTTCTCTAGAGGGACAGAACCAATAGGAGAGATGTATATATGAAGGGAGTTTATTAAGGAGTATTGACTCACATGATCACGGGTGAAGTCCCACAATAAGCTGTCAGCAAGTTGAGAAGCAAGGAAGTCAGTCCCCAAACCCCAAAAGTAGCGAAGTCTACTGTGCAGCCTTCAGTCTTAACTGTTGTTAAGTCCAAGAGTCCAAAAGCTCAAGAACTTGGAGTCTGATGTTCTAGGGAAGGAAGCATCCAGCATGGGAGAAAGAGGAAGGCCGAAAGACTCAGACCAATCTACTCCTTCCACATTAGGCCAGTCTAGTCCTTCCAAATTCCTCTGCCTCCTTTTATCTTAGCTGTGCTGGCAGCTGATTAGATGGTGCCCACCCAGATTGAGGGTTGGTCTGCCTCTCCCAGTCCACTGACTCAAATGTTAATTTCCTTTGGCAACACTTTCACAAACACACCCAGAAACAATACTTTGCATCCTTCAATCCAATCAAGTTGACACTCAATATTAACCATCACAGGGTCTCACTGGGCTTTGGAGAATCTAGAAATTTTTGTGTGAAAATGTATTTGTGTGTGTTTTCCTGAAAAGTGAATACATAGCTTTCATCAAAATTCAGGGGGATCCATGACACTGAACTAAGGCCATGGCAGTGAGGATGGTGAATCAAATGCAATGGGAGAGAGATTTAGAAAGAGTCACTGGGAGTGTGACAGATGGGATGTGTGGGGAGAGGAGAGGGAGGAGACGAGACCAAAGGCCAGGCTTCTGGTTTGAGCCATGACTGGGAGAATAATGTATCTTTTACCTAGAACCCTGGAGAAAGCAGAGTTTGAGGCTGAGGAAGGAGAGGGGGAGGAGATAAATTATTTATTCATTCAATTATTTATTAAGCCCTCACTCTGTTTCAAGAACTGTTCTAGGTGCCAAGGATTCAGCTAAATAAAGAAACATATTCCAGGAATGGTAAACAGACAATGAACACATTCATGGAAGGAGGTGATAATTGCTTTGAAGAGAAATAAAGCAGGGTAAGGGGATGGAGAGTGACAGTGATGGGGGTAGTATTTTAGATAGGCTGATCAGAGAAGCTTCTGTGAGCAGCTGACATGTCTGCAAAAACCTAAGTGAAGTGAAGGAGAGAGGTTTGTGGCTGTCTGATCTGAGGCAATAGCATTACAGGCAGAGAGAACAACCAGGCCAAAGCACTGTGAAAAAAGCATCCTTGACTTACTGGAAGAATAGCAAGGACGCCAGCTTGGCTTGTGCAGAGTGAGTCATGAGGAATCTAGATGATGAGGCAGAGAAGGGAGCTAGAGGCTAGGTCACTTAAACCCCAGAGCCTTGAAGACCATAGCAATAATTATTGATTTTCTTCTAAATGCAATGAGGAAGCATGGGAAAGCATTAAGTAGGGAGAAAGATTCACTTCAGTTTGGGGCATTTGAGTTTGAAAGGGTGTACGAGACATCCAGGATGTGGGGGGTTGTACAGCAGACAATAGATAAGAACCCCACAAAGCGATGAGGACTTAGGGTACATTTATGAGAATCATCATCATAGAGATGGTAGTGGAAATCATGGGTGTGGACGGGTTTGACCAGGGATGTTGCAGAGTATGATGAGAAGAGGAGAAATTCCAGGACACCAGCAGTTAAGGGGTAGAGAAAAGAGGAGGAATTTATGAAGAAGCTTGAAAAAGAGTGGTGAGAGAGAAAGAAGGAGAGCTAGGGACAAGGTAGGCATCAAAGTAGAGGGGGGAGTTTTTGAAGGAGGTCAGTGATTTCAGAGGCTGCAGAGAGGGTAAAATAAGGACTAAAAAAGTATGCGTACTTGTCACAGTCTATAAGGTAGTGCAGAGGGATTGGATGTAGGAAGATTACAGTGGGCTAAGGAATAAATGACTAGTGGTGAATCAGGGTAGACGTCATCCCTAAATGATAAGCCTGGTCCTGACACGAATGTGTACACTTTCTGGGCCGACCCATTGGGCTGATGGCCAAGCTGCAGGCTCGGTTAGCTGGAGGACAGAACCAAAATGTCTTATGCCAAGTGGTAAACTGGTGGGCAGATCAGGAGGCTGCGATCATGGGGCCTGTGTAGACTAATGAGGAAGCAAAACCAGGAAGATTCTGATAAGGGGAGCAATGGAAGAGTAGAGGTCTGAAGTTCCTGATAAGCCTGAAGTATGGGCAAGGTGGAGAAAGAGGGTTGGGGGACAGCTGGGAGAAAAGGAGACTGAGGTCCAGGTGAAATATGGGAGTTATGAATTTGAAAGGTGAAGCAGAGAAAAGCCAAGGGTGTGGTTTTAGGAGAAGATGGGTAAAGTGGAGCAGAGGTGATGTTCACTGGCTTCAAGAAGAGAAGAAATAATTCCATTAAGGTAGGCTAGTGACATGGCTGGGCACGGTGGCTCACACTTGTAATCCCAGCACTTTGGGAGGCTGAGGTGGGTGAATCAGCTGAGGTCAGGAGTTCAAGACCAGCCTGACCAATATGGTAAAACCCCGTTTCTACTAAAAATACAAAAATTAGCAAGGCGTGGTGGAATGCACCTGTAATCCCAGCTACTTGGGAGGCTGAGGCACGAGAATTGCTTGAACCCAGGAGGCAGAGGTTGCAGTGAGCTGAGATTGTGCCACTGCACTCCAGCCTAGGTGACAGAGTAAGACTCCATCTCAAAAGGAAAAAAAAAAATGGTAGGCTAGTGATAGACCACAGCCATGGCAACCAACTGAAGGGGGTTTGCCCAAACAATCAAACAATTTAGTGGGTCCCAAGGAGCATTTGTTTGTTTTTTAGTGGAAGGAAATAGAACAAAATAGAAATTATCAATGCATTTTTTTTTTTTTTGTGATGGAGTCTCCCTCTGTCCCCCAGGCTGGAGTGCAGTGGCATGATCTCAGCTCACTGCAACCTCCGCCTCCTGGGTTCAAGCAATTCTTCTGCCTCAGCCTCCCAAGTAGCTGAGACTATAGGAGTGCACCACCATGCCCGGCTAATTGGCTAATTTTTGTATTTTTAGTAGAGATGGGGTGTCACCATTTTGGCCAGGCTGGTCTCGAACTCCTGACCTTGTGATCTGCCCACCTCAGCCTCCCTAAGTGCTTGGATTACAGGCATGAGCCACGGTGCCCGGCCCAATGCATCATTCTTAACAAAAAGAATGTTTGAGAAACCTTTGTTTTAATTGTGTGTGTGTGTATGTGTGTGTGCATACTGGGTCAAAATGTAAAATGCATTTCTTATTGTGGGTTGTTATGAAAAAAATTGGAAGCTTAGATGACATAATCCTCAAAGCAGTTTTTGCAGGAAGGTAGAAGGATGTGGACGGTGAGACAGGACACAAGGGCCTCAGCCTCTTTTGGACTGAGTCACATGGGGCCCAGTAGAAGCAGTGGCCCAATGACAGACCAATGAGAATAGTGCGTGCTTGGTTCAGAGATGCTGATGAAGGATGCCATACCTCTGAAGTCAATAAACTCTAAGAACTAAGATCTCCCAGAACAAGATAAGATCATTACGAATGGTATTATTTGGCAATGTAGGCTCGAGTCACAACGTTCAGGAATCATAACACCAAAGTAATCAATCAAACACTCTTTTTTTGCATAAGAAGCAAGGTCTGGCTTAAATTTAGCTCTGTCAAAACATGACAAAATCTGCCAGTGCAGTGGCGTGAATCCTGACTCAGTTTCTTTTACACGGCCTTCATCTTCAGTCTTATGTGAGCAGAAAAGGTGGATGTCTATTTTTCCCTCTTAGTGTAAATTTTATTTGATTTTTTTCCCTTTTAGAGTCCTTGTTATCTTTCCCCCCCAATATTTTATTTTCCTCTATTTCATTACTGTGCTGTGTGAAATATGCCTGAGCACCATGAACCTGGGGACTAGATACTTGAGATGAGTTTTAAGAATGAAGGCAAGGAAGAGCAGGTCTTAGGTTTCCCAAACACTGCGGGGAGTGCTCCTGGAGTTTGCAAGTGCCCTGCATGGCAGATCAATTGTTGTTCCAAACACCGATTTCCATTTCTTCCTAAGAATGCAAAGAGATTGTTTTCCCAGCCTCCTTTGCAGTTAGGTGTGATTCAATTTCAGCCAAGAAATGTGGAGGCAAAAGTAATATGTGTGTTCTCCAGGCCTGACCCATGAAAACTTACCACATTCAATTCTGTCTTGCTTCCCCAGCTGTAGGCTGGATGTGAATGCCAGGGCAGCATTGGAAGCCACTTGTTGTAGATGGCAGAGACTTGCTCATTTTGGGAGCTGTGTGACTACATGGAGCAGAGAGGTCCTTTCCATCCATCCCATGCTCAGTTTGTTAGACTTTATGCAACAAGAAGGGAACATTTACTGTGTTAAGCCTTTTGGACTTTGGGGGGTTGTCTGTTACAGCAGCTTGCATTACATTAACTACACCTTGCTCTAGTGCATCGTTAGATGATCAACCCTTGGTGATGATTGGATACCTGTGTTCATTTATAGTTTGCCTTTGGAGCCAAACCAAGTTGGTGATTTCATTTTCTTTTTCCATGGAGGCCTAGCTTAGTGTTTTGAAAATAAGTTTTTTTAGTTCTGTTTTCATTTTAATTTGCATTTTTATTTTCTCACCATTGTTGAAAAAAATACGCTCCATAGTACATCCTGCTTTCCAACAACCCGCCCCGAGTCCACGCCAGTGATATCTACCAAAAGACACTTCATAAATACTGCTGAGCTGATTGCTGATTTCACTTTAAGAAATTATGTTTTCTCACTTTGGGAGGTCCTCTACTTAATTTACAACTGAGACATGCCAAGTGTTAGTGGAAATCCCCAGTGATTTTAAATAAAAGTGACAATTACCACACATTGGCATTGCAAGATGCCAGGCACTGTGCTAGACCTTTCATCTATTTTATCACAAATTGAATAATCTTGCAAGTGAGGCATTAGTATATCATTTTAGTGATTTGAAATGGAATCTGAAAATAACTACAGGATATACCAAGGTCACATAGCCAGGGATTGGTGGAGCCAAGATTCTGACTCAGACCTGACTGGCTCCAAAGCCTGTTCTTGATCCATTTGTTTCCCAAATGTGTGTTTCTCAGTTATCTTATGTCTGCTTGTTCCTTTCTCTTTCTTTCCTTCGATGCCAATTTTACTGGCTCTACACATTGACTGGTTAAGACAGTGTACCCTGAATTCAACCAGGACCACTTAATTTTAACAGAGGAAACAGAACTCAGTCTTTTCAGTGCAGGGAGTTGAGGCCCACCTTGATGGGTATTAGAATATACAAATATTTACATAATTCCTCTGGCAAACATATGAGCATGCAATCCTCACTATTAATGAACAACAGCAAAGGCATCACCTATTGGCCTCCTTTGAATCCATCTGGCTCACAGTGAAAGCTGATGGATTTAAAAATTCTTGAGGTCAGCCAGGCGTGGTGGCTCACGCCTGTAATCTCAGCACTTTGGGAGGCTGAGGCAGGTGGATCACCTGAGGTCAGGAGTTCAAGACCAGCCTGACCAACATGGTGAAACCCCATCTCTACTAAAAATACAAAAATTAGCTGGGTGTGGTGGTGGACGCCTGTAATCCCAGCTACTTGGGAGGCTGAGGCAGGAGAATCGCTTGAACTTGGGAGGTGGAGTTTGTAGTAGGCTGAGATTGTGCCACTGCATTCCAGCCTAGACAACAGAGTGAGACTCCATTTCAAAAAAAAAAAAAAAAATCTTGAGGTCAGATGCTATATTAAAAAAGAACTTTGCTACCACATCCTTACCTCATGCCTTGCACAGGCCTGAAACTTGAGATATGTACATTGAATGAATGCTGAGTTAGCATGTTTACATTTGAACACAAGTTCTATTAAAAATGAGTGCCCACCCTAAGTAACTAAGAGCAAGTTGACCACAGGCTAATACAACTTATTTTACTTGGAGGCAAGCTTGAGTATGGAGAAGAGTGGAAGAGGCACGGATTGGTTTTTATGAGGTGGTCATTTTAAGGTTTACTGAATTGCAACAAATATGTTGGTCATGTTTCAGGCCTACAGACATTTGGCACTCAGTCTAGTTCCCCTTCTTCCTTCGGGCAAGTTTCTGAACTCTTTGGGAATGAAAACCTGCCTAAGGGCTTGAGTTGGTGCTGTGAGTCCCAGTCGGGCTAAAAGGACTGGCTCTGAAATTTAGGTTAAAATCTTGACCCCATCACCAGCTAGCTCTATGGCTTTGGGCAAGGGGCTCAGGTTGGCACATTTTTCTCAGCACAGAAATAATATTACCACTACCACAGGATTATTTAGTGAATAGCCCCTGTAAGTGAATCCTGTAAGGTATTCAGCATAGTCCTTGGCACTTAAGAAGTGCTTAGTGACTGTGAGCCACTTCTTCCATCGCCTCTGTGTATTGAACTGGACTTTTCATCCTGGCCCCTCACTAAGATTTTAACTCATCTAGTAAAGGAAGCCTTCTGCCCTGGGTGCTGGGATTGGCACCATAAAGAATGGGTCTTGCCCTTGAGGAGCTGAGAGTTTATTTTCAGCATTTAAATATTTAGACTCACAAGACGTTGAGCAAGTGATTTCACCTCTCTGTGCCTGAGTGTGTGGAAGGTGAACAGTAAGCAACCTTCCAACCCAATGTGTCCATGAGTCTTAATGTTGGCTGGAACTCAGCTACAGACAGAAGGAAAGAATGATTAGTCACTATGCTGGTAAACATAGCAAGGTTATCTCCTTTTATTAATAGACTAGGCTACGCAAGTCACAAAAATAGGGTAGCTTCAAAACTTAAATTCTTGGAATTTTAGTTTCTGTTGCATCTGATGAAACGTGAAAAGGGACTTGTGTTGTGTATGGACTTTGTAAAATGATCTTCTATCTCTTGGTGCAAATCAATTACTTATTAGTTTTTATTGCCAAGGAAAGGAAAATATATTACCATTCATTTTAGTCTTTTTCTTATCGATTCTGTGAGCACAGTGATAGTTGTTTAAAGAAAAATGATTACATTTATTTGTTCACTACAAAAGACCTATACCACATTATAGAAAATTCAAAAAGGGAAAAATCAGAAGAAAAAAGAGCTTTCCACACTAGTCAGCAACTGTTGGTGTTTAAGTGTTCTTTCATTTTTCTTCTGAATATTTTTGCATCGAGTATTGCATTTTCACTAAACACTAAGTAATAAACATTTACCATATTCGTACATGGATTTTATAATGATTTTGAATTGTAGAATAATATTCCCATGAGGGACATCTGGTTCCTTTGACCATTTTCCTACTCTTGTCTTGTTAGAAGGCAGCAGAGCAGGGTTTCCATGGGATGTGGTACCAGGGCTGGGTTGAGACGTGGCTCTCTCATTTCCTAGCAGTGTGACCTCGGTTAGGCCACTGAATCTCTCCAGGCCTAGATGTCCTCATCTAGGAAAATACAGGCTATATTAGTTCCAATCTCGTCAGGTCATTGTGAAGACTACATGAGATCATGTACGTAGAAAGCTCACGAGTATCTGGAACGTCGTCGAGTTTGCTGATGTTAGTGGCTGCTGCTACGTAGCCTACATTCCAATCTGACGACTGGTTTGATTTTTATAAACATCCTCCAAGAAAATGCACGTGGAATACCAGGCCATGTCATTTCATCTCTCATGTCACTTTATCTTTTGAGATCCTCATTTGCAAAGTGAGATGGTCAGACTATACAGTGTGACCCCAAAGGCCCCCTTCCACCTCCAACGACGGTGATTCTTGGCTTATGCTAAAAGCAGCTATAACCACTGCAGGGAAATGACCTATGGAAACCACAGCCTTGCCCATGAAGAAGGAAACCTGCAAGGGCCTGAGGGCTTGTGCACATCAGTTTATCTTTTAGTCCAGATAAACATTTGACATTTGTTCCGACACCTTCCTTCCAAGGGCTTCTCACAGTTCAGTCTGTGTGCTTCTCAGATCTCCATTTTTCAAATGGGTTCAGCAGCCGGTGCGCTCATCCAAAGTTTTATTTATCCATTCCACATTTCTAATGTCGCTTCGCTGCTGTGATCATTTTCCTATGTGGTCATTTAAGGAAGATAAATTGAACTGCAAATCTCAGTAGAATAGGCATTGCTCTTAGTCATTCCCCAAGGGACAGAGAAGATTTTTCTCACTCTTAGCACCACCTGCTTGTGCTCTCCCTATAATCTCCCAAGAGGAGTTTTTAATTAAAAAAAAATTATTTGGACAGCAGAGTAGTTGGGTGAGTTGCCTCCCTGGTCCATGCACTGTTACCCCTAACATTCAGACTTCTCAGATCCCAAAACCAGGTGCTGAAAGGGACTGAACTAATCTCACCTTAGGATCAGAGGTGCCCCTGCCAAGAAGCAGATGTCATTAGCATAGAACTGACAGCCACAAAAGCTTCCCACCCACCACCTCTGGCCTTCTGTTCCCAGAAAATTTCAGTGGCGTCAGCTTTCCCATCCAGAGAGCCTCTCCAGTGGGCACATTAGACAGGAAACATTAGGATGGAGAAGAAGCCTGGCACACAGGGACATCCACTGGGATGCAGAATACAGCGTGAGTTTTTGTTTCTTTGGTGTTTTCGGCTTTTTTTTTTTTTTTTTTTCCAAATGGAGTCTCGTTCTGTTGCCCAGGCCGGAGTGTAGTGGTGTGATCTCGGCTCACTGCAGCTGCAGCCTTTGCCTCCGGGGCTCAAGCGATTCTTTTGCCTCAGCCTCCTGAGTAACTGGGATTACAGGTGCCCACCACCACACTTGGCTAATTTTTGAATTTTTAGTAGAGACAGGGTTTCTCCATGTTGGCCAGGCTGGTTTCAAACCTCTGGCCTCAAGTGATCTGCCTCCCAAAGTGATGGGATTACAGGCATGAGCCACCGCACCCAGTCCAGCATGAGTATTAAGGTTAAGTATGTGGGCTCTGGATCCAGGCTGCCTAGATTTGAATCCTTGCACTGTTTATTCTGCGTGACCTTAGGTAGGTTATTTAACCTCTCTGTGCCTCCATTTCCAAAATGAGAATAATATTAATAGAAGAGCTTTTCATAAGGCATGTGAGGATTACATGAGTTAGCACATGTAAAAAAACATAAAACATGCCTGGCATATCCCAAAGGTGTGGTAAACAGGAGCTCACACCATGAGTGATTGAGGACTATGTGCTCAATGAGTGAATCCCATCCTTTCTGTAAGGGGCAGTCAGTAGTAGTAGGAAGAGTGTGGGTTTTAAGGAAAGACCTGAGTTTGCATATCACCTCCAGTTTGTGTTTAACTTTAAATAAATTCTAGACTTCCCATACCCTCAGTGTCCTCATCTGTTAAATGGGAACACTTTCTCTACCTTCGAGGCTGACTGTGAGGACTAAATGGAAGTATGTATTTTAAAGGCTCAACACAGTGCCTAGCACATAATCAGCTTCTGAACATGTGAGCTCCTGACACAGCCCAGCTCAAAACAGGAGCCAGGGTCTCCCCAGGGTTTTTAGAGGCAAGCACTGTTTCATTTATTCCTAGTGTTTGCTTTATTGCTGCCAACCTAGTCTTCACAGTTCCTGGGGTTTGGGTCATCAAAGCCATTTTAAAAGTCTCTATTTTCCTCCAGCGTCTCCCTCCTGGTGGAGAGATGCCTGCCACCTGCTCGGGTAGCCTGTGTGTTTTTGGGTCACACTGCAGGTTTCCAGTGCCTTGGTTGCTTTGCTCTTTTACAAACCAACCACCAAGAGCCCTTTCACTTCCCCACCGCCCCCACCCACCAGCTACAGTCCATCTTACCTTTACTACTGAGACAAAATTGGTCCTCTTAAAATCATCAGGGGCCTGTTCTCTGTCTTCCTCTGTTTGCCTCTGTGGAGGGCTGGACACTGCGGAGCAATCCTTCTTTCCTTTCCTGGAACTGTTTTCGGCAGTAGCTTCTCTTTTTACTGCTACTTTGTTGCCTCCTCTTTTTCCAGGATCTGGCCGTCTCCCCCACCCTAAAATCCCCTCCCTGCATGCCCTATCCCACTCCTACCTCCCCAGGCCAGACTTCAGGGCAAGCTAAAGTCCCATCATCCTCACAAAGACTTCCAGAACTCTCGAGGTTCCAGAGAGCACTCTCCTCTGAATTTCAAAAGACTGGCCTGGCATATTGCTCATTACGACCTTGGAAAGACAGAGGCTACCTGTGTTTTCTGTGCATGATGCTTCTCTATTCCTCGAGGTTTGCAAGCTCCTCGAGGGCAGGCACAGAACTTTCTGTATGAGAAGGGCTCTGTCAACATTGTTGATATATTACGAGTCGCTCCCATTTACTGAGTGAGGCTGGGATGTGTATGTATCTATATGTCTATCTGTCTGTGTATATATCTATGTATCTATGTATATATCTATCTGTCATCTATTTATCTAGTTACAATTATCTATCAATCATCCATCTATCTTATCTGGTCATCACAACATTCCATGAAGTAGCTATTACTACGTTAATTGTATACTTGAAGAAACTGAAGGTCAGAGAGAAAAAAAAGAACCTGAGCAAGACCAAACAGCTAGAAAGAAAGAGGGCCCAGGATCATAATTTTAGCATGCTTCCAAGCCCTATGCACTAAATAAGTAGCCTCTAAACTTTCTGTATCGGGCATCCCTTTCAGAAAATATATGTCTTTGTTTGCCATTTCTAACTTATATGTATTTACCATATTATTAATATATTAAGTGCATTATAAAACATAAACTACAAAAAATAGAAATTAAAGGATAATACCCTAAATATAGATTGTGGTCTCTCACTAAAAGAAACTAGGTCTTGGGAGAAGTGTCTAATTTTTAGTCTGGGAAGTGCACCTGGAACATTTTGTCATACAGAAAGCCAGGAATCTATCAATTATTATTGGGTCCTGTCAAAAGGATGTGGGAACCAACCTGAAGAGGTTTCCATTGGCTAAACATGGGACATTTTGAGCAAACTGCGATTGATTAAACCACATTTTAGGGGTGTGTGTGTGTGTGTGTGTGTATTTTTTTCAAATTTATATGCTTATTATGATACTAAAAAGATACCTTGGTGATCACTTTTAGAGAATACTAGATGACCAACTAATTACTTTGAAAACTGGTAAAGAAAAAGAAGCATTTGTTCTGCCCTTCCTGTAAGAATTGTGTCCCTGGATTAGCAAATAGACGATGAGAAGATTCTCTTAAAGAAGTATTCCAACTAATAAGTGAAGACACATAGATAGAATGAGGATACCATAGGACACCACACTTTGTAAGTGGTAGTGAACAAGGTATTTGATAATGATTGCTATCACAAAAAAAGAGACAAGCAGACATTACGTTCCCCCAACAGATGTCCATAACACCAATTGCAAAATGTTCTTGTCAGAAAGATTTAATATGAACCTGATGGAGCCTCTTGATTTCCCATTTACAGAAAGTACAGGGGATGGAGGCACATGATAAATGATACCATGGGAACATAATCAGCAGAATCTAGCCTGTAGATTAACCAAGAAAAGCAACCCAAGTTTTTCAACCAAAAAAAAAAAATTTGCAAAAATAGAGAATGAGAGATTGAGAGAGGGAGCAATAGATTAAAAGAGACCTGAGGGACATATTTATGTATCACAATGTGTGGACTTTGTTTGGATCCCAACTCA
Organism: Homo sapiens; assembly: GCF_000001405.40. Lineage (NCBI taxonomy): Eukaryota > Metazoa > Chordata > Mammalia > Primates > Hominidae > Homo > Homo sapiens. Next base: position 152,043,433 of record NC_000004.12, read on the forward strand.
AACTGTAAAAAAAATTTTTAGGAAAATCAAGGAAATATGAGCACTGATTGGATATTCAGTTATATTGTGGGCTAATTATTGATGTTTTTGGACTATAATGATGTTGTGGTTCAAGTTTTAGAAAGAGAGGGCATGTTTTTTAGGCCCATATATTGAAATATTTACAGATGTAATGAGTTAGTGTTTGCTGTCTTAGATAACAAAATAAAGGAGCAGGGGGGACAAGTAGGTGGGTAAATAGGGGAAATAAGACTGGCCTTGGAGTTGGTAATTTTTGAAGTTGAATGGTGGGAACATGGGTATATGGGAGGTTCATTATATGGTTCTACTTTTATATACATTTAAACTTTTAACAAAAAAATGGTTTTGTAATGATGATATTACAGTAAATATAAAGAGTTTTAATCTTTCGTTTCTTCCTCCTTCCCTTCCTCCTTCTTCCTTTCCTTTCTTCCTCACCCTTTCCTTCCCCTCCCCTCCCCTTCCAATTCCTTCTTTCCTCTTCTTTCTTCCCGTGGGTTGTTCGGAGGTGGTGCCCTTGAGGATGCCCCACTTTGGGGACCTTTGCTCTCGTCCCCTATGCAGCATCACCTCTCAACCTGGGGCCCGGGGAGGCTTGACCATGAGAAGTGTCTCTTCCATCCAGGAACCAAGGTCTGCACTGCATCTCCAAGCCTGCAGAGAAATGATGTGTGACAGCCCGCCTTGACAAATCAGCACTGCTTACAGCCCTGCCACCAGAATGCCTTCACTCTGTCCAACTTGAATTCCCTTTAAAGCAATGGAAGGAATCTGCTTTCCAAGATCCCTTCAGAAGGAAAGATTTGCATTGTTTAAAGGAGAATAAAAATCAGATGTCTAAGAAAAAGGAAAAAGACAAAGTCTCCTTTCAAGAAGTAACAACTCTGCCAGCTTACTCAGGTCATGAAATAATGCTGTTGGCAATGACTTTGGGGTGTTCTGTCACAGTCTCAGTACACTTTCTCCCCCCTGGGCAGTATTTTATAGTTACTGCTTCTACGCCCCATTGGCTCAGACATAATTTATTATTTGTTTACATGTTTCACTTACTCTGCTAAGGTGGAAGTCCGGTGATGCATTATTACTGACAGCATCAGTGTGTGTGTGTGTGTGTCTGTGTGTGTCTATTTGTGTGTCATTGAAAGACTCAAGGAGATCTGACGGGTTCTGAACCTGCAAGTTTTCAGAGCACAAGTGGCCCCCCCAGGTCTACAAGAGCCTCCCTGGGCTCTTGGCTCAGATCAAATGTGTCCTATGTCCCTGTAGTTAGTTCCTTCTACTTCTCTGAGGACCAAGACAATTCCAGGAAGACACAGGCTCCCCGGGACTGTGACTTTCTATTCTCTCCTTTGACTTGTCTTCCTGTGTAGTGATCAAAGTCCTCCCATTTCTGGGGGGAACGTCACAGTTTACACAGCACTTTCTTCACGACAATAGCATGAAGAAAATAATACCTGCCCTTTATCTCCACATGAGACACAGACAGGTCAAGGACGTGTGCAAGTTCAAAGAGCAAGAGTGGAATCCAGCCCGAACCAGCACCCCATGATGGAAGGGGAATGACCGTGGCTGGCCCAGTCACTTACAGCTCTTTGACCAGGGGCAGCTCACGAAAAGCTCAGGTTCTTCACCTGCTAAAAGATGGCAGTGATAGTGCTTACTGCACAGGGCTGTTTTAGAAATAAAATAGATTTCTAAAAGTGCTCAGCAAAATGACTAGCATGTAATAAACGTGCAATAAATGCTACCAACATTAATGGTCTTTTCAAAGCATTGTGTTTACAAAAGCTTTAGGGCTTATAATAAGAACGGTAGTAGGTGACTCTTTTGTAATATAATAATAATAATGATAATAATAAAATAATAGGTGGCTTACAGGCACCATTTGAATTCCCCTATGTGCATTAACCCTTTCATGTGTCATTAAGTCCTTTATGCATTTTTGTCACAACAAACCTATGTGGTAGGTAGCATTAGTACTCCTATATTAGGGATGAAGGACACAGAGGGTAGTTAGGTTTAAGTAACCTGGCCTTTTACAAAGAATTAGCCCGCATCTGAAGTGTTTCTCTGCTCTTTACTGTCCTCATTCAGGGAGCATGGGACCGTGACCCCCCCATGCATCAGCACCTGCTGAGAACTCAACAACCTCCGTAGCTTCCGCTCCCTGGCTTCCCCCTCTAGCAGTAAAGTTCATGATTTTATGTATCAGGTGCTCTTAGGGAGAGGAAACCACGGCCCAGAGGGATTAGCGACTTGCCCAAATCCACGTGGGGAGCTGGATTTAGAGCCGGCCTGAGGATCAAGTCTGTGTTCTCACTCTCCCTTCCGTGTCCCCGGGATGCTGTAAGAATGCACAGGGCCTTGGGACCTCGGTCCTCCCTGCTGCCTGCAGCCCCAGGGCTTTAGCAGGCTTGGACTCCCGCGCGGAGCCGCTGCAGCCGTCGGGGCCAGAGGGACAGGAACGTTCAATAGGGGGCGCCTGAGAGCCCAGGTGGGCGCTGAGCTCCTGGCTTCCCTCCCTCCGGGCCCAGCCGACAGGGAGGGGTTAGGAATTTAATCCTCCGCATTCCAGCCAGGGTTCCTGTGACATAATGAGGCCCAAGGAGGGATCTCGAGTGACTTGTCAGCAGAACCCCCAAAGGGATTTTCTATAGATAGCCAGGGCGTGTCTCGGGCTCGGTTCTCTGCGGCAGGAAAGTTCTTTAATGCCTGGGCTGGGCAACGCCGTGCGCAGCAGGTGGGTCGGGTGAGGCCCGCCAGGCGCTGGGCCCAGAGGACTCCGCGACGCTAGGAAATGTGTGGCAGCCGGGGAGGGGACGCAAGGAGCCCGGGCCAGGAGAGGGAATTCCAACTATGGCGTTTTGGAGAAAACTATTTAGTTATTTGCCCTCGCTGACCCCACCCCACGTTGGGACTGCGGCTGCAAGGAGAGGTCCCAAATACTGAGCCTGACACAGCCTTTGATGCTGGCTCTGGAAAGATTCTGTGGCATGAACCTGGCTCTCTTTGGAGAGACAGACGTGTTTGGAATGTTGGTGTCTGGAGTGCTGTGATTGGAGGCTTGAGGTTTCAGAGTTCCTTAATTTGCATGGCCATGCACCAAGGTTATTATTTTCCACAACAGAGGATTGAAATTTGAAACTCTGTTTACCTTCCAGATTCCAAACAAGCAACATTCCTATCAATAATGTCACGTAAATAACGGCATGATAGCCGAGAATCCTGTCATTAGTAATGTATATATATATATATATATATTTTTCATTCTGTTTGCTGGTGGAAAGGGATTCTCAGAAGCTATGCATATATTTTACATAAAATAATAGCTAAGCCGCCAAGGGCTTTAACGATATAATTTCATCATGGGATTCTGGGCTCTTTGGTTTATGCTGCCATCAGAACCCCAAGACAGAATTAATTCATGTAACTGGGACAAGCCCAAATGCTGTTTTCCCGTTCCCCTTATAAGTGAACTCAACTATTTTAATTGGCCAAACATTTGGTGGGTAGGGTATAGGGTGGAGAAAAGCCTGTCTACTATATTTATTAGCGTCTGAATAAATTCATTAGAGGCAGCATATTGTTGTTGTTAAAAACATGAAGTTTGCTTCAAATAGCCTGGGTCTGAATCCTCACTTGGTCTTAAAGCTATGAAAACTTGGGCAAGTTATTATCCTGGAGCCTCCATTTCCTCATCTGTAAAATGTGGCTGCTGATCCCTAGCTCTCAGCATGGTTGAGCCATGATTAAATGGCTCATGATTGAATGCCACTGGAACTGATGGAATGTATGAGTTTAATACCCGTCAAGGGTCCTTCGCACAGTACCTGGAGCCTACAATAACTGTCAATAGATGGCTGCTTTATGATTAGCTCAATGGCAAAAGTAAAACATCCTTGAAACTGTTCCCTGACACCATGAAGGCCCAAGAATCTTAGCCACTTCCCTCCAGAAGCTCCTCTTTTTAGCTCCTAAATTCCCCAGATGCTCCACATTTGTAAATTGTATTATTCCCATCCAGAGAGCAGGGTGGCAGCCCCCACCCTGTCTGGAATCTCAGAAACACCTCTGAGATTCTGACCTACTGCAGCTGCCTGTTACAAATAATTCGGGAAACATGCAACAGAACATATTGCAGCTCCACAGAAAGGTCTGAAGAGTGGACCTTGTGTGTCTGTCACGGATCTGCTTTCTCCTGCAGAAGAACCAAGGCAGGGCTCTGCCTGGAAGAGCACCCCCTGGGCTCCTCAGTGAGAAGCTCATGTGCCCCCCAACATCTGTTACAGTGCTACCTTGTCATGGTGGATAGGAGGGCTTCTCTCTAGATGTACACACAATTCTTGCCTGTGAGTAGACCTTAGCTTTGTAATACTGGATAAGATTATGGCTTCAAGTCTTGCCTCCACTCTGTACTAGCTGTGTGACCTTGGGTGAGGAACTTTAGCATTTTTGAAACTGTTTATTCTTAAATCTGCAAGACGAAAAGAATGGTAAGTCTCTCACTGGATGGCTGGGTAGAATAAATGGATTGTCACAGGTAAAATGACCAGTACAGCTTCTGGCACAGAGCAGAGGGAGATAAGGCTGAATGCCCTTTCAGAAAGACGAATTATTGCAGCCCATAGCCAGGTAAGCAAGACATTCACCCTCACAAGCAGCCCAATTACTGATACCACTCCCTTTCCCGAGGCTTTCTCCAAGTACGCTAAACTAAGTGACCTGAGAAAAGCCCTTTTAGGGGTCCTGTTGCTGTTAACAAACAAAGGAAGAGGAAATTTTATTTAAAACATGTTTTTTTCTGGTTGAAATATGGTCACCCTATTTTCCAGCTGGGACCTCCAGCACCGAAAGTCCCAGTTGATTGAGAGTAGCATTAGAGTTTTTAAATATTACTTGTCAAGCAATGGCAATGGGCAATCACTAGAGAAGGGCAGGGCTGTGCCCCACAGGCTGCTGGCAGTGTCCCATGGAGGCTGCGTGTTGAGATTTTCCTTCCTAACCCAGTGACTGTAGCTTTGTAATAGCCAAGAATTGGGGTTGGATTTATACAATCTCAAGCCTTTTCTCCTTATTTTATGCAGCTTTTTGCTATGTACCTTTGCTCTCTCTGAAAATATTTTCTTCTCACCTATGTGAGTAAACTGGTCACAGTCATTTTTAGGAACTGTGAATGTAGTTGAATTTATTTGCAGGTCAACTCTGCAGCTGCCAAATGCCTAAAACAGATCATTGGAGAGAAAGAATTCTAGCTACAGAGGAAAATAAATGTAGACTTTCTTGGTTTTGCCTCTAAAGTGGATACTGTGCCTGTTAAGTCCTGTGTATTTCCCCCACAGCACCTAGAACTGTTCTCCCCAGTCACTGGCATTTCATACATAGCACTGTCTAACTTAAGGTTCAGGAAGGGACTAGAGGCATATGGAGTGGGGAGAGGGCTGCAGAAAATAGATTTTCCTCTTTTTAGTAACCTGTTGTTTGCAATTGACACCATTATACACCCCAGAGAGCTAAGTATATAGTTTATAGTAAATCATTCAAAGAAAGTGTCAATCAATATACAAGATGCTGCATAATATAGCCACCAGACACTCACTGTTTTTTTTTTTTTTTTTGAGATAGAGTCTCACTCTATCACCCAGGCTGGAGTGCAGTGGCGCGATCTTGGCTCCCTGCAACCTCCACCTCCCGGCTTCAAGTGATTCTCCTGCCTCAGCCTCCAGAGTAGCTGGGACTACAGGCGCGCATCACCATGCCTGGCTAATTTTTTTGTATTTTTAGTAGAGACAGGGTTTCACCATCTTACCCTAGCACCACGTTACATATGTATAGGCTCAAAAAAAATGTTATTAGACATTGACAATAATGTTGAAAAGAACACTGAGCTGGGATTGCTCCCATATTTGTAATGAACCAACATGTCTCTTTGATTAGTCTCTTGGCTTTTCTGGATCTCAGTTATATTTATAAAATAATATTGCCTCAAACTTTTTAACTATCAAAAAACTTCTTGGACACCCTCCCTCAATCTCACCACCTCATTCATTTGCTTAACAAATATTTACTGAGCACTTACTATGTATGAGTCATGTGTCTAAAGGTTGGGTATATAATTTATGAGAAAAACAGAAGCAGTTCTTGCCCTCATGAAGGTTATAGTCTAGTGGGAGAGACAAACATGAAACAAACAGTCATGCACACAGAAATACAATCATAAATTGCGTTAAGTACTCTGAAGGGAAGCAGGGATCTATGGAAGCCTGATTAGGAGCTGAGGGAGCAGAGAAAAGACTTAGGGCTCTTTTATGTTTGTTTGTTTGATTTTCTTTCTTTCTTTTTCTTTTTTAAATGATAGGGTCTCACTCTGTCACCCAGACTGGAGTGCAGTGGCACGAATGTAACTCATTGCAGCCTTGAAATCCTGGGCTGAAGTGATTCTTCTGCCTCAGCCTCCCAAGTAGGTGGGACTGCAGGCATACATATGGCTGTATTTTTAATGTTCTTTTAGAAACCACATAAAGTGTTACTGTCAATTGAGTAATGCTTTAACATTATTTGTATATTAGTAATCATAACAGCATCTATATATACATGTGGAAAATGATAGTTTGTATATGCATGAGTTCATTATTCAGTCTAGAATTGTAGATGCTTTGCACATATGGGCACCCAGTATCCTGCAAACTCTATAGCCTCCTGGAGGACTGGTGACCCTTAACCAGAATATTCCTCATTTTCCACTGGCTCTCGTGGCAACTTGCAGGGCTTCTCAAGGGAGATCTTAAAGAAAACTGATTCCCTGCTCAGGACTCACATCAACACCAAGTGAAGGCTGGGACAGCCTTTTCCACCACAGTCGCCAACATACCCAACCACTTATGACCGCAGATAAGTGGTCTGACCAGTTCAGTCTATCTCCCCACCAGTGGGCAAAGTTTGCTTACCTCCAGGCTGATTTGATCTAAATCAAGCCCAACATTCAAAACTACATCAAGCTCTGTCAATAGTTGGGAAGAGGAGGCAGCAAGGGCCTCTTTGCCTCTGTACCCTGTACCTCTGAACTTAAACATTGTCAGTCTGTATTTTATCTCTCAGTGCTCACCTAGGTGATTGCATGTTACATCCCAGAGGAAAATATGTGTTTCTTCCCTAATGGCCTCCTAGCTATGTAAATGGCTGTACGTATTTGATTTATGTTTCCAGATTATAGTATTTGAGGCTTTCTGTCAAGCCCCTCCTTGGAAGTAGAAGTTTGCAATATTCTAATCCTTCGTGCATAACCAGGGATCCATGAATTCCGATAAGAAGCTGGGTCCACAATGAGAACCATCACCTTTAATAGGCAAAACATCTAAGGGCAGATGAGAAACTCAAAGTCGGCTTTCCTCTGCCAGTTCCTTCCAGGAGGAGGAGGGAAAAAGGAGGTTGAGTCTGTGAGGCCCAGGACTGAAGTTGGGGCAGTTCAGTCCCCTACCTGGAGCAGATGTGTAGAAAAGGAAGGTCCTTGCACTGTTGGCAATACCTCCCTTCCACTCTAAATCCCTGGAGGGCAGAGAGATGGTGTCTTTGTCATAGAGCTGCAGTGGTTAGCTCAGTGGGCACACATCACTGTTAAGGAGTGAATAGTTCTGGAAAGGTACTGGGACTAGATCACTAACCTAGGCAAGTGGACAGAAATCAGCCCCCAAAATACCAGCAGCTGAAGTCTTAAGGTAGCCAAGCAAAGGAGGGTAAGCCAGACAAGTCAAGGAGAAGGCAGGAGGGAGGCTTTGAGACAGCACTGGTCCATTTCATTTGCCCATCGGAGGGTGAACGAGATGCTTCAGAAAACATGGTGGAAGCACGTGTGCACCTGGATACACTGGAGCTGAGTGCTTCTATTGCAAAAAGACTGTTCACTTTGCAGAAGGTTTGACTTCTTTCCTTTTCACAGGAGATGCCTCATACTAATTATAAATGCTGTTGCATTTACAATGAATTTTTTTTTCTCTTTTTGAGACGGAGTCTCGCGTTGTCGCCCAGGCTGGCGTGCAGTGGTGCGATCTCAGCTCACTGCAAGCTCCACCTCCGGGGTTCAGGCTATTCTCCTGCCTCAGACTCCTGAGTAGCTGGGACTACAGGCGCCTGCCACAACGCCCAGCTCATTTTTTTATTTTTAGTAGAGATGGGGCTTCACCATGTTAGCCAGGATGGTCTCGATCTTCTAACCTCGTGACCCACCTGCCTCGGCCTCCCTGTGTTGGGATTACAGGCGTGAGCCACCGCACCCGGCTACAATGCATTTTTTACAGACCACCCCCTAGGACATTTCAAACATGTAAAGGGCACATTTGCCAGTCACGTGGGCTATTTATGTTTGCTCAGAAAAATGCCACATTTTAGTTTAGTTTCTATTTAGGGTATGACTTATTTGTATATATTTTTTTTGTTTTTCCTGGAGTTTCTGATTACTTCATTGTTGTTTTTGTTGATGGAAGAGACAAATACCTTCATTATTACATTCAGCTTTTACTCATTTTTCATACTCCTGGGAATTCATTCCATTCTTCTTGGATTCCATTGATATTCTGTTTTAATTCAGACTAACTGCTTGCTAGGTCAACTGACAACAGTTGGACCCCAACAAAATCTCAAACCGGAGTGAAGAGACTAAGTACTTGTAGGTAACTGGTGAGTACAGGCAGATGGAATAATTGAAATAGTGCTCAACCTTTGCACTGTGCTCCACAGCTCACAACACACTTTCTCACTTGGGTCTCCTTGACCCTTTCCAAGGCTCTGTGAATCAGGCACTGCACTCAGTCTTGGAAGAACTGGGTTCAAATTCCAAGTCTGCCCCTTACCAGCCTCAGGCCAGTGTGAGCTGGGATGATTCACCTCACCTATCTGAGCCCCTACTTTCTCTCACTTTATTATGAATATGTCATTTATTTTGTGACCAACTTTTCTATTTACATGGCTGTGAAATGGGTTTCTAAGACTTAAATTTAAATTTTATCAGAATGCTTCATGCACCTGATTAAAATGTCAAATCATCCAGAAGTTTCATAATGTAAAGAAACAGTCTCCTTGCTCCTCGTCTCCCCATCCTTATTTTGCTTCCCACAGAAGGCAGCCTTTAAACCGTTTCTGTTTTTAGCACTTGTGGTTTCTTACTCCATCTCCAAATGGTATGTTTATATTGGCTATGTCTTGATCAACAACCTCTGTAGACATTATCTACCCACTTCCTTCTAGGGTAGATAAAGTTTTAATTCATGTCCCCCACTCCCTTGCAAGTTTTGAAAATTCTAACTATTTTAGTTTCTGAGTTACAGTTGTAACTGTAGACAAACCTCTAATTGTTGTTTCATCAACAGTCACTGATACCTTTGGTTCCTCATTTTGTAAGATGAAGATAGAAGCATAATGTGTTTTTCCTCTACCTCTCTACTCTCCTACCTCCCAAATTCTAGATACTCTGTAACCACAATTAAGTTTCCCCTGCTTTGTTTATAGGTTGATTCTAAAAATTGAAAACCAGAAAACAGTGGTTACGTTATGACTTTGTAAATATTGTTAATTACAGAGCTAAGCAATGTGCCGTGATTACATTTCTTCTCCATAGTTCCAATGTTATGACCCCAGTGCAAAATGTTTCTAGCATCAGGAACAAATAGTCTTCTTTCCCCTACTCATCCATTGCTCAGAAAAATGCCACATTTTAGTTTAGTTTCTATTTGGACTGACTTATTTGTACACTTTTTTGTTTTTCCTGAAATTTCTGATTGTTTTGTTGTTGTTTTTATTGATAGAAGAGACATCTATTTCATTATCACATTCAGCTTTGACTCATTCTTTGTAGCCCTGGGAATTCATTTCATTCTTCTTGGATTCCACTGACATTCTGTTTTAATTCAGACTAATTGCTTGCTAGGTCAACTGACAACAGGCAACCAGGAATTTCCGGGATGAATTATATTATTTCTTTTATTTTTATTTTTAAATCTTCCATTGTCTGGGATTTTGCCTTAGTTTTTCTGGGGTTGATCCATTCGAGTAACTTCCTTAGAAAGGGTATATAGGGGCAAACTTCATTCTTGACTATCTGAAACTGTCTTTATTGTGCACTCACACTTAAATTGTTGTTTAGTTTGATATAGAATTCTAGTTTAAAATAATTTGCTTTAAAAATTTTTTTTTAAAGACTTCATTGTACTGCATTTTGGCACCTGTGCATTGTGAATTAGAAATCTGATACCACTTCGATTCTCTTTCCTTTGCAGGGGACTTACTTTTTTCTCTTTAGAACCTCTTAGAATCTTCTGATTCCTGGTGTTCTGAAATTCCACAGTGAGGGTGTCTTAGCAGAAGAACTGTTTCTTTTTTTTTTCTTGCTGGGAATTTGGCAGCCCTTGTATTTTGAAAGTTCTGAGACTTTTCTTCTATTATTTCCTTGATTACATTCCCTTTGGTTTTCATTGTTCTCTGTTTTGTACTCCCAAAAGTCAGATGCCAGTTCCTCAAAGTCAGTGCCAAGATTGGTCTTTTGTGCCTGTTTTCTTAATAATTTTGACATTTTTTCTCTTTTTCCTCTATGTTCTGGAAGATTTTCCTCAGCTTTTTATTCCATTATTTATATAAACTTTGCAATCATATTTTTTTAATTTCTGAGAATCCTGCTTTCTGATTATTTTATTTTATTTTATTTTTTCTGTCCCTCTCTGAGCCAATATGCGTGCCACTGGCTTGATTATCTCTCACTTCCATGGAAATGTGGCAGGGAACTAAATAATACCAGAAGGTAGAATATCTGAAAATTTAGAAATGGCAATCACTACTTCATTATTAGTGATTTCCAATTCCTGTGACTATTTCGGAAGAAATAATTGACAATGGAGTTATTCTGGGTAGGGGAAAAGAAAGTCTATCTAAAACCCCTAAGAAGAAAGAAAAGTCCATTTTTCTCTTCTCAAATTCTTTTTGTCAGGACTGATCTTCAGCTGGGAAACAAGACAGAGAGAGGCTTACTGGGATTTAAGGCCAGTGCCCATTCTGTGCAGTTCTGTCTGCTCTGGTTGGTTGGTGATGCTGTACCAGATGAGTGTTAAAATATCATAAATGGTCCTTCTCTTAGGCATAAATGCTAAGGCAAATAACTATAAACCTGTTAATTGCAATAAGAAAAATTACTAATTATTTTGATTTTTTTCTGGTGGATAGCACACTTTTTTATTTTTACCTCTAAGAGCAGAACATGATACCTAAAAATTTGCCTGCACTAACAGGCAGATATAAACTAAAACATCAGCAACATAAAACTGAAATGAAACAGGAATATAAACAGTATAGTCAGAAAATGTAGAAAAGACAAAATCAGATAATCACACATCAAGTCTCCAAGAAACAAAACAGATGAAAATGTAGTGTGTGAGGCTTTTTAAAATCCTAATGAAATTTGGGGAAAACAGGGCACACATTATAGAAATATCTTTTGGTCTGATGTGTCTTGCTGTTAGTCATAATAAACTTAATAGATAACATTTATTTCTGTGCGCCAGGGACGGTTTTATGTGTTTTACTTACATAAACTAGTTTATTTCTCACAACAAACCTAAATGATTATTATCACCAATTTCAGATATGAAAACTCTAGCTGGTCATTTTTCCTCTGTTGAAAATTTTCACTTGCCTTGCGATTGGAAATAAGACAATATTATATACATGTTTTTTATGTAGTTGTCTTTTTCACCTTACTAATTAATTAATTTTTTAATCGACAAGTAAAAATATATGTATTTATTGTGTATAATATGTTTTGAAATAGGTATACATTGTGGAATGGCTAAATCCAGTTAATTAATGTATGCATTACCTCACATACTTATTTCTTGTGGTGAGAACATTTAAAATGTATTCTCTTAGGGATTTTCAAGAATACAACACACTGTTACTAACTATAGTCACCATGTTGTACAATGAATCTCTTTTACTTATTCCTCCTATCTAATTGATATTTTGTATCCTTTCAATAATATCTCCCCACCAACCCCTATCCCCACCTCCCCAGCCCCTGGTAACCAACATTCCACTCTTTACTTCTACCAGTTCAACGTTTTTAGGTTCCACATGTGAGATCATGCAGTATTTGTTTTCCTGTATCTGACTTATTTCACTTAACATAATGTCCTCCAGGTTTACCCATGTTGTTGCAAATGACAGGATTTCCTCCTTCTTTAAGGCTGTATAGTATTTCAGGTTGATTCCGGATTTTGGCTTGGCCAGGCTGGTCTTGAACTCCTTTGGCTATTGTGAATAATGCTGCAATGTATATGGGAGTGTAGATATCTCTTTGACGTACTCATTTAATTTCCTTTGGATTTATACCCAGTAGTGAGATTGTTGGATCATATGGTAGTTCTATTTTTAATGTTTTGAAGAACCTCCATACTGTTTTCTGTAGTGGTTGTACTAATTTACATTCCCACCAACAGTGTGCAAGGGATCCTTTTTTCTCCACACCCTTGCCAGCACTTACCTTTTGTGGGTTTTTGTTTGTTTGTTTTGTTTGTTTGTTTGTTTTGAGATGGAGTCTCACCCTGTCACCCAGGCTGGAGTGCGTGGCACAACCTCGGCTCACTGCAAACTCCATCTCCCAGATTCAGGTGATTCTCCTGCCTCAGCCTCCTGAGCAGCTGGGATTACAGGCACCCACCACCACATCCGACTAGTTTTTGTATTTTTCGTAGAGACAGGGTTTTACCATGTTGGCCAGGCTGGTCTTGAACTCCTGGCCTCAGGTGATCCATCTGTCTCGTCCTCCCAAAGTGCTGGGATTACAGGCATGAGCCACTGTGCCTGGCCATCTTTTGTGTTTTTGATAATGGCCATTTTAACAGGTGTGAAGTGGTATCTCATTGTGGTTTTAATTTGCATTTACCTGATGATTAGTAATGTTGAGCATTTTTTCATATACCTGTTGGCCATTTGTATCTATTCTTCTGAGAAATGTCTGTGCAAGTCCATTTTTAAAAAATCAAGTTATTTGCTTTCTTGTTATTGAATTATTTTAGTTCTTTGTATATTTTGGATATTAACTCATTATCAGGTGTATGATTTGTAAATATTTTCTCCCAATCCATAGATTGTCTCTTCACTCTGTTGATTGTTTACTTGGCTGTACAGAAGCTTTTTAGTTTGATGTAATCTTATTTGTCTATTTTCAGTTTTGTTGCCTGTGCTTTTGGGATAATATTTATGTCATGAAGCTTTTATCCTATATTTTTTTCCTAAGATTTTATAGTTTCAGGTCATATATTTAAGCCTTTAATACATTTTGAGTTGGTTTTTGTATATGGTGTGAATAAAAGTCTAATCTTATTCCTCTGCATGAGAATATCCAATTGTCCGAACACTATTTTTCGAAGAGACTATCCTTACCCTATTGTGTATTCTTGGTACTTTTGTTGAAAATCAATTGACTGCAAATGTGTAGATTTATTTCTAGGCTCTCTATTCCGTTCGATTGCTCTATGTGTCTGTTTTTTGCTAGTACCAAACAGTTTTGGTTACTATAGCTTTGTAATATATTTTGAAGTCAGGTAGTGTGTTATTTCCAGCTTTGTTCTTTTTGCTCAAGATTGCTTTGGCTATTTGGGGGTCATAGGACTTTAGAATTTTTACTCATTTCTGTAAAAAAAGTCATTGGAATTTTGATAGGGATTACATTGAATTTGTAGATCACTTTGGGTAGTATGGACATTTTAACAATATTAATTATTCCAATTGATGAACATAGGATATCTTGCCATTTATTTGTGTCCTCTTTAATTTCTTTCATCAATTTTCTAGTCTTTAGTGTACAGGTCTTTTACTTCCTTGGTCAAGTTTATTTCTACATTTGTTTTTTGTAGCCATTGTAAATGGGATTATTTTCTTGATTTCTCTTTTGGATAATTTGTTGTTAGTGTATAAAATACTACTGATTTTATGTTGATCTTGTATCCTGCAACTTTGAATTCATTTCTAACAGGGTTTTTGCAGAGTCTTTAGGGTTTTGTATATATAAGATCATGCCTTCTGAAAACAGGGACAATTTAATTTTTTCCTTTCCAATTTGTATGCCTTTCTTTTTCTTGCCTAAATTGCTCTGGCTGGGACTTTTAACATTATGTTGAATAGAAGTGACAAGAGTGGGCCTCCATGTCTGGTTCCTAATCTTAGAATAAAAGATTTCAACTTTTCATTATTAAGTATCATTTTAGCTATGGGTTTGTCATATATGGCTTTTTATTGTGTTGAGGTACATTCCTTATATACCTAATTTATTGAGTTTTTTTTTTTATTATGAATGGGTGTTTAATTTTGTCAAATGTTTTTTCTGCATCTATTGAGATGATCATACAGTTTTTATCCTTCATTTTGCTAATGTGGTATATCACATTTATAGATTTGTGTATATTGAACCATCCTTGCATCCTTGAAATAAATCCCACTGGATTATGGTGAATGATCTTTTTGATGTGCTGTTGAATTTTGTTTGCTAGTATTTTGTTGAGGATTTTTGCACCTGTGCTCATCAGGAATATTGGTCTGTAATTTTCTTTTCTTGTAATGTCCTAGTCTGGCTTTTGTATTGGGATAAAGATGGCCTCATAAAATGAGGTTGGAAGTATTATCTCTTCTTTGAGTTTTCTGGAAGAGTTTGAGAAGGATTGTTATTAGTTCTCTAAATGTTTGGAAAGCCAATCAGTAAAGCCAATCAGGTCTTGGGCTTTTCTCTTATTTTCTTTTCCTTTTTTAAAATTTGAGGTTGGGTCTTGCTATGATGTCTGGGTTGCTTTTGAATTTCTGGACTCAAGTGATTATCCTCCCTCAGTCTCCTGAGTAGCTTGGATTACAGGTGTGTGCCCCATGCCCAACCTGGGCTTTTCTTTGATGGGAGAATTTTATTACTGATTTAATCTCCTTACTTTTTATTGGTCTTTTCAAATTTTCTATTTCTTTTTGACTCAGTCTTGGTAGGTTATATATTTGTAGGAATTTATCCATTTCTCCTAGGTAATTCAATATGTTGGTGTATAGTTGTTCATAGTAATCTTTTATGTTCCTTTTGCATTTCTGTGATATCAGCTGCAATGTCACCTCTTCTGTTTCTTTTTGTTAGCATCATGTGTTCATTTATGAATACAATACCTTTAAATCTTTCTGATGTAGGGTGATCATATATCTTGATTTGTAGGGGACAGTCATGGTTTATATTGCTGTCCTGGCATAATTATTAATAGATCCCCATATCATTCTCAAAATTGTTCCAGGTTAGATAATAAATTAATTACATGGTCACTTTACTCTGAAGATATTGTTGAATTTTATTTTTAACTTCTCTTCTATTCTTGAATTATTTCTATTTCTTCAGGGTGATGTTTTCAAGGCTTTTAAACTTTGATTGTCTATTGATATTTAAGAATAAGGAGTTAAGAATTAGGAGTTCTGGATACATGGATAGAACTTGTAGACTGGTAGACTCTGCTCTAGTATGGGTAGGCAGGAAACTGACTCTTGCTCTGGAGATGTCTAAAAGAAAGGATAAGAAGGACTGTTTTTGTGATATCAATAGTCATACCAGCTGTCCCAGTTTTTTCCAGACCATTTGTATAATTTCTTTAGAGAAAAACGAAGCTTTTTAGAAATGGTGGTAACTTCCTGGCTGTCATGCATTCTGTATGGGGGGAGGGTGGGCAATTGTTTTGTATACAAACCTTTAATCAATCTCTCTTTTCAGTTCCAGTCCTCAGTCCTCCCCTCTGCCTTGCCTGAAAGCTCAGGACCAGAACCTTTCCCAAATTCTGCAAGGCAGATTGACTTCATCCTTTATTGCAACCCCATCAAAATTTCTCACTTGCACTTTTTGGTTGTCAGAAATTTGCTAAAACCACTCATCCACTGATGGATCCCTTTCTTCATGCTCTTTACTGTTAGGGGTTCATGCCTTTTCCACCTTTGCTATTCTTTTTGTGAGGTGTCAGGGGGAAGGAGATGTGCTCAATTAAATGTCTTTAACAAGAAAATACTTGTCCCTTCCTCCCCTTTTATTATGAGTATAATGATGCCTTTTCTATGTATTTTTCTGGAAGAAAGTTCTGGTTGAACCCCAGTATCCCCTCTCCATTTGTAATAAATGCTCCCTTGTCAACCATCTTTAGCTGGCACCTGGCAACCTGGAATAATCTAACCTTCCTTGCAAATAGATGTGGCCATGTGACTGAGCTCTGGCCAAGTTGGTATAAATGGAAAGGTCTTATAGCAGCTGGAACTGTCTTTAAGAGACACTAAGCATATGCATTTGCTGTCTTATTCATTACTGCTCTCCCATCCTGCTCTCTGGACCGTAGATGTCACTATTTTGGGCCATGAGGTTGAGGTTACGTAAAGAGCCTACATATTTGGCACCATGGAGCCCAATACCAGCCCTAGACCTCTCATCTAAACTTGCATAGGACAGAAACATTTTGTTTTGCTTAAGGCAATGTTATTTTCAGTTTTCCTTCACCACAGTGAAACAAACGCTTAACTAATACAACCTTAGAAGTTATCTATGAGTTACTAAAAAGATGATAATTGTGAAAGTACCTTGTAAACCGTAAAGGGCAAATGTCAAATATTGTTATCATTCCTTGCACCAGATCAGATTTTGAGCGCATCTTCTGCACTAGTTACTTTTCAAGAGAATCCCCCTTAAATTATTTATTTTTGTCATCAATAGCTGGCATAGAATTCAATATATTTATTAAATTTTAGTATATTAAATGTATATTTTTATGTATTGAATAGATTTTAAATATATTGAAATTGTGGGATTCCCTTGAATATATTTTTTGAATATATTTTAAATATATTCGATATATTTATTAAATGAATATATTTTAAATATATTCGATATATTTATTAAATGAATATATTTTAAATATATTCGATATATTTATTAAATGAATATATTTTAAATATATTCGATACATTTATTAAATGAATATATTTTAAATATATTCAATACATTTATTAAATGAATATATTTTAAATATATTCAATACATTTATTAAATGAATATATTTTAAATATATTCAATATATTTATTAAATGAATATATTTATTAAGTCAATGTTAACATATTGAATAAATCATTTTAGTAAGTTATCACAGTTGACCCTTGAACAACGCAGGGGTTGGGAACACCAACACCCCATGTAGTCAAAAATCTGCATATAACTTTTGGCTTCCCCGAAACTTAAGTACTAATAGCCTACTTTTGACCAGAAGCCTTCCCAGTAACATAAATATTTGATTGATTTGTATGTTTTATGTATTATATATAACACATACAACATAATTTTTATATGTATTATATACCGTGTGCTTACAATAAAGTAAGCTAGAGAAAAGAAAATGCTATAGGAAAATCATAAGGAAAATATATTTACTTTTCATCAAGTGTAAGTGGATCATCATAAAGGTTTTCATCCTTATTGTCTTCACACTGAGCAGGCTGAGGAGGAGGAGGAAGAAGAGGAGGTAGTCTAGCTGTCCCAAGAATGGTAGAGACAGAAGAGGTAGAGGAGGTGGAAGGGGAGGCAGGAGGGGCAGGTATACTCGGTATAACTGCTATGGAAAAAAAATCCTTGTAAAAGTGCATCCACGTGTTCAAACTTGTGTTGTTTAAGGGTGAACTGTAGTTCTTTAAAATAATGTCAAAACCATAAAAAAGGCAAAAGAAAAGCGTTAAGATATTTTCAGTTCATTAATCTCCATAATAAAAATTTTCTAAAAATAGAAAAAAATCCCAAAAATTTGATAGAAAAAATGAGCCAAGAACAAGACATTGAAGACAAATGCAAATGGTCTTTAAATACGTGAGGAGGTTCACAACCTCACTGGCAATAAGATACATGCAAATGAAAAGTCACAGTAAAATAAAGTTTCCCATCTCCCAGATTAGCAGAAAACCAAAAGTTTGCTACCATCCTCTGTTGGTGAGACTGTGGGGACAGACATCCTCATACATGGTTGGTGAGAATGCAAAATGATGCTACTACTTCATGATAGGGAACCTGGCAATAGCTACCAAAATTGCAAAAACATTCACCCATTTACCCAGCACTCCTGCTTCTGGGAATCCACTCAGCATACCTGACATATGCACAAGGTTATTTATTACAGCAATGTAATGGCAAAAGACTGGAAGCAACCCAAATAATCATTGATGGGGGGCTATTTAAATAAATTATGGTGCAACATACAACAAAATACTATGCAGCAGTCAAAGAAAAACTGAAGAAGTTCTCTGAATGCCAATATGGAAAAAGTCCCAGGATGTTTTCTAAAGTGAGAAGTAAACAAATAATAGGATATATAGAATGCTATCTTTTGTGTAAGAAAAGAGGGGAATTAGAAATATGTACTGATATTGCCATAAAGAAAAAGTGTAAGGATAAAAATAGTTACCTAACAGGATGGAGAGAAACAGGGATAGGAGTGAGACTTCTTGCAGCCCCCTGGGCTGGGGGCTGATCTGTCACAGTCCCGTCCCCAGCTAGTCTCCAGGCCTCTTGTGATGGCTCTGCTTCCCAAGGCCTGGGTGGTTCAGGCTGGTATCCACTTCGTTTCACCAGTATAGATTACTGCTGTCCCTTGGGACTCACTCTAAGACTTTCTTTCCCTGTGTGGCATCCCCAGATCAGCTCATTGAGACCCATCTTTCCTCCAAATTTCTCAAATTGCTACCATATCCATTTGACAATCAGCCTTGAATGGCTTTGCAACATCTTTTTAATTGTTGTATTATTTATCTGGCTTCCTTTTTATTGCTTATCATACTTCATTTGTGTAAATACTTTTTATAGGAATGAGACTTTTTCGTTGTTTTTAAAATGTATGTATTAGGCTATTTTAACATGTCCATATGATGTATTTACTCTGTATGCCAGACACTATTCTAATACGAATATGAACTCGCTCAGTCCTCATAAGAACACTATGATGTATTCGACAGCATGTAACAGAAACAGTATTACTATTGTGAGGCACTGAGATGTAAAGTAACTTGCCCAAAATCACAGAGCTAGTGAGTGACAACGGGATTCAAACTGAGGTAGTTACTCCCTAATCTTCAGTATTGTTTTTTAAATGATCCTTTTTACCAAATACTTCTTTTTTTGAGACAGAGTCTTGCTCTGTCGCCCAGACTGGAGTGCAGTGGCACAATCTCAGCTCACTGCCACCTCTGCCTCCCAAGTTCAAGTGATTCTCCTGCCTCAGCCCCCCGAGTACCTGGAATTACAGGCATAAGCCACCACAGCCGGCTAATTTTTGTATTTTTAGTAGAGATGGGGTTGCGCCATGTTGGCCAGGCTAGTCTCGAATTCCTGACCTCAGGTGATCTGCCCACCTCTGCCTTCCAAAGTGCTGGGACTACAGGCATGAGCCACAGTGCCTGGCCCTTTTTACTGAATACTTCTAACCAGATAATGACTTCAAGTCATTAGGCTGAACTACTATCCCAGGCATAAACTCCAGGTAACCAAAAGAGATGAAGGCTGCTGAACTTCCATTGCTATTTGTTTATGAGTTTTTTAGTAGTGAATCCTTGCAAAATGCGTGCTGAGCAAATTTCCATTATGCTGACCCTTGTGGGTGGATTACAGTTTCAAAACCATAGTAGCTTCCTGTTGTCCTCCGGAATCTTAACTCCAGTCCTCTGGCTCTATATTTTTTTAAGTGGGCAGGTTGCTCAATGGAGTGATCTGATAGGGGAGCTCTTGCTGGAATAATGGGGTTCTCAGTGGGGTTGGTACTGTGCCCAAAGAGGCATTTGAAAATTTGGGAGAGCAGTTTTCTGGTCATCACAATGATTAAGTGACTACTGGCATTTAGTAGGCCACTGCCCAGGGCAGTCCCCATGATCAAGAATTGCCTGAGTCCCACACAACTTTGTTTATCCCTCTGGACAATACCTAGGTGAAAAACCTGTTTTTAATCATCTAGAACCTTAACAAACATTTTGGTCTGTTTGTTTTGGGGTTTTATTTTGGTTTGTTTACTTTAACATACACTGAATTTCCAAAGAATGTCACCACTGTGTAAATCAAGGGAAGAATTTTCTTCATTGCACTGGAACTTTATCAAAGGATTGTTTAATATTATAACATACCCTTAGGAGTCTACATTTGCAGCTGTCACATTCATGGGGATTTTATATGGGTCCAAGCATCGGAGCACTTCCTCATGTCTAGTAGTGTGGTCATTCACATGTTGAGGCACACAACTTATTGTAAGTTTCGATCATATCTCTCTTAACTATTACAGTTAAGAGATACGGATTTGTTTGCACTTACGTATGCATCTAGGTTATATTATCTCTGAATTTCACTTCAGGCAGGTAAGGAGGCATAATAAGTAGTTTTACAAGGGGCGTTGGGTCTGGCAGGTCAGATGATTGCCTCCTGTGCACACGTGTAGGAGACAGCATATGCACAGCAGATACACAGTACAGTAGTGACTGCACAAAACCAGAAGGGGAACCCTGCCCCAAGCACAGCCCGGCTTCATGATCGTGTTGCAGATAATGATCCAGTTGCTGCCTCGCCCTGTGAGCAGCTGCAGGAATCAGTCTGGCTGAGGGCGTGCTTTTCTCTGAGTCGCTGGAGTCAGCTTTGGCTTTGATTTACAAAAGCTGGCAATTTCACTGAGTATACGACAGATCAACAGCAGCCTTTTCCCGTGCAAAACACCTGGGAGAACTTCCTAATAGGCCTACCACACGGCTGTCACTTAATGAATATGTAACGGAAGTACAGTTTGATGGAAATAGGAGATTCTGGCCTATTTTTTCTGGGTTTTAGAAGAATGCTGATAAAATTCCATACCTCTGGCTTGGTTTTCCAACCATAAAGATGTTCCTGGTCTAACATATTATCCTCATCATCATCAACATCGCCATCATCATTATCAAAAAAGCACAATTTTGCCAAGTGTCTAATAGCTATTCATAGCAGCAGTGCCTGAGACTGCTCATCTTGATAATGCTGACTACGATCATTACAATTTTTATTATCCAACTCATTTATTCCACATTCAACAAATGTCTGTTGAACACCTAACCTATTATTTGCCAGAGACTGTGCCAGGAATGAATAAGCATATGTAGTTCCTACTTTTGTAGAATTCATAGATCCAGGGAAGAAATCAATAGTAATAATTACACAATTACATGTGCAGTTATGGCTAATTTAATTATGAAACAGGAGAAAAATTCCTTGGACACCCCCTAGGTACCTGAACTCTTCATTTTTGCATCCTACCCCCCAAGTTGCTTCTCCCCCAAAATCTGATCTGAGTTGTCTGCACAGAAAACTGAGTCATCCTAGCAATCACTTTTCTAACTTCTCATTCTTGACACCTAATTAATCACTGAGTGCTACTAATTTTACCTCCTCCACATTTTTCTAATGCCTCCCTTCCTCCCTATCCCCACAACCCTGTTTATCATCTGGCTGGACATTTGTAACAGCTTTGTAACAGGTCTCTCTGCCTTTAGTCTTGGCACTGGTGTTGATCAGGATTCAGTCGCAGAGAACAGAATTCACTCTATCCAGCTTAAGTAGATGGTGATTTGTTACAAGGTATTAAATGGCTTACAGAATTGCTGGAAAAGCTGAAGAAGCAGGTGGAGCTTTTGAAAATGGCTTTGGGAACCACATTGCAGAAACTGAGTGCATGGGATCTACTGCCTCTTTTATAATCCAGAAGCTGCATGTCAAACAAAGAAGCTTATGCCTGAGCTGCCAGCTCCAGAACCATGCCTCCATTGCCATAATCAGATGCCAGCGTGCTCAGAAAGCCATGGCAATTAGGAAACAGCCATGATTCAAAGAAACTGTGATCATGAAACCACGGCAGAAAAACCCAGCGCCTCTGTGAGCAAGGGGACCAGCAGAACCCCCAGGGGTGCAGCCTCGCTTCCACCTTCCAAATCCCGGGCAAATATTTCTGGTTGATAAAACCTAAATCATGTCCAGAACCCAAATTACACCCTAAAGGTGTAGTTTTGAGCTTCCTAGCTGCTGCAGAACTGCAGTAGAGGAAGGCTCCCTAGGAGAACTTTGAGATAGACATGGAGTGTGAACTGCTGTGATGGTTAATTGTAGGTGTCCACATGACTGAATTGAGGGATGGCTAGATGTCTGGTGAAGTGTGGCTTCTGGGTATGAGTGTTTCCAGGGGAGACTGAAGAGCGAGTCAGTGGATTCAGAGAGGAAGACATGCCCTCAATGTGGGCAGGCACCCTCTCATCGGCAGGGGGCCCAATTGGAACAGGCAGAAGGGAGATCTCTCTCTCTTTCTCTGTCTTCCTTCTGGTGTGGGATGCCTATTCTTCTCCTATTGTTGAACATCAGACTCCAGGTTCTTTGGCTTTCAGGCTCTGGGACTTGCACCAGCAGCTTCCCAGGGGGTTTTGGGCCTTCGGCCTCAGCTGGGGGCTTTACCATCTTTTTTTTACCTTTTGTGGTTCTGATCCTCCCAGACTTGGATTTGGACTGAGCCACACTACTGGCTGCTCTGGTCTTTGCAGACAGCTTATTATAGGGCTTCCCTTCCTCTTTGCATCAATTCCCTAATGAATCCCCTCTTGTATATCCTATTGGTTTTGTCTTTCTGGAGAACTCAGACTAATACAACCATGTTCCTCTTCAAGTCACCAGACTGATGTTTCTGAAATACAAATCTGACCATGTCATTCCTCTGCAGAAACTCTTTCCATGGTTCTCCATTGGCCATAAAATAATGTGCAAGTTCCAGCCCTCACATTTGACTCTCTTGTGACACCAAGGTGCACTCTGTGTGCTCTTTCAGGACCCATGTCCTTGTTCATGCTGTCTCCTCTGTCTGGAGTGCACGTCCCACCTCACCAGACAAACATTTACTCATCTGAGACTCAGGTCAGGCATACTAGGAAGTCCTTCTTGAATTGTATGGGCTATAGGTTACCACTGCAGCTTTCTGGACATGCCTATGTCTTGAAATCACCTGCCCATGTTTCTGTCTACACTATTATGTGTTCTCTGGGAGCAGTAACTGGGTGTCATTCATCTTTGTATTTTGAGTTTCCACACAGTGCCAGCTTCAAAAACATGCTAAATAAAAGTTTGCCAAACTGAAATGAATGATACTAAACTGTGTCTTCAGTTGAGTTACCTAGGAACAAGACTCAAAGGAAGAGTTCGCTTGCAGGAAATTTACTGGGACTGCCCTGGGACTCAATCCCTACAGCAGGGCAGGGAGAAAGAGGAGGAAGTGGAGGAATCAAGTCTGGGCATAGGGAGAAGTTGGATAGTGATGCAGTCGTG
Source organism: Homo sapiens (assembly GCF_000001405.40). Classification (NCBI taxonomy): domain Eukaryota; kingdom Metazoa; phylum Chordata; class Mammalia; order Primates; family Hominidae; genus Homo; species Homo sapiens. Next base: position 152,066,832 of record NC_000004.12, read on the forward strand.
ATGAGACCCCAGCTAGCTCCACAGTGAGCTCAAGAGCTGAAAGTCCCTGTAGAGCTGTCCTACCCTGAAGTAAGAGGTCCAGGCCTCTATAACCCCGTCAACTAGTTATTGGATGTTGTCTCCTTAGGGTCAATAGCTCCCTTCAAGTGGGGGGAAATTACTGCAAGGTGACTGCATCAACCAGAGTTTGGTCTCAGGAGAACCATTCAGTGGGAAGGTAAATGGAAAAATGGAGGGATGGATCGATAGATACATAGGTAGGTAGGTAGATAGATATATGGATGGATGGATGGATAGATAGATAGATAGATAGATAGATAGATAGATAGACAGATAGATAGATAGAATTGGAAATTTACTTGTTAAAGGGACATGACCTATGCAATCATTGGAACTGGTTATATAGTTTATCTGAGTCTGTTGTTTCTGTGTCTGGTGCTCAATCCTGAAGTCTGCAGGATAGGCAGTCAGAAGAGAAGACGGAAGTGAAGTGGAGAATGCAGGACAAACTAGAACCTGTGAAGCTGAGCTTCAACCCAACAGGATGTGCTGAACCCATGCCAGTCTCTCTATCTAAGGCACCATCTTGGCTAATGGCTGTGTGGAGAAGCTGGCACCCTTCGTCATGGCACTAAGAGCTGTCAGCCACCAACACTCCCAGTGTCTGGGGAAACGAGTGCCCTAGGACTGGAAAAGGGGATTGGGGTGGAGTACCACAGCAGCCACTCTATGATGTTGTTCACAGACCAGCACTTGGCAAGGTTCATTTTTTCTAGGGCCTCACATCCCAAGAATGACAAAATCTAGCTTGTGAAAACAGATAAAGCACAGTCAGTGAATATCAAATAATGCAATAAAAATAAAACTAGTTAATAAAAATCTTACCCTCATATGCTATGAAATTTCAGGTGGGTAGAAAGAAAATAAGGAACATCCAGGGACCAGAGAGAATTTTTAAAGAATTCACAAGATTGAAGGTGATAGTGAGAGGGAGGTCTGAGCTGTGGGGAAATGGGCAAGGAAACAAATTATAAAAATGTATGATGTGTTGTTGTTTTCATGGAGAATATACGAAGTAGGCTTTGAAGGATGAAAGTCTGGACAACACTAACTTAGAAATTCTGCCAATTAGTTGTGCATTTCCAGAAATCTATTCATTCTTCTTTTCTTTCCCACCTTCCTACTCCTTGGCCTTCGTCTTAGTCAAGGATAGCACAATGTTGCTCCTTCTCACTCCTTGCCCATGGCAGACATCACTAATCAATTGTGGCATTCCTTCCTGGGTGCCCAAATAAGATCTCATAATCCTCAGCATTGTATTCCAGGTAGCCACTGCCAATTGATGGTATGGAACTTAATAGCCATGCCTGCTCATAATCCATTGCATTCGTTTATACCTGACTTACAATTTCTTCTAAAAATGCCTGTTTCTCACACCATCTTTACCTGCTATAACAGACCTAAAACCCATGCCTGAGAACAAAAATTCTAGGCTCTATTCTGCATCCCTGGCCTTAATAAAATGAGGCAAAGTGAAAGGATTTGAGGCTTTTAAAGCCTGTTTCTCTGGCTATTTCACCATAGAACAGTCCCACTTCTTAGGGACATAGATTTAGGAAACAGGATCAGTACTAGCAAGAACAAAGGAAAGTGTGGCAAATAAATCCACCTGCCATTCTCAGAATAGAAACTATTCTTGAGAAGCAGGTTTTAGAAAGAAATTGGGGGAAAGGAAATATAAAATAACTATACATGCAAAAATGGTAGGGAAACTTCTGTTTTCATTAATAACAATTATGAAGAAGAGCTACTTATAGTTGTACCTTGCTTTCAGCAATGGATGCATATGAACTGAACTTTCGTAAATCAATCTATTGGCTTAGATGCTTGTTTCAGAATCCTTCATATCTGATTTATTACCTTAGTGCCTTAACAATGCATTAATAGTGCATTCCTCTGGCCTTGGTTCCCAATTAGTTTTCTGTAAGCAAGCATTTAAATGTTAAGGAATGTTAGGAAATCTCTTTGGAAGGCAAATGATTCAATTGAAGTGTAAGTAACCCCCTCAGTTTATCTAATATTGATATTACCTGCTGCTATTGTAGACATTTATATTTTTCAAAGTGCTACCACACTTAAATGTATTCGATCAGCCAAATGACTCTGTAGGGAGAGTGTGGGGTGGCCGTGGCTCCCACTTTCTGAAGAGGAAACAGGAAGTGTGTTTCATAAGTGCTTTGCTTACTGGAGTTCACATGGGTAGTTAGTGAGAGTTAAGACTTGGTCCCATGTCATCTGACACGTGGCCAAAACTATGTTTCCCATTAGCATGTACTATGTCAAGTGTCATGTCTGCTTGCTTATTTTTTGAGGTGACATCAGCTATATCAAGTTCTCTGAATTCAAGTATATTCCAAATGATCTGCTTATTGAGAAACTGAACTATGGTGCTATTCAATAGTTCTCAATATTTGGTGTTCATCAGACTTATCTAAGATGCTTTTTAAAAATGCAGGTGCTAGGCCGAGGCAGGCAGATCATGAGATCAAGAGATCGACACCATCCTGGCCAACATAGTGAAACCCCATCTCCACTAAAAATAAAAAAAATTTAGCCAGGCGTGGTGGCGTGCGCCTGTAGTCCCAGCTACTCAGAGGTTGAGGCAGGAGAATCACCTGCACCTGAGAGATGGAGGTTGCAGTGAGCCGAGATCATGCCACGGCACTCCGGCCTGGGTGACAGAGCGAGACTCAGTCTCAAAAAAAAAAAAAAAAAGCAGGTGCAGAGACCCACCTCAGACCTGTCAAATCTGAGTCTCTGGGGTGGTGGCAGGGAAAACATCTGCGCCTTAACAGGCTTTCCAGCCAATCCTAAAATACAGTCATGTTTGAAAACCACTGGTTAAACTACCTACATGGCTTCAGATAAGCACACATGACCATCATAGGCTTAGATAACACAGTAGCCAGACTCAGAGAGTTAACATGCAGCCATCGGCTAGAGATTATACGTATAGACTAAGTACATCATTGTATTTGCAGTACACAGACTGATCTTGGACTTTGTCCACAGGAGTATGATGAACAGAAGGACCAAAAGGATTTTGATTACGGCACTGTTTGCCACTACAAAACCACAAAATGGCTTTTCTCTCCACCCTTATATACATGCCAGGGGAAAAGGACATGATCGTCACTGGGACTTTCTCAGAGACCTTCAGGTAGTAGGTTCTATTAAAACTTGAGGAAGGTCTCGGGGGTCAACTTCTGGGGAACCTAGAATGCGGCAAGAAGAATGCAATTCACCAACCCCAATCCTCATCTTCCAGGAAGGCTTCCTAAGCCAACTTGCAGTCTTCTTGCATGCGGGTGGGCCCATAAAATTAGTTCCCACAAATGGAATGTGAGAGGAAGTGTGGCCTATTATCTGGGTGGTGGGAGCAAGGTTGCCTTCTTCATGTGATCTCTCTTCTCTCATCTTCTGGTTACAGAGAATACAGTAAAGAACTCTCTCAGCCTCAAAGGGAATGTCAGAGACTTGAGTGGAAGGAGCCTGGGTCCCTAAGTGGCTCAATGGAGCAGAGCCCATCCCTCACCTCCCCCAGCCTCCAACTTCATTGGGCTGTGATGTCAGTGAGGTTAGAGAAAAGTAAATTCTGGTGGGGAAGGGGAGTAAAGCTGCCTGGGCTTTGGGGTCATTTGTCACAGCAGGTAGCCTGCCCTGCCTAGCACAGACAGATGCATGCCTTATCCTCTTCCCAGATGTCCACCTGGCTCCAGGTGCAATCTCATGACCGGAAGGATACATTTTTACTGTCTTACACCTACACTCTTCCCCGTCCTTTTTCAGCACTTAGGAATCAACTCTTTCCTCTTCCTCCTGGCTCTTTGGGACCTACTCTAGTTTTCTAGTCTGCCATTAAATTTTTCCTGGAAAATGTTTACCACAATTAAGCATCAATACAAAGCCTATTTGTCCTCTACTCCTCTGCTGACATTTTAGTTCAATATATAATCAAAAGGGAAGAAAGCAAAGGGCAAAGTCCTCTGATGTGAGTTTCCAACATCTGGTGCCCCAAGGTACGTAAAGGTAGAAGGCAGCTGAAAGCTGACAGTCTCCTCAGGGTTGCCCTGTCATCCGTCATCCGCAGAATCCATCTTCAGCCCCCAGGTGGGCTTAAAGGAAGTCTCCGAGGCCAGATGTGTACCAGCAGCTGCTGGTGGAAATTGCATTTGGGAAGGCTGTTCTTCTGTTAACCCCAAACACTGTCTTCTCTGGAGCTTTTGGGTGTGCTGTCACATCAGGTGTAGCGGAAGGGAACACACTTGGTGGGCAGAGAGGGCAGGGAGAAATGCTTCAGGTTCCCACCACTTATAAGCTGTGTGATATCCGGTGACTTTATTAACCTTTCTGGGCCTTAGTTACTGGATCCATAAAGTAGGAATGGCATTAGTAGCTACCTCCTAGTTCTGTTATGAGGATTAAATGAAACAATACTTGCAAAAGGCTTAGTGCCTGGCACCTAACAACTGTCAGTAAATGTGAGCAATCGTGGTGGCAATTGTGCTTGTGGTTGTTGTTATTAGAATATCTGGTTTCTTCTGCTCCTGAGTTTCTGGTGATTGTCCAGCTCTTCTACAGGAACTCCATGCCCCCCCAAGTATGCTGAACTACAGTTTTCTTGATTTTAGAGATAGAAGGGATGATCTTCGCAAAAACCTCATTGTAAAGGTAAATAAAGGGCCTACAGTCTAGGGCTGTGAAAAGACATGCTTTTGGTCTCTCAGTGGTTCCACTGCAGTCAGCCCTAGAACCGAGGCTTCTCCTCCAATATCCTTCCTGCCTCCCCACTCTTCCAGTGGGCTTTTCCTACAACCCTCAGGTTCTGAAACTGGACTCCCTGGGTTCAAATCCTGGTCCTGCCAATTCCCAACAGTGTAGTCATAGGAAAGGTCCTTAACCTCAGTGTGCCCCAGTGTGACCTTGACTACAAAGTGGGGAGAACAATTGTCCCGGCCTAGGATGGGCATTAAGAGGACAGAGTGAACTGTGTCTGAGTGTGGGAACCAGGCCTGGCCACCCAGGCCCATGATATTCCACTGAGCCACCCCTGCCTCTCAGATGGGACAAAGTTCAGGACACATTAGCCCCCAGCTCTGCTGACTTGGTGTGTTCCGTGGGCCAGGGCTGACCCATCAGCCTCATCGTCTTTAGCATTTCTAGCAAGTGTTCCCTAGCAGCTCTGCTGAGTGGCATGGCCTAATCCTGCCTGCCAGCTTTACAAAATCAATCTCAAACCACTTCAGGAGGGCGACCAGCCAGGATTTAGCAGTCACTTCTAATGGACGAGAAAATGGAGCCCCGTGTCCCCTGGTGTGTGCTGAGTCAGTGACACAGCACCGCTTGGGAGCCAGGGGCCACTCCTAGGAACGCCACTCCCCCCACACAACTCTGGCCTCACACTTCCAAGCTTGGATGCCCCTGGTGAGCTCAGGCCCAGAATCCCACACTAGAACTCCCAGGACCTCAAGCTGCTGTGACTGTCACAGATGGAATGTGCTGCATTCAAAAACCTGCAATGGAGTCCACAGAACTCCCTGTCAGCAGAAAATCCTCCCTCGCTGCAAAGAACAAGGTGGCTGTGGGGTGACTGGAGGTGAGAGGGAAAAAATCCTCCCACAAACACTGTTAATCCCTATTTGATAGAGAGAAGAGGAAAGGACTCTCATGGTAAGACACATCAATTAGATTCCCATCCTTGCCCCTGGAAACCTCTGGGAACTGAATGTGATCCTTGGGAAAGGCAGATTGGAGGGGTCTTAGCAAACTTGCTCGAATCATTAAAGCAATCACAAGTGGGCACTGGGCTGGAGGTTCCCAAAGAGGAAACCACAGGCCCCAATTCTCCTTGCTCCTGCCTCAGCCCTACTTCCTAACCTCCTCTTCTCCAACAGTGAGCTGCCCATCAAGCCTCCACTCCAGTCACTCCCGTGACCCTGCAGAAAAGGAAGGCACCAGGGCCCTAAGGGAGAGAGCAGTACTTCAAGCATTTCTGCTGTTCCAGATGCCTCTATCTCCCTTTCCCCCTGCCTCTCTCTTTCTCTCTATCTCTCGGCTTCGACTTTTACATTAGGGTCAGCCGCCTCATTCAGTGACTACATGAGGAGAGTCCTTACCCGAGCCCCAGTCTTCCTCCCCTGTCTCAAGTCGAGGAATGCAGACACCTTGGGCAGCCTTTCAGACAGCGTCTCCGCAGAGTGATTTGTGGCCTGCGCAGTTGGGGCAGGATCATTAAGTATGTTGATGATGACAGCCCGTGAGCGTGTCACAGGGTTACTGAGCGTTGGGACAAGAGTGTGGGGGCTCTTCTAAAGGAAATGAAAACAGCTATTTTCAACCTCATCAGCTCATCTTCCTCCTATGAAATTTCAGCCTTACAGCAACAGCCCCAAACTCCACACTGAAGCTGCCTCCTTCTGCTCTCCTCCCCTCTGAAAGGAATGCTTTCCCTAGGCTGAGAGTGCAGGTGGCATTTTAGGTGCTCAAGGGTAGCCCTTTGACATGGGCATGATTTACTGGACCTGATCCTGGTAACCTCCAGCTCTCGCCTGCCCCATCCCTCTTTTTTTAATCAGTGAGACTGGATTATGATTCTGCTTAGAAACAATGGTAAGCCATGTGGCCCCCATATCAAAGTAATCCCCAGGCTTCAGTGGCAAATAAAAAGCCGTCTCCAAGGAGGCCTTGAAATGGCAAGGCTTGCAATGTGATCTGCAGTACAAGCTCCTGCCTGGGCATCTCCCAGCACTGAGTATTGTGGGAGATTTGTCAAAAAGAAGGGGGAAGAGAAAAGCCCATGACAACTCCAGAATTGTTTCGGTTTTGTTAGCAAAGACAAGATAAGCAAAACAATCTCTATCAAATTCGATTAATTCTTTTCTTGCTATTAATTCTTTTCTTGCTAATTCATTTAGCCGTGTTTATCATGAAGGCTGAGACATCAAATCTCAGGGGGCAGTGCTCCCCTACACCACACTGAGACGTTGTTGCACAATAAGGAAGCAAGTCATCCTGATCAAGGTCACCTGTCCGTCACATGGCACCTTGAGAGCCACTTCTCCTTGGGAGTGGGAGTGAGGGCTGGTCTGAGTCACTTCTCATTCCTCGCTCCTGAGATTGCGTGGTGGTGGCAGCCAGCAGCTGGCTTTCTGCTCTCTGATGCCAAACTCTCTTCCCTGCCTGGCTGCATAAGAGAAGACCTCCTCACCCCGCCTCCCCAACCCCCTTGTAATAAAGGACTTTTGCAATTGAAAAGCTAGATCCTCTGTCCATAGAATTTTCTGAGAATATTGTAGCATAGAACTTTTTGCCCAAGGCAGCTGAATGTTAAAGACATTAGTTAATTAAGTCTCAGAATACTGTCATCACTGTCTACTTCCTCTCATGCCAAGAGACTAAAGAATACAGTGCATCCAGCCAAGTCCAAAGAAAAAGACAGCAGGGAATGAAATTCTCCAACCCTAATATTATTCAGCACCTTAAGTCTTATTGAGGTGCCTGAGAATGGGGCTGCCTTGGGTCAGGTGGGCTATACCCAGGACTCACTTTGGAAGACCTCAAAACAAACCAGGCCCTGCCCCTTCCTAGCTGTGTGAATTTGGGCAAGTATCCCAGTTTCTCTGAGCCTCAGTTTCTGCATCTGAAGAATGGAGCTCTTAATACCTACTTCATAGGGTTGCTGGAAGAATGAGCTATAAGAATATATGTGAAAGTGCCATTGAAATATTTGTACCCATAGAGTCTAATGGGGCCTCAGAGGGGCAGGTAGCTTACTAAGACTTCTTCAGCCTCCCTAAGAGCTAGGAAACAGCAACAGATGCTGACTGAAAACTCTAGAGTCATCCAGAGGTAAAGGTCACTCTACAGATGGTATATGACAAATATACCATTGTTTTCAGTCCTCTCCTGCAGGAAACAACAGAAACTCTTTTTAAGCATCTTAAAACACACACACAGAACTCTCTTCAATAGTGGTTAGCAAGCATCTGTATGTGTTCCTCGTCATCAGGTTTCTAGAAATCTAATTGCTGAAGCTGATGTCTCTCTGTGAAGTAAGCTGATCTGCTCAAGTGTCCCCTTTTGCTGCTTTGACACCTCCACGGAGCTGCCCGGTGCCATCCGCGGCTCGTGCAAACACTCTGCTCCAAGATTATGAGCGAGTGACAGCACAGCCTTTCAAGGTGTGCTAAATGAGAAATGTGCAATTTAGGCAGAGCATTCACATGTTTGAATGGAGGATGGCAACTGTCGAGGCTGCCGGCATTGAACGGAAATTGATGTTCTGGTTGCTATCTACCTAGCAGAAATGAGTTCTGGGAAATCAGCCTCAGCAAGAGGGACAGAGGAGCAGGTGGACAGAGGAAGAAAGTGAATCCTCTTGAGAAGAGTTTCCCCCTTTGTTACTTTCACTGTCCTGTGCATCTCTGCTGGTAGTTTGCTTCGTGGGTCTTTGTGGGCGATGGCTTTGTGAATCCCATCCAGCCTCCACTTCAGAGCATGAAGGAGCAGATGCATTAACAAAGGAGGGCAAGGGATGCGCTACAGAGACACAAGTTTCTCACTGAGAAATGGAGATTTGAGGACAGCAGGGGGTGTGCCTTGAGCAGAAGGATTTTGCAAGGAGAGGAAGCCTGTGACTATTGTCAGGGGAGATACCCTTTGCTTGTTTTAGGTTATATGTCCCAGTTATACTTGGAAGAGAAGGAAGTGGCATCACAGGGTGGAGGAATGCCTTTGGAACAGTCCAGCAATTTCCCACTTCTAACAGACCCCGTTCTGGGACACAAGGAGAGCCCAACGACCCAGCGAGATGCTGGGTTCAGCCTGGAGACCGACTGGCTGAATCCACATGCATCTCAGATAAAGCGTCTCAGATAAGGGACCACTCTGTCCCTGCTCAGGGAAGCAGGGAAGCAGACAAGCTTTGCTGTGATTGCCAAACTTAAAAAGGCTGTACCTCTCCAACCTCTGTGTGTTTCAACAGCAAAAGAATCTTCAGCCATCAGCCCTGGCCTTGTGCTTCCACTGAGCTCTGGGTCCCTTTGCACTGCCCTCATTTGATGATGACTGTTTTTATATCTGTCCCTCATGTAACAGAATGAAAAGCACCCCAGCAGAAGCAGGCCCTTATTTTTAAAAAGTGACCCCAATAAATCTCATGTATCATTCAGTCACCACAAACCCTGAGGGGTATTTGTTCATTCTCAACAGGTCTTGGCTTTAGGTGATTGGAGAGAGAGGGAAAAGGGGTTTCATAGACCTCTTTGGAAATCTGATAAAAGCTACAGATACCAGGGCAGAAAAATGAACACACATGCTAAAAGTTGTATATAATTTCAGGAAGTTCACACTTTCCTCGAACTTCAGATTAAGAAACCCTACTCCAGTTGTTTCCAAAAGTAGGGAGGTGCCTAGATCTCTGTCACCCATCCTTGGACCAGAAGGACGTTTGTATAGAATTAGAGAGGCACTGATTCTCTACATGCAGCCCTCTTCACTTGGACAAGGTGAATGCCCTCTTTGATGCTTGTCTCTTTGCTGTTTATGGAAACAGTGCTTTTACCTGGTAACAGAGCGTAGTGTGTGTGTGTGTGTGTGTGTGTGTGTGTGTGTGTGTGTGCAGAGAAAGGCATCAAGATAAAAAATCGCCCCCTCACCCATCAGAAAACAATGGACTCTGATAGAAATTGGTTTTTCTTTTGATTTAGAGCTTTAAAAATCAAAATATAAACTACATGTTCATGGACTGCTTCTTAAAAGCTCTCCAAATGGTTTTATGCTGCTATTCAACATTATCCACATCCACACACACTGTCGAATACCTACTATTGGGTAATGCCTTTTTCTTGAAGGTTAGTTCCCAAGTGAGCTGTAGAAAAATGTTCATGAAATACCTAAGGGCATTGAGATTTCTGGTCTAGAGGAGAGGATCACCTAGTGATTTTTTAACTGCCCCTACACCACTTGTTAGAGGAATAGGGATTCAGCAACTCATTTTTTGGCTATAGATTCAGAACTCATAAAGGTAAGGTGCCATGATTTTATTGTTTGTGACCACCCTCCCAGATTCATATATTGAAATCCTAACTCCCAAGGTGATGGTATTAGGAGATATTGCATTTGGGAGGTTATTAGATCATGAGGGTGGAGCCCTTATAAATGAGATTAATGCTCTTATAAAAGAGGCCCCAGAGAGATCCCTGGTCCCTTCTGCCATGTGAGGACTCTACGAGAAAATGGCCTTCTATGAACCAGGAAACAGGTCCTCAACAGACACCGAATTTGCCAGTGTCTTGATCTCAGACTTCCCAGCCTCCAGAACTGTGAGCAATAAACTTGTGTTTATAAGCTACCTAGTCTAAGATATTTGGTTTGTTTGCCCTTTCTAGGGCAGCTATGTTTAAGCTGGATGCTCAGAGAAAAAGAGAATGCAGGGAAAGAATGAATAGACCTGTAGAGAAAAGCAGAGGCAAAGTGCCATGTGGACAGGAAGAAAGAGCGAGCAACCTTGGTGTCTGTGGCTGGCTAAGGAGATTCTGTGCAAGGATGCCCACCAACAGTCCTCCCAACCCGGTGCGTGCATGCTGCTCTCCCCATCAGGAGGTGACGTCTGTTCACCTGCCCTTAAATTCAGCTGGTCTTATGATTTACTTTGACCAAGAGAGTGTGTTGAGAGTAATGCTGTGTGATTTCCAGGACAGGCCTTAAAAGACCTTGCAGTTTTCATTTTCACCCTCTTGGAAGCCGATCAAATGTAGTAATGCATGGCCTTGGTTTCTGAACTATAAAGACCATGTACTGAGAGAGAATTTATGTGAAGGAGAACTGAAAGGTCCCAGCCCACAGCAAAGACCAAGCCCCAGACATGCAAGTGAGTCTGTTTTGGATGCCCCAGGACAGTCTAGCTACCTTAACTGACACCGTCAGAGGGGAGAGACCCAGCCACACCAGCTTGACTAAGGTGTTTGAGCCATTGCATGTGAAGTCCCAGACATGTAGAGAAGAGATGAACCATCCATCCTAAGCCCTGCCCTAGTTCCTGGCCCATAAAAATCACAAGAAAATAAAGTGGTTGTTGCATTAAACCACTAGGTTTTAAGGTCATTTGTTGCACTGCAGGAGATAACTGCTACCCAATATCCCTTTCTTTTTCTTCTTTACCAGCAGAAACAGATTGTATGTGAAGTCACAATTGGCCTACTAAAAAAAAATGCTTTCTCAAATCAAAATTGCAATGAGATACCATCTCGTGCCAGTTAGAATGGCGATCTTTAAAGAGTCAGGAAACAACAGATGCTGGAGAGCATGTAGAGAAATAGGAATGCTTTTACATTGTTGGTGGGAGTGTAAATTAGTTCAACCATTATGGAAGACAGTGTGGCAATTCCTCAAGGATCTAGAACCAGAAATACCATTTAATCCAGCAATTCCATTACTGGGTATATACCCAAAGGATTATAAATCATTCTACTATAAAGACACATGCATACGTATATATACTACAGCACTATTAACAATAGCAAAGACTGGAAACCAACCCAAATGCCCATCAATGATAGACTGGATAAAGAAAATGTGGCACATATACACCATGGAATACTATGCAGCCATAAAAGGATGAGTTCATATCCTTTGCAGGGACGTGGATGAAGCTGGAAATCATCATTCTCAGCAAACTAACACAAGAACAGAAAACCAAACACTGCATGTTCTCACTCATAAGTGAGAGTTGAACAATGAGAACACATGGACACAGGGAGGGGAACATCATACACTGGGGCCTGTTGGGGGGTTGGGGGGCTAGGGGAGGGATAGCATTAGGAGAAATACCTAATGTAGATGACAGGCTGATTGGTGCAGCAAATCACCATGGCATGTGTATACCGATGTAACAAACCTGCACGTTCTGCACATGTATCACAGAACTTAAGTATAATAAAAGAAAAAAAAAGCTTTCTCATCTTTCTTTCAGTCATGGATCACCAAGTGGCTAAATTCTAGCCAATGAGATATCACTGGGTGGAAACTCTCAGAGAGCTTTCCAAAAGGTTAGATGTGTCTAACATTCCTTTTCATTTTATGTCCCTGTGTCTTTTTCCAGATTAGGATGCAGACCTCCTCCTTTGATGATCAGCAGCCACCTTGCAACCATTCAAGGGTGGACAAAAGCTCCACCCCTGAATTCCTAATGACATGGATAAGTGCAACTTTTGAAATTATTTCATGAGAAAAATAAGACTTCTGATTGTTTAAGCCAATATAACTAGTTGTTGGGGTTTAGTCGTTGTTTTGTTTCTTTTTTATTGTTTATTTATTTGTTTTGGTTGCTCGCATCAAGCACATTTCCAATTTACATATTGTAAATTCCAGGCCCCATTGGAATTTGCAATTCAAGACTCAGCTGCATTTCAGCCCTTGGATTCTGTGAGATAACTCGGTATCTTAATACTTTTTATTATTTTCTTCACCTAGCTTGAGTAGGTTTCTGTTACCACTAATTAAGCAATCCCTCACCAAGACAAGGAAGCTTGAGTTGAGGGTACAAAGGGAGAGTTTTGCAAGGGTGATGCTCTCTTTTACTGAAGACAAGGCCAGAGACTATTTCTCAGCAGCCAAAGAGGTTAGGGCTATGACCTACTCAGGTTATGAGCCATTGGAAAGATTTCCAGGGGTCTTTGAACAACCTCCTTCCTTGGAAATCATCTGAGTAGGGTGGGCAGCTGTTTTTGGGGGCTGGGTTAGTTAGGTATGGCCCTCCCTGTAGACAAGCACATCAGAGAGGTAATCTTAGATGTGGAGATGCAGTTTCTTTGTATGGTCAAACACGCAGCTCAAGCAAAGAGCTAGAGGCACTCCTGGCCCTCTGTCTGTACTCCGGTGAGGCTTCAAAGAAGAAATTGCCAAGCTAAAGGGAGCACAGGCATGGTCCCTTCTACAGGTATTCTCTGTCCACAGGCTTCAGGGCTGTACTTAATGGTGTAGAATGGAATCATCCTATTCATTACTGGTTTCTTTGAAGCATCTTCTTCATAGCAATCCTCCGGTTGCAGATTTCTTCTTTCCTGACTTACTGAAGCAGCGGATATGATTTTTAGATCTGACTGCTCTTGCCACCTGCGGTGGAGGTTGATGCTGGGTAAGGCCATGCTGACTGTGCTGCTGCAGGCCCTGGGTCCGTTTTGATGTGGTTTCTGGGTAGCACCATTTCAGCCCTCCTGGGGTGCTTAAAAAAACCCAGAGCCAACTGCCATCCACAGCAGGTGGTGGGTCCCAAGTTACTGCTGCTCCCCATGAGGAGAGAGCACTGTTCTCTGCTTTCCTGCTTGCAGGATTGTTCCAGTTTAGAAAAGGCCCACAGAAAATCAAATGTTCATTTCCTTCACAGAACAGCTGAGAGGCTCTCTTTTTCACACAACCACGAACTTCCTTCCAATAGAATTATTGATACTTAAATGTCATCTCAATGGTAGCAGAAATTTTTCACTTGTTAGTGATTTGGGGGCTGGGAAAAGGTGGGGAAGCAGAAAATTTGATAGTTCTTTTTAACATGCCTTATACGAAGGCATTTTCTGGAAGATGTTGGTTTGTTACTATCCAGCATTTGACCCCAAAGAGAAAATTGCATTCTGATGGAAAACTAGGAATTCATTTCTGAGCACTAAATTGTAGACATTTATCTGGAAAGATGTTCAACATGAATTTTTAAGTGAAAAAAGGTGGGTTGCAGGACTATGCATAGCACGATCTTAATTTTGTCTAAATAAAGAAAGAGAGAAAGGAAATGAAAGAAGGAAAGAGGAAGGAAGAAAAATCATTTTAAAGTTATAATTCTGTATATCCAAAAAAGACCATAAAGGTTAAATATTAACAGTTGTTATGGTATTTATTTGGGTGGGATTATTTGTGATTTCTGATTTCTTTTACTTACTTTTGTCTATTTTCCAGATTTTCTATAATGAACAGTAAAACATTATTAGAAGTATTATTTTAGCTGACATTAATCTTGCATACCATTTCTAAAAACCTTATATTGTTGTTTCTTACAATATTAACCTATACATGGGTTTTCCAACTATAGCTAGCTATCTATTGTTTTTGTTATTGAGCACAACAAAGAATGGAACAGATAGGGCACGTAAATAATTCAAACTATCTTAGAATCTTGTCTTCCCTCTTCCAAGATTATTTGTAAGTTTCCAGATGAATTTACTACGGTTCTATTACTAGTCATGTCTCTTCATTCACTCACCAAATAGTTTTTGAGCATCTACTATGCGTGGTGAGCTAGAGAGAAACTGTGGCTATGAGACACTGTCTCTCTAGGGCCTACTCAGAGTGGATGATGAGTTCCGTCCTGAAATCTAGTTTCTGCTGAGGGTCAAGGTCACTGGAGTGCATGTGAAAAAAATGTGCTGAGACCGTGTGTGGGCTCAGGGGGAAAGAAAGCCATGGTCAACTAGGAGGCTCTGCCATAGCTGTAGGAAGAAGAAATGAGGCAGGTGCATAGGAGATTGGCCAACCTTGGTGATGTTTATGGTCAGGGAAAAAAAGGAACACAGGAATGGAACAAAATAAGAGGAAATAATGTGAGTAACCTATGTAAGAAATACTCGGCCTTTGACTAAGAGAAAGCTGGTGATATGGTTTGGCTGTGTCCCAATCCAAATCTCATCTTGGATTGTAGTTCACCTAATTCCCAAGTGTTGTGGGAAGGACAGAGTGGGAGATAATTGAATCATGGGGGTCATTTCCCCCATACTGTTATTGTGGTAGGGAATAAGTCTCATGAGATTTGATGGTTTTATAAGGGGAAACTCCTTTCACTTGACTCTTATTATCTTCTCTTGTTTGCCACCATGTGAGACGTGCCTTCACCTTCCACCATGATTATGAGGCCTCCCCAGCCACATGGAACTGTGCCTCTTTCCTTTATAAATTACCCAGTCTCAGATATGCCTTTATTAACAGCATGAAAACAGACTAATACAGCTGGCCTTTGCCCTCCCCCGACTCCCACCTCTAAGGCTGCTGGTTTTCCAATTTGCTTTTCCTGTTCCCTGAAGTTCTGCATAGTCACTGAGAGCCTGGCCTGCTAAAGTATTTGCCCTTCCTTCCCCTTTTCTCCCATATCTCCATCTGAAGGGAATAACTTTGAAGGCAATGATCCTACAGGACCTTGATCCACCACAGCCCCTCTAGCATCCTATCTGCACCTGGATAGTATAGCTACCCACTGGAATCTTGTTTCTTTTTCATTCAAGAAAGCAAAGATCAAGTTTAAGTGTACTATTTTGACAAAAATAAAATAAATTTGAAAATGCTGGGGATATGTGGTTTGCTGATTCCCACCTTTACAGCCACAACCACTTACAAATCTTTCTAATGTTTTGTCAGATTCTGGATCCAATACCTTGCAGTCATGCATAGATGCCCATAATGGTTATTTATGTTCTTGGTGAGTTTATTCTCCCATTCTGCTAGGGTCATTTATTTCCACAGGAGGGTGATACCATACAATATTGGTTTTCATGAGGTGCTGCACTGACATTTTTGTACTGCAGGAGGAATGGGGGCTTAGGGAGGCAGACCAAGTTCAAGGGTAACCAGCTTAGGAACACATCAGAGCTGAGGAACCTCTCAGGCCTTTATCCATAGGTGCACCTTAAGTTGGTTTTGTAGGCAAATTCTAAACAATGGGTTAAAAAATCATTTGCGTAAACAGAGTGGGGTCCCGGGAGGGAGTGGGATCCTGTGGAAGAGGACAAAAGAGAGACAGGTACATTGGGTGTAACTTTTATTGAAAACAATTAGCATTTCAGTGGGTTTGCGGAATTCAAACCTGTGTTGTTCAAGACCAATTGCATTAACAAAATTATGTGTAAGGCTGGTGTTGGGGGCACATGGAACCAGCACTTGCTATGAAAAGTCCAGGGGGCTTTCCAGTGGGTAACAGGAGAATAAACCTGAATGTGTAACTTCTGTTTATGATGACGGTGAACAAGAGAATGTACCCTAATTTAAGGCAGAACGCCCTCTTATCTCTGCGCTTGGCTCATCTCAGCCTTCAAACAGTAGTAGAGTCTGAAGTGAGGGAAAATGAGAAATTATACTAGTAAAGAAAAACCTGGGAGGCTGAGGCAGGAGAATCGCTTGAATCCAGGAGGCAGACATTGCAGTGAGCCGAGATTGTGCCACTGCACTCCAGCCTGGGCAACAGAGAGAGACTCCTTCTAGAAAGAAAGGAGAGGAGAGGAGAGGAGAGGAGAGGAGAGGAGAGGAGAAGAGAGGAGAGGAGAGGAGGGGGAGGGGAGGGGAGGGGAGGGGAGGGGAGGGGAGCGGAGGGCGAAGGCCCATGAGTGAATAAACTCAGTGACTTTAAGGGTTCCTTGGGAAAAGTGAAAAAGCCATGAAGCTCAGAAGAATTGGGACACATGAAACCTCTATCCAGTTTGAGACATAACCAGTGGGATGAATTCCACCTCGGCCAGCTTCTTGAAAAGCTGGGGTGCCTGAGGAAAAGGGAGATTTTTCTTTCATGGAGTAAATAGGTAGTGTAGGTTAATGTTTGATGGGTTGTGTGAAATCCCCAGAAGTCTCAGGGCATTAAACACCACAGTAGATTAAACGACACCAATTGCCATCATATTACCGTGAGAGAACGATTAAAGTGTAAACCATCACAAGGAATTTGAGTGATCTACATGACTCAATCAGCAAAGCAACCACACCATGAGAAGCTTTTGAAGCTAATGGAGAAGCATCCCTGCATGCCAAGTAGCAAAACGTCTAAGTTACAATTCAACCTGCTCCAGGAGCTCAGGTGCTCTTAAGCCACTCGACATAAGTATATATCAATTCCTAAAAATTAGTGCTGTGGTATCCTAATAACTTACACTGGAATAGCTCTTTGCAGACACTCAATATAACAGTTTTTATTAAAAAGTTGACACATATTATTGCAGAGCATTTCTCCTCCAATGACAATTCATAATAAGTACAGAAAACTCACAACAGAGAAAGATCATGTTTAATAAGCATTTATTATGTCCCCACAGCATGCCATTGCTGAAAAGGATATAGACATAGAAAGGAACTTTACACTCAACTAAATTAAAATCCAAAGAAAGGAAGAGTTGACCCTTGAACAACATGGAGATTGGGGAGCCAACCTCCAATGCAGTTGGAAATCCAGGTATAACTTTTGACTCCCTCAAAACTTTACTAATAGCCTACCGCTAACTGGAAGGCTTACTCATAACATAAACAGTCAGTTAACACATATTTTTAGGTGTTATATGTATCATATATTGTATTCTTTCCACAAAGTAAGCTAGAGAAAGGAAACTGTTAAGAAAATCATAAGAAAGAGAAAATATATTTACTATTCACTATGTGGAAGTGGATCATCATAAAGGTCTTTATCCTTGTTGAGTAGGCTGAGGAGGAGAGGGAAGAAGAGGGATTCTTGCTGTCTCAGGAGTGGCAGAGGTGGAAGAAGTGGAGAAGGTGGAAGGGGAGACAGGAGAGGCAGGCACATTTGTGTAACTTTTATTGAAAAACAAAATAGCATTTCAGTGGGCTCGCGGAGTTCAAACCTGTGTCATTCAAGGCCAATTGCATTAATAAAAATTATGCATCAGGCTGGTTGTGGGGGCACATGAAGCCAGCACTTGTCACGAAAAGTCCAGGGAGATTTCCAGTGGGTAACAGGAGAATAAACCTGAACGTGCACCTTCTGTTTATAATGAAGGTGAACGAGAGAATGTACCCTCCTAGCTTATTTTCTTCCCGTCCCACTCCTGCAGGAATAGAATTAGAAATGCAGCTGCATATAGATTTTTTTTGCATGTAGGCAGTTATTTCTAAGATAGTCTCCGTTGGCCAACCTGTCCTGATGACATTTCATATAGAAACTGTAAATGTCCTTGCCTCAATAGAGAGTCCTGATATTACCCAGCTGACATCAACACTGTGGCTTCATTGTGTTCTTTCCATCAGAGTTTAATTTCCTCAGTCAAACACAACTCCTGATAAAGAACCACCTATCACTCTGCCCAATTCCTCTGACCTATTTTGACCAAATGAAATAACATCTATATTGAACGTGGGTTTTTTTCCCTGACCAGGCAAATCTTCAGAGGAGATGCTGGCGTGCAGTGCAATCTTTCCAAGTTTTTCATGCTATAACCTGCGGTCCGTCTTGCAAATTAAGTATGATTTGGTTTGGTGGAGTTGATCTCTGGGACATTGTCCCCATTCTGCCTGAATTTTCCCTCCACCATTCTAGTCCTCCTCCGCGTCTGTCTCAGATAGTCCCTCACAGAGGCAGTACAGCTTGGTGCAGAGAATATGGATTTTGAAGGCCAGTTGCCTTGGGGTATAAGTCAGGCACTGATACTTACCGGTTGTGTGGCTTTGGGCAAGTTACTTTACCTCTCTGAGCATAGATCTTTTCCGTGTAAAAACAATAATTCCTCCCTCAAAGGGCAGTCAGTTCCAAGGCTTACATGAGATAATACTTGTCAGGTTTTAGACACATAATTGATAATCCATGTCAATTGCCACTGACTTGCCTCACTGACAATCCTGGGGCCCAGGACCAGGTTCCCTACCCTCACTTGGCTTTATCACAATCAGTTATTGGGTGTTTTTTGTTTTGTTTTGTTTTGTTTTGTTTTGTTTTTGTCTTCAAAGAAAGAATGTAACAGTTTAATGGATATAAAGGATAAGCGCACAAAATACAAACATTTCACTTTATTTTATATTTCTAAATATTTATATACTCTGCTTACATATAAGAAAAGGTAAATTCTGAAGCAGGCTGAGAATTAAGTAACTGTAAAATTTTTTTAGCAGAAAGTAATTTGGATACCAAGACTAAGCTGAAAAAAAACAAGATCTCACTCAATATTACAAAGGGAAAGAATGTTTTTGATGCTCCATGATCAAAGAGGGAACCCAGAATGATTTATAAACATGTTTGTCAAACTCTAACATATGTGGAAACCACCTGAATATTCACTGGATATTCACAGTGGGTGCTGAATAGTAACCTGCATTTTAACAAGCCCACCACGTTTTTTGTTGTTGTTGTTGTTTTTGATGTAGCAGGACTAAACTTTGGTAAACCCTGACTTAGAAAGGAGGCCATCATTAGAAGAAAAGACCAGCGACGTAACCCAGTATAACCCAGCAGCCAAACAATGTTTCCCATCTCTTTCTTCTCCTCCTCCCCTTCGTGCTTTCTCCCCTTTCTGTCTCTGTCTGTCTCTGTCTCTCTGTCTCTCTCTCTCTCCCAGCTCTGGCTCAACCTTGATGCTGGGGAAAAATGGAAATGTAATTGGTTTCCTCACGTATACAGTCAAGGTGGGGGTAGAGGATTGGGAAGAAGGATTACTCAGCATCATTTGCTAAATGAGAAAACCTGTGGCAATCAAGAGATTCCTTTCTTGGGAAAAGTTTAAATCTACAGCCCCAGAAAAGCTGCACAAATTAACTATCCAGTGAAACTCCCAGAATTTCTAAGAGTCCCAGTCAAACATGGGGGGTAGGCATGTAAAAGGAGAAGATAAATAAATTCGAGTCTAATCTAAGACCACGGAAAACAAGACTGAGTTAAGCAAGGTTTAAGACGAGTCAAAGATTAGGGAAAAGGCACCCAAATCTACATAAACACTCATACATCTCCAAAAGGGTGTTTCACGCACTTTTTAAAAGCTGTGTATATTAGTCACAATAGGCTAGATTATACGGCAGCGATGTATCAACCCCTAATCTCAGTAGGTTAAAACAGAAAAGGATTATTCTAACTCATGCTGAATATCTATCTAAGGGTGTCTGAACACTCTGCTCTGTGCCATCCTTGTTTGTCATCCTCATCCTGGGACCCAGGCTGAGTGGCCACTACTTGAAGCAAGGCCAGTAAACATGGCAAAACAAAAAAGAGAGGGGTGAGGGTGATCTGGATGGTCCCGCATTGGCAATGAAATGTGCCAAACCAGAGATATGTGCTCATTGCCCCAGATCAGTCACATGGCTCCACCCAACCATTAGAGGCCAGGAAGGACAATGCTACCATGCACCTGGAAGGGGGAAGAACCAGAATTATTGGTGGACAGCACTAATGACAAAACAATGTGGCACCGTGGCACTTTTTTATTCAAATAAAATATTATGCAGGACCCAAAATATGAGATATGTTTACTGGAGCTGCTCTGATTCAAGCTGAGAGGAGAGGGCGAGGTTGGAATTCAACCCCCACCACGAGACCCCTCCTCAGGCAGCCCCTGACACATCTCTGAGGACCCAGGACTCCTGGAGGCAGTTTGATGACCACTGCTCTAAAACACGCATTGCATTGTGTGTCTTATGTAAGTGCTGTTCTCTATTTATTGATGATTAATTGTTTTAATAAATGATTTTATTCTAATGGAAAGGTTTAATTAAATAGAAAAGCATTGTTCTGTGGCAAGCCTTTCTGTTTGAAACGGATGGTTACAAACAAAGCCTTACTTTTTACATATCATAAATGCAGACAAAATACTTATTAGAAAATAAACAACTCTAAAAATAGCCTCTGAACTTTACACCCTGCTCAATAAAATGAAGCGCACACAGAAGCTGGTTTCAAAGAGTACCCGTGCTACAGCATGCGTGACGCTCAAGGCCATTATGCTGAGCGAGATGAGCCAATCACAAAAAGACAAATGTCACAGGAGTCTGCATATGCCAGGTATCTAGAGTGGTCAAATGCATAGAAACAGAAACTAGAATTGATGTTGCCAGGGGTGGAAAAGTGAGGAGTTACTTAGTGGGCATAGAGTTTAGTTTTGCAAGATGAAGAAAGTTCTGGAAATCAATTGCACCACAATGTAAATACTTCACACTACTAAACTATACACTTAAACATGGTTAAGATGGTACATTTTATTATATATATATTTGAGATGGAGTCTTGCTGTCACCTAGGCTGGAGTGCAGTGGCACAATCTTGGCTCACTGCAACCTCCGCCTACCAAGTTCAAACGATTCTCCTGCCTCAGCCTCCCGAGTAGCTAGGATTACCAGTGTGCACCACCATATCTGGCTGATTTTTGTATTTTTAGTAGAGAAGAGGTTTTACCATGTTGCCCAGGCTGGTCTCAAACTCCTGACCTCAAGTGATCCGCCCATCTCAGCATCCCAAAATGCTGGCATTATAGGTGTGAGCCACCACACCCAGCCAATGCTATGTATATTTTACCAAAATTTTTTTTTCAAATAAACTTAAAAATGAATACCAGTGGTTCCTCATTCTTGAATAAAACTTTACTTTTCATTATACCTGTTCACTAACTAACATTTAAAACACTTTTCTTCCTTTCTACATCTCTAATTACAATTGAATTAAAATTTAACCTTCTGATCATAACAGAAAACATGCTTAAAGTCCAGTCTTTATTTGCTGTCATCTTCACTACCCCATCCTAGATCAAAATAAAATATTTAACTTGTTTTTGCCCAACTCTGTCTGGTAGGAAAGTATCTTACCCTGCTATTGACCTACCCATGACTGTAATGGGTTTGCACCAGGGTCTTTGGAAAGGCCGTAGTTTTTGAGCTTTTCTGGCCCAGATGGGAAGGAGATGCTGCCGTTTTCAGAAGTTCTGCCTGACGGTAGCTTAGTATCTTAGGAACTTGCTGAACTTGCTTTTGTGGAGGCTGGCACACTCTGAAGTCCTCCACCAGAAGGATGAATGGGCTGTGGAGCATGCACAGAGTGGTGGCTAGAGGGGCACACACTGGGTCAGCATCATGGGGGGAGCGTGTGTTGGGGAGAAGCACACAGCTCTGAGGTCCGAGGAACCGGTGATCTCAGGAAAATTGCTTAATGTTCACCTTCAGTTTCCCCACCTATACAGCAGGAATTAGCTGAAATCTAAGGGTATATGAGAATTCATTAACTTAATAAAAAAAAAACATATTGAGCACATTATGTGCCAGGCACTGTGCTAGGTGCTGGGAATATATCAATAAACAAAACAGACCAAAATTCTATACTCATGGAGCTTGGATTCTTAGTTGAGAGAGACTGTCAATAAATAAATAAGTAAAGTATATGACATGTTAATGGTGATAAGTGCTATGAAGATAAATAGTGTGCATGGGTGATTGTGTGTATGTGTGTGTATGTGTGCACATGTGTGTGTGTGTGTGTAATTTTAAATAGGATGACCAGGGAATTCCTCACTGAGAAAGAGATATCAGAGTAAAAAAAAAAGACATAAAGACATAAAGGAGGTGAGGGAGCAAGCCTTGGGGATATCTGGCAAAAAAAACATATGTGCAAAGGCCCTGAGGCCTGCGTGGCTGGATCAGAGCACGAAGCAAGCAAGTGGTAGGAAGTGGGGTCAGAGCAATGCCAGCAGGTGCAGAGGTAGATTGCTCAGGGTACTATAGGCCATTGCAAAGACTGAATTTTACTCTGAGTCAAAAGAGAGGATGCTGGAGCAGTAGGGAAGAATATGCTCTAACTCACATTTTAACACTATCTTTCTGGTGCTCTGTTGAGAGAAGAGTGAAGGCAACAAAGACAAAAGAAAGGAAGCCTGTCAGGAAGCTTCTGCAAGCATCTTTCCAGGTGAAAGATGAAGGCAGCTTGGAGCAAGGTGGTGGTGGTGGAGGTGGAGAGATTAATTCTAGTGAAGCACTCACTACTGTTTCTGGCACAGAATAAGTGTCCAGTGGGTGGTGATGGTGCTTATTATTATTAACAAAGTACATGGGGAGAAGTGGGAAGTCAGGGGCAAAAGAAAGCCACAACATTCAGTGTGCCAGACATTATCTGAATAAAGGGAAGGCAGAGCCAGAAACGTAGGATAATGACAGCCTGGGTATCAGGGGTAATCTCAGAGGCACTATTTTGGGACCAGAATAAAAGATTGTTCTGAGCTTCAAAGGCACCATGCGGGTGCTGCAGCAAGGGATCTGTCCCTGAGCCAAATCCTCCAGAGAAGCAGAGAATTAAGAAAAGTCAAGGTCAGCTAGGAGACTATCTGGATTCAGAGACACAGGAGACTCAAGAGTTGAGGGCATTTTGTTTGTTTATTTTTATATACCAAGATACATAATGTAGAAACCTCCCTGGTTTCTACATGGAAGCTAGAAACCACATAAGCACCTAAATACTATATCAGAAACACTTTAATTTAGCTAAATCAATATAAAAAGGGGCAAATGGAAGCCAAGTTTGGCCTTTCAGAAACCTAATGATCCCTTGCCCTTCCTGTTCAGGGGTAGATACTGAATCTTTCACCATGGCCATGCAAGAAGGGGAACTCTATTTGAGAAAGTAAATGCTTTAAGGGCAATATTTCCATAAGGTTTTTTTCTTTGTTTGTTTGTTTTGTTTTGTTTTGTTTTCTGAGATGGAGTCTTGCTCCGTCACCCAGGCTGGAGTGCAGTGGCGTGATCTCGGTTCACTGCAACCTCCACTTCCCGGGTTCAAGCAATTCTCCTGCCTCAGCCTGCCAAGTAGCTGAGATTACAGGCATGTGCCACCTCGCCCAGCTAATTTTTGTATTTTTAGCAGAGACGGGGTTTCACCGTGTTGGCTAGGCTGGTCTTGAACTCCTGACCTGGTGATCCGCCCGCCTCGGCCTCCCAAAGTGCTGGGATTACAGGCATGAACCACTGCGTGCAGCTCTCCATAAGGTATTTAAGATTGCTCCCCACTTTCCAAACGTTAACTAAGTCACTCCGCTAAATGCACAAGCACATTGGCGGTTGCCAATTGCTCCCAGGCCTGGTCACTGCCTGCGCTAACTAGCTCTCTCTAACTGTGTAAGAGGCTTTGAGTGTAAAATGTACAGGCAACAGAAAAGATAGGCCTGGGGTGAGTCACTGTCAAGAGCCCTGGTGGCAAAGCCCCTCCTCCTTTCATCTCTTTAGGGATGTAAGAAATGCTTGACATGCAATGATGTCTGTTTTGCCTCTGCCCCCATGCAGGTAGGAAATGGCTCTAGAATAGCACTGTAGCTCTTTCTGCAATGACGGAAACGGTCTACGCCTGGGCTGTCCAATATGATTACCATCCGGCCACATGTGGCTGTTGAGCATTTGAAATGTGCCCAGTGCAAATGACAGACTGGGTTTTTAAATTTTATTTTATCTTAACTAAAAGTTAAATTAAAGAGCCAAATGCGGCTAGTGTTTACTGAATTACACAGCACAGCTCTGGAAGGTTTACTAACTTTAATCCCAACTCCTGTCCTTTGAACTCAGTAAAGAATGTAAATGTCTCTGGGATTGGAGCCTTTTAGTAATCTAGGGAGCATGGCACCAGAGTCCTACGTGAGGGGTAAGGTCTGATGAGGACTGGAACTAGCCCTGCAGAGGCAGGTACAATAACCAGCAGCTATAGGACCGGCACACACCCTGGTGTCTCTCTGAGCCTGTTTCTTCACTGACTTCCTCACAAGGAATTATGAGAATTAAGCCACTCTAAAAATTTAAGATTGTTTTATAAAGCGATTGTTCTGTTATGGGTCCTGGGGTTTCTAAACAAATGGGAAACCATTTAATGACAAATATATGTAGAATGTTCTATATTCCTCATTCGTTTCTAAATTCATCCCATCTTAAGGCAAGAAGAAAAGCAAGTAGCCTTTTTTGGGCCATATTCCCTATATTTACAATATGAAATCTCAAAGCCATCTATAAGCCTAAGAGGCAGAAGCAGAAACAGTGCCAAGCTCTGAAAATAGCAACCAAAACAGCCAATCAAAGAACCTCGGTTCCATTTCCACAAAGTGGAGTGTTGTGCTGTCGTTTACATAACTTACCTTCATAATTAAAATCACAGGAACAGAGTGATAATTTTATATCAGTTACATGACCTTTAAATGGGAAGGTTAATGAGAAATATAAGAATCTATGTTTTTTTTGTTTTCATATTAAAAAAAATTTTTTTTGAGACAGGGCCTCGCTTTGTCACCCAGGCTGGAGTGCAGTGGCATGATCTTGGCTCAATGCAGCCCTCCCTGGGCTCAAGCGATCTTCCCACCTTAGTCTCCCAGTAGCTGGTACTACAGGCATGCACCACTACACCCTGCTAATTTTTAAAACTTTTTTTGTAGAGATGGGGTCTCACTTTATTGCCCAGGCTGGTCTTGAACTCCTGGGCTCAAGCAGTCCTCCTGCCTCAGCCTCCCAAAGTGCTGAGGTTACAGGCGTGAGCCACTGCACCTAGCCAAGAATCTGTGTTAAAGTGAAAACTTGTCACTGCTACCCAATAGTGATTGATGCTGAGACTAGCCAGAATAAATACAAAACTGTGCACTTCATGAACAAGGCTGGACACTGAAATCGGAAATGTATGTATTAAGCACCTGGCAGGCACAGAAAGGTGCTTTCACTGATGTATCATTTCCTATTTGATCCTTTCAACAAGCCTATGATGTCGCTATTATGATTTCAAGAGAGGTTAAGTAACAAGCCGAAGGTTATAGAGATGGGAAGTAAGAAAGTCAGAAGTCCCATCCAGGCTGCCTCCACTCCATAGCCAAAGCATTTCACACTCAACAACAGAAGATGGCTTGGAATAACATTCAGAAGTTTTTTTTTTTTCTTTAAGTTAAGATTTGTATCCTACTTACTTCCAAAAGACTTGAGGCAGCTTAAAGATTAAAATACAGTGCAAGAGAAGGCATTTAAGGATAACACTCTTGCTGAAGAATGCAAAAGAAATAGATGGTTTTAGACACCTGAGTGGAGCAGATTCTAACACTTGGGCATTTAATTTGGTTCTAACTTTTCTGACAGCTAAGCCAAAAAGAGAAGCATATTGGATTGCACAGAGTTTTGTTTTCCAACAAGGTAAAGCATACATATTCATCTACAGAGACAAAACGTTTTCCTGGTAGGAAACTTAGGTAGAAATTCATCACGTAGGTCCTTGGATAAAGGACACTGAGTGACACAGAGAACCTTACTCTCTTACTCTCATTTGTAAAAGAAGGGGGCCACATTAAGGTCAACTTCCAGTGCAGTGAGTGCATGAAATACTGCTAACGAAAGTTCCGCAAAAGAGTCAGAAACACCATTCAACAGAGCGCTGCTTTTATGGACCCTCTATAAAGACAGAAGACATAATATACTAAAGCACAGCTTAGTGAAGGAATTTCTATAAGGAGCTGAGAGAATATGAGCTGGGACTTTGCTTTATGGAGTCTAGCAGAGCAGAGAATGCCTTAGAGAATATCAATGATGAAGGGTTACCCAGTCATCGGCCCTCAGAGATGCTACACATGCTGGACAATGGGAAGATTATGTGGGTAATGTGGGTGAGGCACCACTATTTGGGGAGTAGGCCTCTACCTACAGGTTCAAAACAAGGTATATAAATGCATATTAAACATTTATAGTCATTCATTTTAAATAATTGAATAACATTCTATGTCAAGCTGTGTACTATGGAGAATAAAAAGAATAGGAGTGTGGTCTCTGCCTCCAGGAAGCTTATAATCTAATACAGGATTTCTCAACCTTGGCTCTGTTAACATTTTGGGCAAGATGCTTCTTTGGTGTGGGGAGCTGTCCTGGGCATTGCAGGGAGTTTACAGCAGCATCTCTGGCTCTACCCATCAGTAGCATCACCGTAGTGTGACAACCAAGAATGCCTCCAGACACTGCCCAGTATGCCCTGTGGTAGAGGTGGGAATCACTCCGGTTGAAATCCACTGATCCATTATGTAAGAGAAAGGGGGAAGAAATGCATGAAGCTGCGAATTTTAGTAATTCTAGTGCAATGGGTGTTAATTATTACAATGATCTAAAGGAAGGAAGTGCTCTCCCAGTGAGAAAAGCAGACATTGAAGAAAAAGGAGGAAGGTAGCTAAGCTGAGCCTTGGATTTGGTTAGGTTCTTGCCAATAGCAGCCTAAGAAAAGGCACGGAGAAGAGGCTGAGAAGCAGGTTGGGAGAGGCATGATCGTTTCTGTGGAGCACACAGGGTGTATGCAAGGGAGAGATCAAGGTCAGGCTGGACGCTTGAGGGCAGAGAGGGGACGGCTCTGAATATCAGGCAACAGACTTGGAGCCTGATTCAGTCATGCAGGGGGAGATTTGAAAGCTTTGTGTAGAGAAGAGAATCCTCTAATCTGCCCAAATAAAATATCAGATATCTGTGTAAAGGCTGGGTCCTATCATCTGCATGTTTGTGTCTCCCCAAATTCATGTTGGATCCTAATCCCCAATGCAATAGTATTATGAGGCGGGGCCTCTAGGATGTAATGAGGTCATGGGGGTGGTGCCGTCAAGAATGGATTAGTGCCCTTACCAAAGAGACTGCAGAGAGGTAGCTTGCCCCGTCCACCATGTGAGGACACAGCGAGGAGGTGCCGTCTATGAGGAAGAGGAACTTCACCAGACGGAATCAGCTGGCATCTTGAGCTTGGACTTCCCAGCCTCCAGAACTATGAACAATACATTTCTGTTGTTTATGAGCACTCAATTTAAGGTATTTGGTTATAGCAACCTGAACAGACTAAGACACTGTGTAACAGGGAGTGGGGAGAGGAGAGAAAATGCAGCAGCCCAGATGAGAGCAGAGAGTGGCAAAGTCAACAGAACATAGGAATGTTACATGGCAGGGAAAACTGAGGGGCAGGGAGGACCCAAAAATCCTGTGGGGATGTGCCTTCCATCAAACACACACAAACTCCCCTCCAGAGGGCTTTAAAAAGACCGCACCATTGCTGCTCTTAAAAGTGTAGGCTTCCCATGAGATGCTCTAAGGAGAGAGAGAAGAGTGGCTTCTGAAGACAAGGGACAGGGACTCCTGTTCTGGTACAGATCGTTTGCATTTGAGATCAACTATCCATGACCACCTGTTAGAACTGCATTGAGAGCTCAACCATTCCTGTGTCCTCAGCCCTGGCTTCATTTCTGTCCTCCTTTGCCAGATTGCCCCAGCCCCTTTCCTTCAAAGAGGAGGCCTCTGAAGCTCTGCTGTGCTGAGGACTATTCTGCAGGGTGAGCACTGAGAAGCCCCTTTCCCCTGCATGATTTCAGGCTTCAATACAGAACACATTTTATAGTCTCTCTGTTCCTTCCAGTCCACTGCTCTGTTGGGGCTGAATAAATATTGACTAGCCTATAAAACATAAGGCCTTTTATTTATACATCCTCCTGCTCCAAGGGCTGTGCTGGATCCCAGCCTCAGAACACACAGTGCATGTGTGGAGGGCTAGGAGCCACCACTGCAGTGCAAACCAGCGGCCACAGCTGTCAGGATGGGGCTGCCTTTTTGGGGTGCAGCCTACAGCAGCAGGTGTGAGGGCTGGCACAGTGGGGCCGTGTCTGCTAGGAATGCTCATTTTATAGCACATGGGAATGCTTTTGGTTGCAAGCAGCAGAGGAGTCCAAGACTGTGGAGTGCTGTGAGGAATCCGGGCTTTTTCTCATTCTTTGCTTTGACGCCCTTAGCTGTTGACTTTCCATCCTTGGTATTGTTATCTCATGGTCCTAAGACAGCTGCTGGAGCTCCAGGCTAGAAGGAAGGGAGGGCATAGCAACCCCCTCTTCACCAAAGCAGTCCTCTTGCCTCAGCCTTCCAATGTGCTGAGGTTACAGGCGTGAGTCACTGCACCCTGCCAAGAATCTATGTTAAAATGAAAATTTGTTACTGGTACCCAATAGTGACTGATGCCGAGACTAGCCAGAGTAAATACAAAACTGTGTACTTCATAAACAAGGCTGGACATTGAAACGGGAAACGTATGTATTAAGCACCTGGCAGGCACAGAAAGGTGCTTTCACTGATGTATCATTTCCTATTTAATCCTTTCAACAAGCCTATGATGTCGCTATTATGATTTCAAGACAGTTTAAGTAACAAGCCCAAGGTTATAGAGATGAGAAGTGAGACAGCCAGAAGCCCCATCCAGGCTGCCTCCACTCCATAGCCAGTGGATTTCTCTTGCTGTCTCTCTCCTCACTGGCTATACCTGAGTCACATCCCCAACCACTGGCAAAATGAAGGGACATAATCATGGTTGGCTAAGAGCAATCATGATTCATCCCCTGTGTTGGGGGGAAGGGTCTATTTTGCCCAAGACCAAGAGACCTCTGCCTGACCCAATCACAGGTCCCATCTGCAAGAAAGAACAAGGGAGATGGCTGTGGGGTAGGCACTGGAGGGTCTGCCACCAGCTGCCCTCAGAAGTGCTGTGGGCAGGCAAGGGTACCAGTGCAGACTGACATCATTTTTTCAGCAACAAGTGCCCCTCTCCCTGGGGAGTGGGCATGTGGACACTGTCTTCCTTGTCTCTCATGAAGGAAAGTGAGCCAGGCCTTCTTAGGGGGCTTGGTGATCAGAAGTAATGCCCTCTCCAGTGATCTGCTGCCAGCCAGACATCACCCAGGAGCACAATGGGTACAGCAAGGTCTGTGGAAGGAGTGGGCCAGCGTCAAAGCCCCAGCTCTGTACTGGCTCAGCCAGGTGAAACTGTTACCGAATGGCAGGAGTTCAGTCTAGGTCCCATTGCTCACCACAAAGAAAGCCGATCCCTGAGACAATGAATATTTCCAGGAAAGAAGGCTTTTTATTTGGGGGACTTCAGCCAGAGAGACAGGAGCCAAACCTCAAATCTGTCCCTCCCCTGCTGAATAAAGTTAGGGGTTTACATAGCTGGGAAGGAAAACAGGAGGGGCTAGGGAGAGGAGTTGGTCCACAGGCAGCAGGTGCGCCTCATTGTACAAATGTAAGTTCCTCAAGCTTTGCTTCTACGGGCATCCAGCTTGTCGGAAAATTGGGTCAGTTTCATGACCATGTGCATTCAGCAGGGACCAGTCAGGGGACAGGAGCCCTACCAGGTATTCTGGCCAGAAGGATTTTATATAAAGACTTATTAGCTAGGTATAAATCATTGTTAACTAGAAAATTAAAAGAAAGCTAGAGAAGGAACACTAAGATACCATGGAGGTGGCAGCTTGAGGAAGCAGCTTCCACACTAGGCCTGGGGGAACCAAGAGAAGAAGCTGGAATTGGGAACACCATGGTGTTCCTATAACCTGGAAGCTAGAAGCTAGAAGCTTGGAGGAGAGGCCCCAGGGAGCCAAGGCTTTGCTCTCTGAGGAGGGGGCTCTGCTGGGCTGGTGCTGGAGTCTCAGAAGGGGCACACCAAGGCTGGTTCTGTAAGTGCTGGAAAAGCTGTGACGGCAGCTGCTAGGCAAGTGCAGAGGCTGGAGTGATGCTCACAAAGACCATGGCAGAGAAGAAAGCCTCGGACAGCACTTTGGGAGGCTGAGGCGGGCTGATCACAAGGTCAGGAGATTGAGACCATCCTCGCCAACATAGTGAAATCCCGTCTCTACTAAAAATACAAAAATTAGCTGGGTGTGGTGGCATGTGCCTGTAGTCCCAGCTACTTGGGAGGCAGAGGCAGGATAACCACTTGAACCCAGGAGGCAGAGGTTGCAATGAGCTGAGATCGCACCACTGCACTCCGGCTTGGCGACAGAGCAAGACTCCGTCTAACAAAAAAAAAAAAGAAGAATGAGAGAAAGAAGGAAGGAAGGAAGGAAGGAAGGAAGGAAGGAAGGAAAGAAAGAAAGAAAGGAAGAAAGAAAGAAGGAAAGAAAGAAAAGAAAAGAAAAGAAAAGAAAGAAAGGAAAAGAAGAAAGGAAAAGGAAGAAAGAAAAAAAGAAAGGGAGAGAGAGAGAGAAAGAGAAAGACAGAAACAAAGAGAGAAAGAAAGACAGAAAGAAAGAAAGTAAGAAAGAAAGAGAGAAAGAAAGATTGAGAGAGGAAGGAAGGAAGGAAGGAAGGAAGGAACAAAGGCAGGCTCTGAAAGCACCCAGGGGGAAGCAGGTCCCTTTTCCTCCTCTCTTGCCTCCCCTAGCACCCCCTTACTGATAGAATCTACCATGGAGCAGCTGGCAAAGGCTAGAAAAAAATTGGTTTAGAGTCCCAGCCCCAGCATCACAAAGTGGAACACCGAAGGGTAGGTTAGCACCAAGAGGCAATGACCCATTAACAGGCAGCCATGGGCAAGTGCTTCACCTGCCATCACTTCAGGGCTCTAAATCTTAGTGGCCTCAGCTCTAAAACAGGGGAAGTATTGCCTGTCTGATGATCCGTGGATACGAGCTCCAGGATATGAGCGTGGTTGTCAGCTTGCTTACCACTATTCCTCCAGCTCCTGGGACAGTGCCTGACCCATAGTGGCCATTCAAGAGTAAAGGCCGTAATTGGTCATTGTTATATTATTATTAACAAATGGAGATTCTAAAGCCTAGATATTTAAACAAAATTTTGTTTTTTAGACAGGGTCCCACTCTGTTGCCCAGGCTGGAGTGCAGAGGCATAATCCTAGCACCCTGCAGCCTCTACCTCCTGGGCTTAAGTGATCCTCACACCTCAGCCTCCCAAGTACCTGGGACTACAGGTGCACCACCATGCCTGGCTGTTTTCTTTGTTTGTTTGTAGAGATGGGGTTTTGCTTTGTTTCTTAGGCTGCTCTCAAACTCCTGGCCTAAGCAACTCTCCCACCTCGGCCTCCAAAATGTTAGCATTACAGGCGTGAGCCACTGTGCCTGGCCTAAAAAATTTAATTAAAAAAAAAAAAGGTTGAGGCAGCTCTTGCCTAGATTACTAAGTCACTCAACCAGATAACTGCCAGGGCCAAGAATAGAGCCTGGGGCCTGTCTTGTACCCTGATGAGGACATTATGTACTAGTAATGGTTTTATTCTTTAGAATAATGATGAGAATGTTATAAAAACAATTTAGCCTTGGCAGAGATGAGGCATTATCTGCCTTTCTAGGAGGATGTTTGCTACTACAGGTGCTCCAGCACCTCTTATACTCAAGCCAGTGATGTGTGTTTCGGAGGTCCTCAGAGGCATCTCCTCACAAGCCTGGCTGTGTGGCCTCAGTGGTGCTGAGGAGGAGATGTGTCTTCTCTGGCTGGCCCCAGGCCTTAGATGCACTCCATCCAGCTCCGCCTCCTCTCGCCTCTGTGTCCTTCATGCATGTTCCTGCCTCCCGGGCCACTGCCAACATCAATCTGCTTAGGGACCCGAGACCAGTCTCCTCAGAGAGTGTGTAATGAGCCATCCAACAACCACTGTGGATGTGTCCAGACTGTCTCAAAGGCTGTTGGATATTTGCTGGGTCCGCTCTGGGTAACCTTGCCTTTGTGCTACCGAAGAGGAACAATGGCTGGATCATCCTGGAACCTCCTCCTGGAGAATGAGCAGCAGCATTTGTCCTGGCTGCCTTCTGGAGGAAGTGAAATCCAAGCTGCAGAGCCACTCTCACAGCTGGTGCTGGTTCAGTCTACCGCAGATGCGAAGTATCTAATGGACTGCCTCTTGTCTAGGGGCAGGTGAGAGCAGAACTCGTCTAACACACTTTGAGGACAGAGGGGCATCACCCGTCTGTGGGCATTCCCAGCCACATTTCCCTCCCTGGTTCAGGGGGAAGGTCTCCCTGCATTATCTAACTCCAACTCATCATGCTCAAAAGAAAAGTCAGGCGATCTAAAGCCCACAGATAGCCTTGCTCCCCTGTCTCTGTCAAAAACACATATGAAAGCAGAGAAAAATTCATCAGACACGGAAGCAATTGGAGAAGAGACCAGGAGAAAACAATTAGGTAATGAGGATGTGCATTAAACCATCTCTGGCACCTTCTTGACCCAGAAACATTCTTTATGTCCTGGTAATGATGGCACATTGAACATTCCAGGGAATTCCAATCCTGGAAATCAAGAAGGAGACTTACTCTAAAGGCATAGGCGAAAGTGAGTTGTCACCAGGGTGCACAGCTTCCTGGACATTCTACTGGAATAAAACTTGGCTCCCCAGGGGCCAGCAGGAGTCACCCAAGGGCAGGTCCCAAGCAGTCTCCCTTCCAGGCTCTGTAGTAAAAATGAACCACTCTTGATTCGAGGTTCAGAGTCTGAGGTCAATTTCCCCACCCCAGATCTCACTGGGGGCATTAGATCCCCTAGGGCCTTCTTCAGACCCCTAAGATTTATCACTGGCTTCAGAGAGATGAACCAATTCAATTAGCTTTTCCATTCTCCCAGCTTATTTTCCAGGAGCGGAGTGTGGCGCTCATTGTCGCAGTCGAACAAGCTAAAGAGCCTGCAAGGCCCAATACTGACTCCAGGAGATACTGGGAAGGGCTTGCTAGTGATGGAACCTGGCTATGAATCTTGCTTTCCTGATTCTAAAATTGACTCTGCCTGAAGGTGCTGCTGAGGTGCCCTGGGTACTTCTCCAGCGGTGGGTAGAGGAGTGACAGAGGGAGGAGTGCCCCTGACACACAAACAATTTCAGGAAGACAGTTTCCCTATTATCTATTATATAGATTGGGGGGTGCATTCATTTATTCATTCAATATTTATTGAACTTCCACGTATTCCAGGCACTGTCTAGGCGTCTGGGCCAGGATAGAGAGGGGAGTAAGATAGACCTTTCCTTGCTGTTACAGAACTTACGTCTTTGTTGGAGAGACAGGAAATAAACAAGTAAGTTAAAAACCCACAATTTGGGGTAGAGGCCCACAGGTCAGGTTCTGCAGGAAGTAGACTCTGACAAAGAGATTTGCAGGAGGTTTTTGGGGCGTGATCTCAGGAGCAACAAGTGTGAAGGGTGAGGGACGCAGGTCGGACAGATGGAAAAGTTGCTTTCTGTCTTCCTCCTGAGGAGCTTTGCAGCTTGGGACAACAAGCAGTGTTGTCCTAATTAAGATTGGAGGACTGGGCATTTGCACTCCCATGTGACCAGCCTTTGGATGCAAGCTGCCTCCAGGAAGTGGGTGTACATGTGGGTGGAGCAGCTTCCTCTGACAGAGGAAATGACACACCTCTGACACTTTGCAATGCTTGGAAAGTGTCTCAGGTGTGAGTTGGTGGAGCCTGCACTCCCAGCAGCTAAGGTGACAAGCGTTTTTCGGTTCTGCCAGGGGATCTGAGTGGCACACAACAACATCCACTATGAAATGTGGTGTGTGCTGGGTGGGGGCTGACTGAGGAGCTCGAGAGTAGGAGTGAGGCAGGCTATTTTAAAGAGGTGGCAAGGGAAGGCCTCTCTGAGCAAAGGCAGAGACTTTAGGCAAAGACTTGATTGGTGTGAGGAAGTGAGCCATTCAAAGTCAAGGGCACCAGAGGTTCTAAGCAGAGGAAACAGCAAATGCAAAGCAGAGAACAAGCTTGGCACATTTGAGAACCAACAATAAGTCCAGTGTGTCTGGAGCCACAGGAGTCAAGGAGACAGCAGCTGGCAGTTCAGCCAATGGGCTACCAGGAAACCAGATGGCAGAGAGCCTGGTAGACCACGGTAAGGAGTTTGCAGTTTAAGAGTGATGGGAGATGTTGGAGCACTTTGAACAGGGTGAAAGTCACCATCTGATCTACATTTTAAACGTATTATTTCACTAAATAGAGAAATAATACGTTTAAAATGGTAGTAATTGGTCATTGTTATATTGTCATTAACAAGTAGAGATTCTAAAGTCTAGACTTCTAAAAACAATTTTAAGTGAAGCAAATGTTGCTCCATCTGACAATTATGTAAGCCAGCCATACCTGTTCTTTCCCTGTAGGTAGAAGCATATGGGAAACTGCATTCCGATCCAGGGAAGTATAGGAAGCAGTAATAAAAGTGGGAAGACCTATTATAAGTTCGTTGCAGTCATCCAGGTAAGAGGGGATACTGGCTGAAAACAAGGTTTCAGCTATGTGGGCCCTAGCTTGGAAGGGATGGGATTCTACATATGTTTTGTAGCTGGAAGCAGGAGTTTGAGGCTAAGAGATGACCTGAGAATAGAATGATTTTAGGTGTTAGGCCTGAGAGATGAGGGCACATTAGGGAGGAGCATGTGCAGCGGGGGCAGGGCATCCAGAATGCTCTTTGGACATCTTATATTTTAAGT
The DNA here is from genome assembly GCF_000001405.40 of Homo sapiens. Taxonomy (NCBI): domain Eukaryota; kingdom Metazoa; phylum Chordata; class Mammalia; order Primates; family Hominidae; genus Homo; species Homo sapiens. The sequence goes on from NC_000004.12 coordinate 152,101,814, forward strand.
GCCTGTCAGACACCCAAGTAGAGACGCCTGATGTGAAGACATGAATATCTGCAGCTTGAGGTCCTTCGTAAGATCATTTGAAAATAAGAGTTGTGCTACTAAAATAAAATGTGCAAAAAAAAAAAAAAGAGAGAGAGAGAGAAGAAAAAAAGAAAATCGCTGCATCATGCTGTCTTGTGTATAGTTGAATTTTCACATGCTGTGGAAATTCAGCCAGAGATCCTGTGGAAAAATACTGAAAGGACCCTTGGATCACTGATTCTAAGTTTGAAAAAGGGCTGGGCTGGCTGCTTCTAAGCTTGGCTGTCTTGCTTCTATGGGGCAAGTTCGGGAATCTTTTTTTTTTTTTTTTTTTTGTAATTGAGGCAATTGACTTTGTCAGCAAGCTAAGAGTGGATTTCTCTCATAGGGGTGAATTCACATTGATCAATGTAACCAGGCTCCTAAGAGACTGATAAAGCAGAAACTGTTTACCTTGAAAAATATAGTCATCTCACAATTATGTAAGCCAGTCATGCCTGTTCGTTCCCTGTAGATCAAAGCATATGGGAAACTGCATTCCAATCCAGGGATTTCCCAGTGAGTTAGAATTAGACAAAGGGGTTGAACCGAATAGCTCAAACATGTTAAGTTATCAACATACTAAAATCCTGAGCTAATTGGTAAGGAGCCTGCTCCTGGAGCCTCCTGTCTGCTCCTACTCACTGCCCTTCTCATATCAGGGACCTCACAGAGCTCCCAGCCACTAGAAGGTAAATGCAGGTAGAATGGGGACCCTAGGTCCCTGCTCCAGCTGTAGCTGAAGATCTTGCTGTTTGGGTGGTGCCTGTGCTGTATGGATTGTTAAAGATGTTGACTTTCATCCCTGCTTTAGGGCACCCAGTCATGATAGCTGGATGCCCCTCACCTTCTCCATAACAGAGATGCAGCCAGGAGAGGCCCAGAGCCTACTAATGTGCGGACACCCATCACCCCAGCCTTGTCTCAGTCAGAGCTTGAATCATCCCGACGATCCTCCTCGGTCTCATTTCTCTCTGTGTCTGTGACGCTGCATCCATTCTGACAGGCCCTTCTGTCCCTCAGAATGTTCCTGCTGTCAGTCCAGGCTGCTCTGGTCTGAAATTCATCCTGTCCATATAAGGAGACTTTAAATAGATCTTCTTTGATCTGGTGCTGGCTGGTTTTATAATTTTTCTCTCAGATGGAAATTGTATTTCCCATTTCCAAGTTCTTGGGGGATGCCTCACAGTCAAGCCCCATAGACTGTCTACCCAGAGGAGTTTAATTTTCATGGAATCCAATAGGGCCAGTGAGGAAAGAGACCTTAATAATCATTTAATTCAACCCTCTTGTTTTATAGACAAGGTGACTGAGAACCAGAGAAGGAATGGCAGGTTGAATTATTATTTATAATGAATATAATATTTACAACTGGTACAGATCACAAAGAAGACATTAATAAACTGATCTATACCAGGAAGCTGTTCCCTGGTTTTTTATAGCACTCTAAGCCTGGTGACCTTCCTGAGCAAACAGAGTCCCTTGCCTCACTGAGGAGAACTCCAGGGAACACCAAAGGCCAAGGGAGACACCGCAGGCAATAAAACATCCCTAGCAAAGCATCTCAACACCCCCAGACAAAGAAAGGCACAGAACTCAAGAAAGCAGTGACAGGAGAGCTTTAGTAAATGTTTAATGAAGACGGAGCATAGAGGTCGTCCAATGCAGCCCCTCTTTTTCAAGCAAGGAAATGTTATGCGATAGATATCTGTCATTGTTTCAGCCTCCCAACATTCATTTCCTCTTTTGACAGCTGCTGATTTTCTCTCGAGGGCTCACCCCCCTGGACTCTGGGTGGTCCTGGGAGGATGTGAACCCTGTACCCTGACTCCCATCACTGAGGCCAAGAGTCTGGACCCCTCCTCCTCCTCCTGCCCCAGCACAGCAGGGAACCCGGCAGGACAGCTGTCCTCTAGGACTCTTGAGTTCACTCACTTCAGCCACCAAGCGCTGACTGTGTTTCCACCAAAGGGCAGTTCCTGCGGCTTCTACTCCCCCTCTCCAAGGTGCCAGGGTTACTGCCTGTCCTCCAGCCTTCCATGGCATCACTGTCTCTCCAGATCATCTCATTCAATTCTCTCATTGCTCCAGTGAGCCTGGATGGTTTTCTGTTGCCGACAACAAAAAACCCCAACTGATACCATTCCCCTTCCCCAAGGTCACTTACCCAGGGCAAGGTCCAGCCTGAGATTTGAGTTCCTACTGAGTCCCCTACAGGGGCACAGCTATGAGCTGAATTGTGCCTCTCTCCAGGTTCATTCCTAACCCCTGAGACCTCAGAATGGGACAGTATTTGGACACACGGTCTTTCTTGAGCTAATACAGGTTAAATAGTTTACTGAGGGGATCCTCATCCAATACAACTGGTGTCCTTATAAGAGGAAATTGGGACACACATTAGTGTGCAGTGGGAAGTCCATGTGAGGACGGACAAAGAAGCTTGGCCATCCACAAGCCCAGGAGAGAGACTCAGAACAAATCAATCTGCGGACACCTTGATCTTGGGCTTCTAGCCTCCAGAACTGTGAGAAAATACATTTCTGTTGGGTAAGCGGCCCAGCCTGTGGTCCTTTGTCACGGCAGCCCTGGCAGACGAATGCAGGCCGCACTTCCCACCGCCATGGTGCCACTGTCTGTGGACAGCATGCCAGCCTCATCGCACGAGTTATCCCTGAAGATGCTCAAATTAGCAGGCTGTTCTTAGAACCAAATTTCCTGGACAGGCTTCAGAAAACATTCTCCCTGGTGATACAGACATCTGAAAACACACACACACACACACACACCCAAGAAAACAAAAAACAAACAAAAATGCCAAAAACAAATAAAAAACCCATGACCAAAAAATGGACCTTTGTCCCCTTTCATTTCTTTAGTAATGGACAGCGCCCAGGAGAGCAGGATAGACGGCTCCTTGGAGAAAGCAGAATCTTCTTAATAAACAAATGAGAATTTAGAGCCCAAGCTGACAAGGAATTTAATCTTGTTCTCCCAGCATCCGCATGGAGGAGGGAAGCAAGCAGAGGCAAAGACAGACATCGCGGTTCCCCTTGATTCTAATATTGGGTTGGACGGGGGAGGGCGAAGATCTGCACGCCAAGCTCCCTTTCTCCACCCACACCCCTCCTGGCATACACTCTCAGCAAAGCCTCACCGGGTTCCCCCTGCAAGTAATTGCAGAGGTCTCTTGGGGACAATAACCCTGATGTTACCTCTTGGAGGGTCAGAGGGAAGTGCTTAGGACTGAGAGAATGCAAGAGGGTGGAGGCCAAAGGGCTGAATATTAATGGGGGCTATCACCACCAGCTCTTAAGGTAATGGAAAAGCCCTCTGCAGAGCCAGGCTGGGGCCGGCCTCACACGGAAATGCAATCTTCTGCAACACAGAGTAGGCAGTGACAAGCAGTTTATCTTCCATTACTCCAAAACCTTAAATCATTATCAACCCGAAGCCAGCAAAAGAAACCAAACCACTGACTCCAATGTCTCCTTATCTTCCCAGCAAATATAAATGTGTATGACATTGAGGCACCTGTATTAGGGGTTGAACTGTATCCCTCAACCCCCCACCCCCAGAAAGAAAGCTATGTTGGAGTTCTAACCCCCCGTACCTCAGAATATGACCTTATTTAGAGATAGGATCTTAATAGAGGTAATCACGTTAAAATAAGGTCCTTAGGGTGGGCCCTAATCGAATGTGACTGGTGTCCTTATAAGAAGGAGAACTTGGGCTGAGTGCGGTGGCTCACGCCTATAATCCCAGCACTTTGGGAGGCCAAGGCGGGATGGTCACTTGAGGCCAGGAGTTCGAGACCAGCCTGGGCAACATGGTGAAACCCCATCTCTACTAAAAATACAAATTAGCTGGGCATGGTGGTGGGTACCTGTAATCCCCGCTACTCAGGAGGCTGAAGTGGGGGAATGGCTTGAACCCAGGAGGTGGAGGCTGCAGTGAGCCAAGATCATGCCACTGCACTCCAGCCTGGGCAACTGAGTGAAACTCTGTCTCAAAAAAAAAAAAAAAAAGGAAGGAGAACTTGAACACAGAGACACATACAGGGAGAGCACTGTGTGAAGATGCTTCTGTAAGTTAAGGGACACCAAAAATTGCCAGTGAACCTCCTGACACTGAGGGAAGGCCTGAAAAAGATGTCCCCTCACAGGCCTTGGAAGGCACCAACTCTGCCCATGCCTTGACCTCAGACTTCTCACTTCCAGAACTGGGAAACCATAAACTTCTGTTGTTTAAACAATCTACTTTGATGTACTTTGTTATGTTGGTCTGTGTTGGAAAATATACACAGAAAGCTCTAATCCACAGGGGAAAGGAAAAGTGGTCCCATCTCATCATAAAATAGGAATTTTTCTGAGGCCACGGGAATGGGTGGAGAAACGGGAGGCTGAGTCATTCCTTCTGCCAAGGGTTTGCCTGGATAACAATGACTCAATCAAATGGAAGTTCCAAATAAAAGACATTTTTCAAAGGAGTGTTTCCTCTTTTAAACAGTGCTGACTCAGCCCCAGCCAGCTGAATCAGCGTTTTTAGTGGTGGCAGGAAGTAAGGAGTGATCTTCCTAAAGTGACGATGTGTTTCCTAGCAGGGTTGCCAGATTTAGCAAATAAAAATACACAGGATACCCAGTTTCATCTGAATTTCAGATGAATGACGAACAATGTTTCAGTCTATGTCTCAAATACTGCATGGGATAAAACATTCCTATATTTTGCCTGGCAGCCCTCCCCTGATCTCCCCATCCATCCTCCATGTCCATTCTCTCCCTCATCTCTAGTAGAGGAGGGAGGCCCTCAGGCACATCGAGGCACCAAAGTTATGGTACAGTGCAAGGTAAACTCCCAGCAAGAGGTAAGGTGTGTCTCATGATGCACCCTTTGGAGGAAAGACCTCTGCCTCCTACTGTGGGGAATGATAAGGTTCTCCTGCTCTGAGGATCCACCAGAGAGCAGCCTTCATGGCTTTGACCATATGGGGATCCAGCCTGGGGTTGAGCAGACGACCAGGAAAAAATAAGAGAGAAAAACGCCAGAAGGAAAGGAGGATCCCGGGCACCCATCCAAAGCTGACTCCGTGGGACTACAAGGTCACTGTAAGAGAGTGTCTGAACCATGCTCTGGCCTCAAATGTTCGTGTGATTAGATATTCAAGTTTGTGGCCTTTCTGGTGAGAGCTGCATCTGCCCATTGCATGGGATGACCAAATGTGCATGGACTTTGTTCCTGGGCATGAAGCTGGGCAACATGCCAACAGAGCCCGCACCCTGCCTCTGCCCTGCACACACATGGTGGTGGTCAGTGAGTGTTTGTCAAGTGATGAATAAATGAATACTCACCACAAAAGAGAGTCCAGCCAATTTCTCCTCCTTGGAAATATAAAGCCAGAAGGTCAAACCCATGGTCTCTCTTCTCCCAGGCATATTAAAACTGTCAGCCAACTGAGTGCCAAGACCCTGGCTTAGAGACGTTGAGGATACACACCCTAGCAGGGACATGGAGCTACAGGTATGCATGAGCAGGGCCTGGAGGAGTCCAGTGGGAAGCTGGCCTTGTTTGCGGCCAAATAAGGATTGCATGGACATCTCAATGTTTATGTAGCTGGAGGAGAGTCTGATGTGCATGCCCAAATGTCCAAGACTTTTCTCATAGACCAGGAAGAGTAAATTGGTGGGCCTCCCAAGGAAAACAGTGGTGGGCCAGGGAAATGCCAGGAGGTGTGAAATGCAAACAAACTGCCTGGGTGACAATTACCCTTTTAATTTTTCAAAGGCTGAACTTGGAGCAATTGATGTGGTGCCTGTTACACATGACAGAGAATGTTACCGTGCTTCAGATGCAGTGCCTGTGTAAAGGGCAGTAATCTGGACAAAAGGAAGGGGCAGGGAGATGGAAGAAGGGAGGTCTGGAAGGAGAGCAGGAAGGTATGAAGTAAGGAAGGAGGGAAAGGAGGAGATGGAGAATTTGAATGGAAATTTAGTCTGGCCAATACCCAAATCTGGTTTCTTCCTCTCAGCGTGAAGTGCCCTGATTGGATAAGGAATTCACTGCAAGCCTTTTCAGACTGGCTGGTTTCTTTTTAGAGAACAAGGCTTCATTTGATTAGTTGCCCATTAAATCATAGGAGGAGGGCTGGGCTGGGTAAGGGAATAGGACAGTTAGAAGCTGGTAAAGCAAGAATAGCTTCCCTTCTGAGGCTCACAATGCTCTCTGAACTTGCTGTTCTCCTGTCAACGAATCCCAGTCCAGTGAAAATAGTTTTAATTACTGAAATCCACATTGCCTGATGGATGGATGGACTCGACAAAGATTCATGGAGAGCCCATTAGGTGTGAGTGGGCCCCAAGTGAGGCCCTGGAGACATAAAGGCAAATGAAGCGCAGACCCTGTACCCCAGGCCCTCCCAGCACAAACGGGCACACTTGGCATATTTTAATAAGACAACATGTGCAGCTGTGCACAGCAACTGCTCTTTGGGCACATGAAGGGGCACCTGACCCAGACTGGAGATGGGTGGGAAGATGAGATGAGGGGCGGAGATGAGATGGGAGGGGAGATGAGATGGAATGTATCAGGTTATACAACGCAAAGATGTTTAAATAAATATCACGGAACCACACACCTTCACCTCTTTAGTTTATGGCATAGATACCAGCATTGCAGGCAGCATCTTGCCCTTTTCCAGCTAAGTTTGCCATTTGTTTTTCTATTCTGCTCATGCCAGTGTTTATAAGGTAATAATGGGTATGAGCTTTCTATTCATAGAACATGTGGGTACTCCCATGGTGTATGTTACGTACACCACGAAATTCCTGCACACTGTATATATACTTGAATGTGTTAATTAAAACTAGGAGGTTCCTGACATATCCTTACCTTCCATTTCCTTATACCTAACCTTGATGAATGAGGTGGAATTGTACTTCCTTTTTGTCTTCAATAAAAAAAACCCTAATAGGTCTCATGAAATTCCATTCATTCATGCAATAAATATTCATTGAGTGCTTCTGTGTTCTAGACACTGTATTGGGGCTCGGTATACAAGGAAGCAAAAGGTAGATATGAACCTCCTTCCTGGAGTTCAGAGTGGCTCTCAGATGCTTCTGGGCATCACAATTCCCTAGGGAACTTGTTTAAAAATGCAGATGTCCCAGGCTTGGTCTGGAGGAAAATGTGATTCCATGTCTCTAACCAGGAGACTGACCCATGCACACTGCAGAACTGTTAGGATGAGGAGCCCCTGGCATCCAGAAAGGGTGGGGTGGAGATCCAGAGGTTGATTCCAGACAGCCCGGGGCTGCAGGAACATGGGGATGGGGTGAGGGAGGGATGCCATGAACGTATCCCTAGAGCCATCCCCATGCTCCATGGGTATATTGTCCCAACATAAAGCCCAGAAATGGAAAAGAGCATGAGAGAAAGGGTGGTCCCCAGTGTGAAAACGCCTGAGTACTTTTGCCTGATTATTATTCCATTTGGTCTAATTGCATTTTAAAATGCTCAGTGGGGAGAAAAAATGCCAAGTCTTTTAATAAATTAAGAGCAGGTCTGCTTTTTAACCTGCAGCAGGTTTTTAAAAAGTCCTGCTGAGGGCACACTGCTTAGAGAGACATGGTCTTTGCAGGTGAAGGTAATTAGTGAACACCTTCACCTCTGGAGTCGGGAGGGAGTGCGAGGGGCTTTGGTTACTGCAGTAATCTCTTCCTGATTGGGAGGAAACTGTTATTTACAAAGGATGCCTGAAGATTCAAATGTGGTTTTCTCTTTCCCGAATCAGGAGGCAGAGTGTGTGCAGGAACTCAAAGCCCATGGAACAGCAGGATGCAGCTTTTCTTGGCTCCGTTACTGAGAGATCCTGTCTGATGTTTCCTCTCTGACAGGCCGTGACTGGGGACATTTGGATGGCCAGCAGAGCTGGATTTAGAGGCAGAAGAGCTGGGCAGCTGTCCCAGTTACTCATCTATGAGGGGAGCTGAAAGATCATGAGAATAAATCAGAAAGATGGTGCCAGTTAACCCCGCTTTCCACACAAGACTCTTGATATAATTGGTGAAGTGGAAACTCCAGCCAAAGTACACTCCATCCTCAAGCAAAACATAAAACACACTCCTGATGGATACAGAAAGTTCTGGTGGCCTTAGAGCCTGATTTGGTGCCAACCTGCCTGCGTTCAAATCCAGGTTCCACTACTCACTGGATGTGTGACCTTAGACAACTTCTTTCACCTCCTAGTGCTCTGTTCCCTTGGCTATAAAATAAAAATTATAAGAGTGCCAGTTTTGAACACTAAATGGGCATAAAGGAAACACTTAGACCCCAGACGGGCATGTAGCAGGAACTTTATAATGGTTAGCTACTCATTACCATCTTTGTGATGAGCTCAAGCAAGTTGCCTAATGCCACTGGAGGCTGCACCCCTACCTGAGACAGCCACCTGAACATTTCCTTAACGTGCAGCCTCTGAGAGCTGAAACTCTGAAAGGAAGTCCTGCATAATGAGCATTTATTATGTTCAAGTAATTAATTTTCTCTCTTAAAAATGTAACCCCCTTAGTACACCTCAAAAGAAATCATCTGACTTAGAAAATACAAAAGACATCTGAACAACATCAAACATTACAGAAAAGTTTTGCCCACGTGAAAGTCCCACTCCACCCCACCGCACCCCAAGAAAAGCAAAGCAAACATAAAACCAACTTTTGAACATTTTGAACAAGTGTTTGTAACCATATCGATATATGCATTACCTCTGTCCTGAGTGGGTAAGTAGCCAACTCTTTCCATTTAGGAGTGTTAGAAAAACTGTGAAGGAAAGACCGTTTCAAGTAAGCCAAAACGTTATGCCGTGTTTGATGTTTGTAATAAATCCCTTACTTTCAGCAGAGAGGCACATGACTTCTACTAATGGAAAACCAGATTTTCCTCTATCCCCACTAAATGAGTGTGGAACCATATTTAAGGATACACTTTGGAGGGTGCCAAAGCATTGGCTTAATCTGTCAGCTTGATCCTAGGTTCCCCTGTCCCCTGTCCCCACCCCACCCTGAGCACAACTGGACTCAGAGTCAAAGCCAGAGCTGGGACAAGTGCAGCTTGTGAAGGATTCCAGGCCCAGCAAGCGGTTATATTAAGCACCACTGAGGCTTAAGAAGCATTAGATAAGATGTGGCTGGTAAGAGTCAAGGCCTGGTTACAATTCCTCCTAAGATGTTTATATTTCCTTCTAAATTATGTAATTACATGAAATTTGCCAAATAATCAATTTACTTAAAATTGATTAATTGCAGTGCTACTTGTGGGTGACTGGTATGCCAGGATACTGTTACTGTGTAGCTAACTCTTCTATTTTATTTCAGTTTTGTTGTAAAGTATACATTTATTTAATTTTTTTTCACTTTAAAGGTGATACATAATAATTTTCAAGGATGTGGAAATCACAGAATTGTATAAAGTAGACAAGAAAAATCACCTACAATCTCACAGCCCAGAGGCAATGACAGCTAATCATTCAGTCTATTTCCTTCCAGTCTTTTCTTTTTTCTCCTATGTGTAGATAGATGCATATATATATTTTTTCTTTCTAAATATATTTATTTATTATAGAGCTGGGATTGTACTGTTTTCTAACCCAATTTGACCTCTCTCTCTCTCTATATATATATATATACATATAAATAAATATATATATAAATATATATAAATAAATATATATATAAATATATATATAATATATAAATATATATATAAATAAATATATATATAAATATATATAAATATATATAAATATATATAATATATAAATATATATATAAATAAATATATATATAAATATATATAAATATATATAAATATATATATAAATAAATATATATATAAATATATATAAATATATATATAAATAAATATATATATAAATATATATAAATAAATATATATATATAAATATATATATAAATAAATATATATATATAAATATATATATAAATAAATATATATATAAATATATATATATATATTTTTATATATATATATATATTTTTTTTTTTTTTTTGCATTGCATCAGTTAGGGTCCTAGCAGGATACAAGTTTCCCTTTAATCTCCTGAGGCTAGATTAGACGACCAAAAGGAATGCTGAAATAAACCTGGAGTAGGCACACTATGAAGCTGTTCCCACCCTAATCCTGAAGAGTCAAGGGGAGGGAGAAGTTACTGGGACAGGAAGGAAGTAGGTAGGGAGGATGAGTGGAGGAGGGTGCTACCTGGCCAAATCGATGGCCTTGAGTAGAGAAGCCCAGGAATGAAACCCTGGGGTCTCAGATGGGGGTTGTATTTATGGGAAGAGGGTTTCACAGGCCCCCACCCCCAGCTCTGGATTTACCCTCCTCCTCCTCCACCCCATTATTCTCCTCTCCTCCTACTTCCCCACTGTCTTCTCCTGCTCCTCCTCCTCCTCCTCTTCCTCTTCTGACTTTGAGGCCTCCTCCTCCCATCCTGGTGCCCCGCCTTGTCCTGGCTTCTCATTTTTGCCCCAGTTCTGCCCTGACCTTCTCTGTCTGAAATAATAATTCCCCAAAGTAGCCCCATGAAGAACCTTATATGACCATCCTGCCCTCCAGCTCCTCAGGGTGCACTTCCCATTGGACACACCCAGAAGGAGTTCAGAGGGCAGGGAGCCTGGGTGGCGCAGGATGAATCTGGAAGGCAAAAGGAGAACGTCCATCATGCACATCATCCAATATGCTTTAAGTACACCTTTAAAAAAGGCACCGCCTAGTATTCCTTTATAGAAAAGTACCATAAATTATTTAACCCAGTCCTTGTGGAGTGTTTCTCATTTTTTTACCATTATAACTAGCGCTGCAATAAATATTCTTATACATACATTTTTGGCTGCATCTCTGATTATTTTCTCAGGATAAATTCTTAGGGGTGCCATTACTGGGTCAGGGGAATCTACATTTTTTAAGGCTTTTCTTATATATCACCAAATAGTTCTCCAGAATGTTATTATACCAATTTAAATGCCTGAAAGTAATATATATAGAGTCACCAATCATGTTCACCCAGAGAACTGGTGATGGCTGCCTGCAGTAAAGGAGAAGATGCTAGGGGAAGAAGCAGCCTGTCCTGGAGACCGTGGTGTGAAAGGTCACACCTCCCAGCTGTGAAAACTGACCTGTTTTAAGACTGAAAGAAGCTTCACAGTCAGTTCACTCCAAGGTCAGTGGAAGTGTCTGACAAAGGGAAATGAGGTGATGGCTGCTGGGTGGGAGTTTTGTTTCATTTGACCTCACTTACCTAAGGCCAAATGTAACGTAAACAACAGTGGATGGTCATATGAGGTTCTTCATGGGGCTACTTTGGGGAATTATTCCAGCAAGAGAAGGTCAGGGCAGGACTGGGGCACAAATGAGAAGCCAGGACAAGTTGGGTCACCAGGATGAGAGAAAGATGCCTCGAAGTCAGAAGAGGAAGAGGAGGAGGAGGAGGAGGCAGAGGAGAAGGGGAAGAGAGTGGGGAAGGAGGAGGAGAGGAGAGTGATGGAGGGATAAGGAGGAGGGTAAATCCAGAGCTGGGGTTGGAGGCCCATGGAACCCCCTTCCCATAAACACAGCCCCCATCTGAGACCCTAGTCTCCAACTTCCACAGGCAGGGATGAGGGGAGGCGACAGTGGGGCAGGGGACAGGGATTCCCCATTGAGGAAGCTCCATACTGGATACTATTTCCTCTCCTTCAGGGGAATAAACAAGTGCCTAAGGGGCCAGAGACCACCCTTGACTTTGCCTGTGAATCAAGAAAAGGGATTGGAAGTTCTAGGGCCCCGGGAGATAAGCTAAGGCATAACAGTATTGTGAATGAGACTGCCTATATTTGTTCCTTAGCAGATAAATAACATGAATATTTGATCAGTGCTTTATCAATTCAATACAAAGAAGTAACAGGCCAAGTCCAAATGAGCATAGATATATATATAGATTTACAGTTTATTATTGATTGGTAAGAACAGTAATAATAACAGCCAACCTCTAGAACATAAAGGCCTGTGCCCTTGGTGCTAAGACCTTTACAAACATGAAATAATATAACCCCTCCTGACAACTGCATGAGGATCATATTGAGTTTCAGGGGACAACTAAGGTAACCTATCCTGTCTCACCCAGGTCCCATGTCTGAAACCTACTCCTGACGAGTTCCTTCCCATCCTATGCCCCACTGTAGGCAAATCGGGAAGAACTGCAAATGATGTGTGAAGAACTGTACCCTGCGTGCCAGGCAGATATTCATTCATGAACAGATATTTACATGACAGAAAGTGTCCTAGGCCTGGTGGATGTGAAGAAAACAGACAGAGTCCCTGCTCTCAGGAAGCTGTGCCAGCAGGAGAGACAGAGAGGTGACACTTTTTTTTTTGCCTTGGCATCTTTTCACTTGGGGCTCCCTTTGCCTGGAAAGCTCTTCTGAGTACCCGACTTGGCTGCTCTGTCACTCCACTCAGGCCTCTGCTCACCTCCCCCTTCTCTGACCACCCCATCTAAAATACTGCCCACTCGATCTCTACTCCTTCATTGTACTTTATTTTTCTCTTGTCACCACCTGACATATGTGTGTGTGTGTGTGAGTGTGTGTGTGTGTGTGTGTGTGTGTATTTATGTATAGACATTTATTTATTCTCTGTCTCTCTCACTGGAGGATTGACATTCTGGGTCGCTTGCAGGAGGGTAACTTTCATACAGTGTGTGTGTCTTGGGTCCAGTTGAACCTATTGCTCATGCCTTATAGCACATCCCTTCGCTGTTCTACATTGTCAAGGTTCTTGGCAGCAAGCAACAGAAACCCAGTCTGACTAACTTGGATGAAAGGAAAATTCACTGCAAGGCATAAAGGCTGGAAGGCCAGGCCAGGCCCAGGAAATACACAGAAAGCAAAGGAGGCCAGGGAGCTGGAACCAGAGCCCAGTTCACTACGGGAGAAAGTAATTAGAATACTGGAGTGAGATGTCACCATGCTGGACACTTGATGCTGCACCTCTAGACTTTCAATAACTGCCAATAATTTATAAACCACATCTGACTCTTTCTGCCTCTCCTGCAAGATTCAGGGTCCCATGTGGTTGACTGATCCTGAGTCACATTCTCACCTCCTGCTTCCCCCACCCCAGCTTTGGCTTCCACAGCAGGAGGTGGTACATTGGGACCCTCTCAGATAATACACAGTGGAGAACGCCTCCTGATTGAAAGAGGGATTGGATGCTGAAAGGCCAAAACTCTCCATAAATAGCTACAGGATCTGTCAGTAGGAAGTGGCCTCATTCCCAAAAGAGTGATGGAGACTCGGTAACCTTTCTTGGTAACAGGTAACTCATCCACAGGCCCCAAACCTGGACTCTGAAAGTTCCTCTTTCTGGCTGGAGCTGGTCAAAGCCATGCACAGGCAGAACTCGCCAGCATCTTGGAGGCTCAGCTGTCAGGTGATGGAGAACAGCTGGGGTGGTGGGTCGTCAGGGTCACCTGTGAGAAGCTAGGGAGAGGAGAGAGTTTCCATGGGAGGCAGTTGAGTCCCTGTTCTCCCTAAACCAGGATAATCAACTGCCTTCCTAGGGCATTGTCACATCACTTATGGGATTTGTTTTCTCTTTGGCAGGCTTTCCTGAGGAAAGAGCAATTAACCTCAAGTCTGTCTTCAAAAGGTTAGAGTCTTTTTTCTCCTGAGAAACAGAAAAGAGACGTTGGAAGCTGACATGCCTCTTTGTTTATTCTTCGTGCAACTCCTACCAAGATCCTGGAAAAGCAGTGATTCCTTCACAGTCACCCCTTTAGGGTGGTCCCTAAAACCAGATGCAGAACATTTTAGAAAACTCCAAGTCAGTGCTCATTCCTTGGGGCAACCTGCTCTGGGCCTTGTTGAAGGAGAGGTCTGGTTTGTGACATTAACAAGTACATGCTGACAACAAATACAACCACTTCCTCACCTGCTACCATGAGGAAACCAACATACCAGGGTTGCTGGCTTGGAGGGAAACTTACAAACACCCACGAGAGATGGTGGCTTTTGGCCCCTCACAGCCTCCGTAGTCTCCTGGATTTCCCTGGCAGAAGGCCCTCAAACTATGCACAAATGAGGGGCATTGTGCATCCGTCCTATTTTTAAAAACTCTCCAGGAAATACACTTGCTGCCTACACTTCCTCACCACCCACTCGCTCTTCGGGGCTTCTAATCCGGCTTCCGCCCCACCTCGTTCCTGATGGAGCCCCAGGAAGGACTCCAAGGACCTCCTCCTCAGCCACAAATCCTGCAGCCTTGCCCCAGTCCCTCATCCTCAGCCGGTTCAGCATTCCACAGGAAATCTCCCCTCTCTGGGTTTCCGTGGCAGGAAACTCCCGTTGTTTTCTCTTTTTAATGTGTGTGCCTACCCAGGGATCTGAGCTTAGCACCCCTCCCTCTGTGCTGCCTCCTTCATTATCTCACCTACCCTGGGCCTCACCTGACACCTCCATGCAGATGGTCCTCACTTCCAGCCTCTCTTGTCAGCACCAACTCTGAGCTCCAACCCCTGTCGGGCATCAGGTCTCGGGTGCCTCTTCTGAATGTCTAAATATCCCAAACGGAATGGGTCATTTTCTGCTCCAGTTCTGTCCTCCCTTTATAACCTCCTCTCCCAAGAGCCCGCCACCCTCCAGTGTTCACTCTCCAAATCTTAGCGTCATCTCTGGCTTACCCAATGGCCTTACCCCCAAGATCCAACCAATTGCAAGTTCTCTCTTTACCACATCTCTCCGATATCACCATCTTTGTATTCCCATCAAGTGCTTATATTCTACTCTTTTTCAGACCATTGCAGTAACCTCCTAACGGATCCATCTCTACTCTGTCCTCCTCCCACACCCCTTTCCCCACAATCTATATTCTGTGCTTCTTTGAGGACACTCTTCAAGTTCCATCAGGAAGGCACTATTTTGTCTCCCTGCCCTAAAACCTGCAATGGTTCCCACTGCTGATAATAAGTCCTAAGCCTGGCTTTACACCCATCATAATTCAAGGCTCTCCCAGTCCACTTTCCATCACCTTCCCTCTAGGTACACATTTCTGCAGTTTACCTCAAATTCCCACTCATCTTGAAACACTCTGTCTTCCCATCTCCAGGCTTTTACTCAAGCTGGACCTTTCTCAGGTAATGCCTTTCTTTTTATTTACGTCTACCAAAATCTTACCTTTCCCTTTAGGGTCATCTCAAATGCCACTTCTTCCAGGATGCCTCCCAGAGTTTCCCCAGCCAGGAGTGCTTTCCATTCCGTGCTCCCTGGCTTCACTCAGTTTATCCCTGCACACTCATCACACTGAATCTCATGTTGCAGTATTTGAGTATGTGCCTCATTGCCCTGCCTCTGGGTCAGGGATGTTGTCCTACTAAAGGAGTCATTTGCTCACGGTTGATACTTGCTGAATTAAGTCATCAGGTTAGATAACCATACACTTGTTTACCTTTCACTGTTTGAAAAAATACACATCCAAAATATATAATCACAGGGACTAAATCAAAGTAAAGAATATGGAAATATGTTCTGTTCACATCCATGGGTGAAGATCAGAATGTAGATCAAAACCCAGTTCTTGAGTGACTTGGACCGTTGCTGGATAGATTTTAACTAATCTTATGGAAAATATTCAAGGGACTTAATGAGCCTAGCTAGGAAAGGAGGAGGGCAAGCGAGAGGGAGCCAGAGCGGCTGCTGTCAAGAAACACTTTCTTCCTGTAACCGTATCCCCCGGGACCGGGCCAGTACCTTTGCTTAATCTCCCTCTCTGTGGTCACTCAGGATATGATTACTGGCATCAGATGCAAGCACATGTTTCTGTTCCATTAATCTGAGTGAGGCTGAGAAAATGAAAAGGGAGTCACAAGGGCATTGCTGTGTTGGTCTGTTACCACCTCAAAGAGGAGCAAGAGAGAAGGGGGAGGAAGGATCTGGCACATGGGCCAGGAGGGGGGCCGTAAGGGAGCAAAGGGAGATGAGAAAACCATACAAAGAAGAAGTTCCTGTAGCATGGAGGCTGATTCCTTTCAGCTGTTACAAGATGGGGCATGGAGGAGGGATGTACACACACACATAGACACACACAGACGCACACAGGGGCCCCCACAAAGCAACCTATAGACTCAGAGCATCTCCACCATAGGGCTTTTGCAATCAGCCTGATAACCCTTGTGAGTGTTGTTGCTCAGGGTGTACAGAAACCCACATAACATAAATCTGTCTTACACACAGTAACAGCCTTAATGGGAGGCTGCGGCACAGTAATGAAGATGTGAACAGCTAAAACACAATGTCAGATGGCAGTGGTGACATCTGAAAGCCATAATTTGCGGCTCGGCATATTTTTGTTCCAGGTACCAGAGCCTGCACAAATACTCGCTGACTTGTCTCTCTCAAGCAGCATCTCTGCTGGGCTTGGCCAGGGGCCAGGTGGTCTTTGCCTTGCCAACAGGTTTCTGCTATAGAGAGCCCAGGAAGTCTTTCCTCTCTATCATCCGATGGAGCCGAAATGGAGCAACAGAATAGGTATAAACACATATCTTGTTCCTGAAGTTCGGGCCACTTAAATAACCCATTTCCCTTTTGTCCAATCAAAGTGTCCTGGCTGAATATCTTGAGGGGTGGCCAAATGAATCAAAATAATTTTAGCTAAGCCAGAGCTTGGGGGCTTCTGGAAAGGAAAGGTGAGACATTATGGAGCACAGAGGCACCAGATTCTGTTTTTCAGCTGTGACTCTCCCTTCTTTTCAATCCCTCCTTCTCATTGCTACCTTCCCAGAACCTCAGCACTGCAGACAAGCAATTTCTTCAAGTACAGACCTTCAAATTAAAGGTTACATTTCCAGTTCTAGCTAGCTACCTGGCAGTTAAATGGCATCAATGCATGAGTTAAGGTTTATAAATGCAAGGGAAGAGGGGCTCCACTGAGGAAGCAGTGTTATGTTTAGCCCCAAGGAACTGAGGAATTCAAAGTCTAGGCAGAGTGGCCTTTTCCAGCGCCTTAATCCTCCCTGCTGGGTCTCCACTCAGCAGCCCGTATACATCTGTTGACCTGCTGCTCTGGACTGCCTTCCTGCCAGGCTCTGTGCAGTGGGCGGAGAGGATAAAGTGACTGTTAACAGCAGGAGTCTTAACTCCTGGCCTGGGTCCCTAAAAGCACAGGCTGCAAAACAGTTTAAGCTGCCACCAAGACACCCCGCCCCCACTGTGGTGGCTCCGGACCCTTTCACTTGCACAGAGGTTTGCTTCAAGGAACTTTGAGGGTCAACTGGAGCTTCACTCTGAAGTTGGGGGGCTGGCGAGGGCTGCAGCACCTACCACAAGCGCCTTAACGTGCGCATGGGGAGGCTGCTATGAATCCCCCCTTACAAAGGCTCAGCCGCATGACATCAGGAGAATCTCTGGGAACAGGTGTGGCGGGAGCTCAGCACCCACAGGGCATCAGTCTGAAGGCAGCCTGCAGGCAGGAGTGAGAGAAACAGGGTCACACAGCAGAAACTGGCCCCACCCCTGAGAAGCTGTCCAGCACCTGCTTTGCAGAGATGGGTCTGACCTGAGTTCTTGGGATCCCAAACATTTTCCCACCCAGAAGACAGCACACGGTCTTATGAGCAGTGAACATCAGGTCACTTGGGGAACTGGGGGACTAATTTATTTTCAGTTTTTACTATAAACATTTTAGATTTTTGCTCAGATTGACATTTTATTGGGATATGATTTATATACAGTGAAATTCACCGTTTCTCTCAGTTTAAACAAATATAGATGTTCATGTAACTCTCCCTACAATCAAGATGTAAAACATTTCCATCTTTCCAAAAAGTTCCCTCGTGCCTCTTCATCATCAAGTTTGACCCCCTCAGCCCCATTCCCTGGCAGCCACTGATCTGATTTCTGTCTCTATAATTTTGCCTTTTCTAGAATGTTATATAAATAGAATAATACAGTATGTAGCCTTTCAAATATGGCTTCTTTCACTTAGCATGATTCATTGTGGATATATACATGTTGCGCATAGCCATAGCATGTTCCTTTTTTATTGCCGAATGGTATTACAACGTATGAATGTACCATACTTTATTTATCATTAACTAGTTGAAGGACATTTGGGACATTTGCATTTTTGTGATTATGAATAAAGTTGCTGTAAACATTCAAACACATGTTGCTATGATCTGAATTTTCATCCCCTCCGAAACTCATGTTGAAATTTAATTCCCAGTGTGGCAGGATTGGGAGGTGGAGACTGTGAGAGGTGATTAAGTCATGAGGGCTCTGCCCTCTGGAATGGATTAGTCCATTCATTTATTAATGGATTAAAGGGTTATCATGGGAGTGAGACTGGTGGCTTTATAAGAAGAGAGAAAGTGACCTGAACTACCACGTTAAGCCCCCTGGCCATGTGATGCCCTGTGTCACCTCGGGACTCTACGGAGAGTCCCCACCGGCAAGAAGGCCCTCACCAGATGTGGCCCCTCAGTCTTGGACCACAAGTTGGCCCCTCAACTTAGCCTCTAGAACTGTAAGAAATAAATTTTCTTTTTTAGTAAATTACCCAGTCCCAGTTATTCCAGTACAGCAACAGAAAAGAAACTAAGAGACAGATTTTTGTGTGACCATAGGTTTTCATTTCTCTTTGGCAGATACCCAAGAGTGAGATTGTTTGGTTGTCTAGTAAGTGTATGTTTAATGTTGTAAGAAACTGCCAAACTGTTTTCCAAAATAGCTGTACATCTTATTCCTAGCAGCGGTGTATTATAATTCCAGTTGTTCCACATCCACTTGGTATTGTGAGATTTTCTTTTCTTTTAACTATTCTACTAGGTGTGTAGTTGTATTTTATCGTTGCTTTAGTTTGCATTTCCATATGATGAAAGATATTGAACACCTTTTCACTTGCTTATTTGCCATTCATATAGCTTCTTTGATGATATATTTGTTAAAATTTTTGGCCATTTTTTATGTAGTTGTTTTCTTAATTCTGAGTTTCGAGAGTTCTGTATACAGTCTCAGTATCTACAGGGGAGTGGTTCCAGAGCCCCCGTTTATAACCAAATGAGAGTATACTCAGGTCCTGCAGTCTGCCCTGGGGAACTTGCCTGAAGGAAAAGTTTGCCCTCCATATTCATAGTTTTTGTATCCCATGAATACTGTGAATACTGTATTTTCAGCATTTGATTGAAAAAAAATCTGCGTATAGGTGGATTCGCACAATTCAAACCCATATTGTTCAAGGGTTAACTGTATTCTGCATATAAGCCATTTATTATTGTCAGAGATGGACTTTGCAAATATTTTCTCCCAGTCTGTGTTTTTTTTTTTAATTTTCTTAACGCTGTCTTCTAAAGAGCAGAAGTTTTTAATTTTGGTGAAGCCCAAGTGGTCAATTAGATTGTGGTTTTTGGTTTTATATCTAAGAACTCATTGCTTAACTCAGGGTAACAAAATTTTTCTCTTACATGTTTTATAGAAGTATGAATTCATGTTCTTGTTTCTTTGTTTTTGGCATATCGATATCCAATTCTTCCAGCATCATTCTTTGAAAGTCTATCCTTTCTCCATTGAATTGCCTTTGAACTTATGTCCAAAATCAATGAATGGTATATGTGTGGTTATATTTGTGGACTCTCTACTCTGATCAGTTGATTTAGATGTTTATCTTTTCACCATTATAAGATTATCTTGATTATTGTGCTTTATAATAAACCTTGAAGTAAGGTAACATGGGTCTCCCAAATTTATTTGTTTTTAACTTTGGCTATGCTAGTTTCTATATATATTTTAGAATTGCCTTATTGATTTCTACAAAAAATCTTGCTGAAAATTTTTGGGTCGATTGAATCAATAGATTGGTTTGGGGATAATTGACATCTTAAAAATATAAGCTTCCATAAACATAGTATATATCTCCATTTATTCAGATCTTTGATTTCTTCCATCCAAGTTTTGTAGTGTTCAGAATACAGATCTTGCACATTTAAAAAATATTTCAACCTAAGTATTTAATATTTTTAGATGCTATTGTAAATGATACCTCCCTTGAAATGACATTTTTTAACTGAAAAACGTTTGTTGCTAGTATATAGAAATATAATTGCTTTGATATACTGATTTTTATATCCTGTATCCTTGCTAACCTCATTTACTAATTCTAGTCGCTTTTAAAAATAGATTCTTTAGAATTTCCTGTATAGATTATTATGATGTCTGCAAAATGGAGACAGTTTTTTTTCTTTCTAAACTGTATACCTTTTATTTCTTTTTCTTGTCTTATTTCACTGTCTAGGACTTCAAAGACAATTTTGAATGCAAGTGGTGAGAATAGATATCCTTACCTTGCTTTCCGTTTTAGGGGAAATTATTCAGTCACCCACTGCTAAATATGATGTTAGATGTAGGGTTTTTGTGGATTCCCTTTATCAGATTGAGAGTGGTCCTTTCTATTTCTAGCTTGCTGAGAGTTTTGTTTGTTTTTGTTTTATTATGAATGGACTTTAAATTTAAACAGATGAGATGCCCTCATTTTTCTTCTGTAGTCTGTATATATGGTAAATTACACTGACTGATTTTTAAAATGTTAAACTGGTCTTGCATTCCCAGGATAAGATCCTAATGTATTGTCCTTTTTATGTATTGCTGGGTTCATTTTTTTAAATATTCAGTTGATGAATTTTGCATTTATGTTCATGAGGAATATTGGTTTGTAATTTTCTTGTCATGCAATATCTCTGGTTTTGGTATCAGCATAATGCTGGTATAAAATGAGTTGGGAAGCATTTGTTCTTTTTCCATATTCTGAAAAAGTTGCTGTAGAATTGGTATTATTTTTTCCTAAATCTTCTCAGTGATGCCATCTTGGCCTTGAATTTTCCTTATAGAAAGGTTTTTACCTAAAAATTAAATTTTTTAAATAAGATATAAACGATTAAGATTATCTATGGCTTCTTGAATATACCTTTTAAGAAACTAGTCTTATAACCCAACTGGTTGAATTTATGGACATAAAGTTGTTCATAATATTCTCTCTTAACCTTTTAAAGTCTGTATGATTTATAGCAATGTTCCCTTTTTCATTCCTTATGCTGGTATTTGAGTCTTCACTCTTCTTTTTTTTCTTGATCTGGATAAAGGCTTATCACATTTATTTATTTTTAAGGAAACTGCTCTTTGTTTTGTTGCCTATCTGTATTGTTTTTCTGTTTTCAGCGTTATTGCTTTCTGCTCCTATTTTTATTTTCTGCTGTCTGCTTATGTTAGGTTTAGTTTGTTCTTTGTTATACTTTCTTAAGATAAAAGCTGAGATTATCGATTTGAGATCTTTCTTGTTTCTAATTAGGTGTATATTGCTATACATTTCCTTCTAAGCACTGTTTTCATTACACCTCACAACTTTTCATATACTGTTTGCATTCCATTAAAACTTTTTTCCTTAAAAAAATTTTTTTATTTCCGTAGGTTATTAGGGAACAGGTGGTGTTTGGTTACATGAGTAAGTTCCTTAGTGGTGATTTGTGAGATTTTGGTGCACCCATCACTTGAGCAGTATGCACTGCACCCTATTTGTAGTCTTCTATCCCCCACCCTTTCCCCCTGAGTCTCCAAAGTCCACTGTGTCATTCTTATGTCTTTGCATCCTCATAGCTTAGCTCCCACTTTTGAGTGAGAACATACGATATTTGGTTTTTCCATTCTTGAGTTACTTCACTTAGAATAATAGTCTCCAGTCTCATCCAGGTCACTGCAAATGCCATTAATTCATTCCTTTTTATGGCTGAGATACATGTACCACAGTATCTTTATCCATTCGTTGATTGATGGGCATTTGAGTTGGTTCCACGTTTTTGCAATTCCAAATTATGCTGCTATAAACATGTATGTGCAAGTATCTTCTTCATATAATGACTTCTTTTCCTCTGTGTAGATACCCAGGAGTGGAATTGCTCGATCAAATGGTAGTTCTACTTTTAGTTCTTTAAGGAATCTCCACACTGTTTTGCAATAGTGGCTGTACTAGTTTGCATTCCCACCAGCAGTGTAGAAGTGTTCCCTGTTGACCACATCCACACCAACATCTATTATTTTTTGATTTTTTGATTATGGCCATTCTTGCAGGAGTAATGTGGTATCACATTGTGGTTTTGATTTGCATTTCCCTGATCATTAGTGATGTTGAACATTTTTTCATGTATTTGTTGGCCATTTGTATATCTTCTTTTGAGAACTGTCTATTCACGTCCTTCGCCAATTTTTTTATGGGATTGTTTATTTTTTTCTTGTTTATTTGTTTGAATTCATTGTATACTCTGGATATTAGTCCTTTGTCAGATGTATAGATTGATATTGTAAAGATTTTTTTCCCACTCTGTGGGTTTTCTGTTTACTCTGCTGACTGTTCCTTTTGCCATACAAAAACTCTTTAGTTTAACTAAGTCCCAGCAATTTATCTTTGTTTTTATTGCATTTGCTTTTGGGTTCTTGGTCATGAAATCTTTGCCTAAGCCAATGTCTAGAAGGGTTTTTTCAATGTTATCTTCTAAAATTTTTACAGTTTCAGGTTTTAGATTTAAGTCCTTAATCCATCTCGAGTTCATTTTTGTATAAGGTGAAGGATGAGGATCCAGTTTCATTTTCTTATATGTGGCTAGCCAGTTATCCCAGCACCATTTGTTGAAAAGGGTGTCCTCTCCCCACTTTATGTTTTTGTTTGCTTTGTTGAAGATCAGTTGGCTGTAAGTATTTGGGTTTATTTCTGCCAGTACCACGCTGTTTTGGTGTCTGTGGCCAAATAGTATAGTTTGAAATCAGGTAATGTGATGCCTCCAGATTTGTTCTCTTTGCTTAGTCTTGCTTTGGCTATGTGGGCTCTTTTTGGGTTCCATATGAATTTTAGAATTGTTTTTTTCTAATTCTGTGAAGAATGATGGTGGTATTTTGATGGGAATTGCATTGAATTTGTAGATTGCTTTTGGCAGTATGGTCATTTTCACAATATTGATTCTACCCTATCCTTGAGCATGGGATGTGTTTCCATTTGTTTATGTCATCTGTGATTTCTTTCAGCAGTGGTTTTTAGTTTTCCTTGTAGAAGTCTTTCTCCTCCTCGGTTGGGTATATTCCTAAGTTTTGTTTTTTTGTTTTGTTTTGTTTTCATTTTTTTTGGTTTGTTTGTTTACAGCTATTGTAAAAGGAGTTGAGTTCTTGATTTGATTCTCAGCTTTGTTGCTGTTGGTGTATAGAAGAGCTACTGATTTTTGGACATTAATTTTGTATGTGGAAACTTTTCTGAATTCTTTTATCAGTTCTAGGAGCTTTCTGGAGGAGTCTTTAGGGTTTTCTAAATAAATGACCATATCATTAGCAAACAGTGACAGTCTGACTTCCTCTTTACCAATTTGGACACCCTTATTTCTTTCTCTTGTCTGATTGCTCTGGCTAGGACTTCCAGTACTCTGTTGAAGAGGAGTGGGCACCCTTGTCTTGTTCCAGTTCTCAGAAAGAATGCTTTCAACTTTTCCCCATTCAGTATTATGTTGGCTGCAGGTTTGTCATAGATGGCTTTTATTATATTGAGGTATGTCCCTTGTATGCCAATTTTGCTGAGAGTTTTAATCACAAAGGGATGCTGGATTTTGTCGAATGCTTTTTCTGCATCTATTGACATGACCATGAGATTTTTGTTTTTAATTCTGTTTGTATGGTGTATCACATTTGTTGAATTGCATTTGTTAAACCATCCCTGCATCCCTGGTATGAAACCCACTTGATCATGGTGAATTATCTTTTTGATATGTTGTTGGATTTGGTTAGCTAGTGTTTTTTTAAGGATTTTAGTATCTATGTTCATCAAGGATATTGGTCTGTATTTTTCTTTTTTGGTTATGTCCTTTCCTGGTTTTGGTATCAGGGTGATACTGGGTTCATAGAATGAATGAGGGAGGGTTCCCTCTTTCTCTATCTTGTGGAATACTGTCAAAAGGGTGGGTACCAATTCTTCGTTGAATGTCTGGTAGAATACTGCTGTCTGGTAGAATTCTTCTGTGAATCCATCTGGTCCTGGACCTTTTTTGTTCATAATTTTTTAATTACCATGTCAATCTCGCTGCTCGTTATTGGTCTGTTCAGGGTATCTAATTCTTCCTGATTTAAACTAGGAGGATTGTATCTTTCCAGGAATTTATCCATCTCTTCTAGGTTTTCTAATTTAGGTACATAAAGATGTTCATAGTAGCCTTGAATGATCTTTTGTATTTCTGTGGTGTCAGTTGTAATAGCTTCCATTTCATTTCTTATTGAGGTTATTTGAATTTTCTTTCTTCTTTTCTTGGTTAATCTTGCTAATGGTCTATCAGTTTTATTTATCTTTTCAAAGAACCAGGTTTTTGTTTCATTTATCTTGTGTATTGTTTGTTTGTTTTAATTTCATTGAGTTCTTCTCTGATCTTGGTAACTTCCTTTCTTCTGCTGGGTTTGGGCTTAGTTTGTTCTTGTTTCTCTAGTTCCTCGAGGTGTGACCTACATTATCTGTGCTCTTTCAGACTTTTTGATGTATGTGTTTAAGGGCTATGAACTTTCCTCTTAGCATCACATTTGCTGTGTGCCAGAGGTTTTGATAGGTTGTGTTACTATTCTCGTTCAGTTCAAAGAATTTTTAAATTTCCATCTTGATTTCATTTCTGACCCAATGATCATTCCAGAGCAGGTTATTTAATTTCCATGTATTTGCATGGCTTTGAAGGTTCCTCTTGGAGATTGATTTCCAGTTTTATTCCACTGTGGTCTGAGAGAGTGCTTGATATAATTTCAGTTTTCTTAAATTTATTGAGGCTCGTTTTGTGGCTTATCATGTGGTCTATCTTGGAGAAAGTTCCATGCACTGTTGAATGGAATGTATATTCTGTAGTTGTTGGATGGAATGTTCTGAATATATCTGTTACGTCCATTTGTTCCAGGGTATAGTTTAGATCCATTGCTTCTTTGTTGACTTTCTGTCTTGATGACCTGTCCAGTGCTGTCAGTGGAGTATTGAAGTCCCCCACTGTTATTGTGTCACTGTCTGTCTCATTTCTTAGGTGTATTAGTAATTGTTTTATAAATTTGGGAACTCCAGTGTTAGTTGCATATATATTTAGGATTGTGATATTTTCCTGTTGGACAAGGCTTTTTATCATTATATAGTGTCCCTTTTTGTCTTTTTAACTGCTGTTGCTTTAAAGTTTGTTTTGTCTGATATAAGAATAGCTATTCCTGCTCACTTTTGGTGTCCATTTACATGAAATGTCTTTTTCCACCCCTTTACCTTAAGTTTGTGAGAGTCCTTATGTGTTAGGTGAGTCTCTTGAAGGCAGCAGATAGTTGGTTGGTGAATTCTTATCCATTCTGCAGTTCTGTATCTTTTAGGTGGAGTATTTAGGCCATTTACACTCAGTATTAGTATTGAAATGTGAGGTACCATTCCATTCATTGTGCTACTTCTTGCCTGTATACCTTGGTTTTGGTTTTTGTTCTTTAAATTCTATTTTTTTGTTTTATAGATCCTGTGAGATTTATGCTTTAAAGAGGTTCTGTTTTGATGTGTTTCCAGAATTTGTTTCAATATTTAGAGCTCCTTCTAGCAGTTCTTGTAGTGGTGGCTTGGTAGTGACAAATTCTCTCAGTGTTTGTTTGTCTGGAAAAGACTGTATCTTTTCATCATATATGAAGCTTAGTTTCACTGGATACAAAAATCTTGACTGATCGTTGTTTTGTTTGAGGAGGCTGAAGATAGGGCCTCAATCCCTTCTAGCTTGTAGGGTTTCTGCTGAGAAATCCACTGTTAATCTGATAGGTTTTTCTTTATAGGTCATCTGGTGCTTCTGTCTCACAGCTCTTA
This sequence comes from Homo sapiens, assembly GCF_000001405.40. Lineage (NCBI taxonomy): Eukaryota > Metazoa > Chordata > Mammalia > Primates > Hominidae > Homo > Homo sapiens. Next base: position 152,127,787 of record NC_000004.12, read on the forward strand.
AGATTCTTTCCTTCCTCTTAACTTTAGACAACCTGATGACAATGTGGCTAGGTGATGATCTTTTTGCAATGAATTTCTCAGATGTTCTTTGTGCTTCTTGTGTTTGGATGTCTAGGTCTCTAGCAAGGCTGGAGAAGTTTTCCTCGATTATTCTCCCAAATATGTTTTCCAAACTTTTAGATTTCTCTTCTTCCTCAGGAACACCAATTATTCTTAGGTTTGGTTGTTTAACATAAGCACAGACTTCTTGGAGGTTTTGTTCATATTTTCTTATTCTTTTCTTTTTTCTTTGTCTTTGTTGGACTGGGTTAATTTGAAGACCTTGTATTTGAGCTCTGAATTTCTTTCTTCTACTTTTTCAATTTTATTCCTGAGACTTTCCAGAATATTTTGCATTTCTATAAGTGTACCCATTGTTTCCTGAAGTTTTGATTGGTTTTTCTTCATGCTATCTATTTCCTTGAATATTTTTCCCTTCACTTCTTGTATCATTTTTTGGATTTCCTTGCATTGGGCTTCACCTTTCTCTGGTGCCTCCCTGATTAGCTTAATAACTAACCTCCTAAATTCTTTTTCAGGTAAATCAGAGAATTCTTCTTGGTTTGGGTCCATTGCTGGTGAGCTGGTGTGATATTTTGGGAATGTTAAAGAACCTTGTTTTGTCATACTACCAGAGTTGGTTTTCTGGTTCCTTATCATTTGGGTAGGCTCTGTCAGAGGTAAGGTCTAGGACTGAAGGCCGTTGTTCAGATTCTTTTGTCCCACAGGGTGTTTCCTTGCTGTAGTACTCTCCACCTTTTCCTATGGATGTGGCTTCCTAAGAGCTGAGCTGTAGTGATTGTTATCTCTCTTCTGGATCTAGCCACCCAGCAAGTCTACCAGACTCCAGGCTAATACTGGCTGTTTTCTGCAGAGTCCTGTGATGTGAACTGTCTATGGGTCTCTCAGCCATGGGTACCAGCACAGTATTAGGGGCGTCTCTTGAGTTCTGCAGGAGCAATCCACTTCCTTTGGAGGGGTCTGTGGGTCCTCTCAGGTTTCTTGATTTATTCCTGCAGTCCTTCTGGAACAAAAAATTCATGATGCGAGCCTCCACACACTGCTCTGTCCATCTGAGTTGGAGCTGCAATCTAGTCCTGCCTCCCATCCGCCATGATTGTAGCAATTCCATAATCAGAAAATTTCATTTCAAAGCTTCCAGGGGGTCCTGGTGTCTTAGCTGTGGATCTCCCAATACCTGCAGGTCGCAGGGCCACAGAGGCTGGGCTTCTAGGAACAGAGGACACAGAGCAGTGAAGACGAGACCTCTCAAAATTTTTTTCTAATTCCCTTGTGACTTCCACTTTGATGACAGGTTATGTACAAGTATATTATTTAATTTGTAAATATTGTGGGTTTTCCAGATATCTTTCTGTCGTTGATTTCTAGCTTAATTCTATTAAACCAGAACTCTGGCAGGAGAACATACTTTGCATTACTTCAGTTCATTTAAATTTGCTAAGATTTATTTTATGGCTCAGAATATGTTATATCTTGTGAATGTTTCATGTGCATGTGAAAAGGGAATGTATATTGTGCTATTGTTGGGTAGAGTGCTCTATGAATGTCAGTTAGCTCAAGTTGGTTGATAGTGTTGTTCAGTCACCTATCTCCTTACTGATTTTCTGTCTGCCTGTTCCATCTATTGCTGAGAGAGAATTGTTGAACTCTAGTCACAATTTTGAATTTATCTATTTCTCTTTTCAGTTCTTTCAGTTTTTGCTTTATGTATTTTTTTTTTTTTTTTTTTGAGACGGAGTCTCGCTCTGTCGCCCAGGCTGGAGTGCAGTGGCGCGATCTTGGCTCACTGCAAGCTCCACCTCCCGGGTTCACGCCATTCTCCTGCCTCAGCCTCCCGAGTAGCTGGGACTACAGGCACCCGCCACCACGCCCGGCTAATTTTTTGTATTTTTAGTAGAGGCGGGGTTTCACTGTGTTAGCCAGGATGGTCTCAATCTCCTGACCTCATGATCCGCCCGCCTCTGCCTCCCAAAGTGCTGGGATTACAGGCGTGAGCCACCGTGCCCGGCCGCTTTATGTATTTTGAAGTTCTATTGTTCAGTCCATATTTCTTTAGGATTGTTATGTCTTCTTGATGAATTGATCCCCTTATTATTATTATCTTACATAATTTTGTAACCCTAGTAATATTTCTTATTCTAAAGTCTACTTTGATATTAATGAAGTCATGCTTACTTTTTTGATTAGCATTTACTTGGTATACTTGATATATCTTTTTCATCCTTTAACTTTCAACCTCTCTATATTTTTGTATTTAAAGTAGGTTTCTTATAGACAGCATCTATCTTGCTTTTTTAACCAAACTGACAATGTCTGTCTTTTAATTTGATGTGTTTAGTCATTTATATTTAATGTAATTATTGACATGGTTGGACTTACCTGCCATATTGCTATTTGTTTTTTATTCGTTCAATGTGTTATTTGTTTTTTGTTGTTGTTGTTCTCCTTTGCCTGCTTTTGGATTGAATACGTTTTATTCAATTTTGTCTCTAGTATTGACTTATTATTTATGCCTTTAAAATTTTTTAATGGATGTCCTATGTTTTATAATATATGTCATAATTAATTACAATCTACCTTCAAATAATATAGGACTTCATGTATAATGTAAGGACTTTACAACAGTAAACTTCTCATTCTTCCTTCCCATTCCTCCCTCCTACTATTTTTGTTTTAGAGAGTCAGTTATCTTTCATTCTAGAGAATGATTAAACATAACAAAAAATATTTTTACCTTTATTTTAACCATTTCCTTAGATCTTTATTTTTTGTTTGTAAATCTAAGTGTCTGTTGGATGTCATATCTGTCTAGAAGAGTTTCTTTTAATATTTCTAAAGGTGCAGAGTTGCAGGTAGTGAATACTCTCAGCCTTTGTTTGCCTAAAACAGTATTTATTTCACTTTCATTTTGAAAAATACTCTGGCTAGATACAGAATTCTGGGTCTACAGTTTGTTTGTTTATATATTTCCTTTCAGTACTTTACATTTTTCACTGTGTTGTCTTCTGGATTGTATAGCTTCACAATAGAAATCAGTTGCAATTCTCATCTTTTTCCTTGTGTCTATTTTTCTTTAAATATTGTTTACAGGAATGTGCATGCATAAGATGTGTCAGGCATATTGTTTCTCTTCTTCCTCCTCCTCCCCTTCCTCCTTCTCGTCCTTTTTTTTTTTAATTTCTCATGCTTGGGGATGTCTGAACTTCTTAGATCTGTCCAGTAATGTTTTTCTTTATTTTTGGAAAATTCTATGCCATTGTCTCTTCAAATATTTCTTCTGCTTTGTCCCTTTCTTATCTTTTGGGATTTCAATTACGGGTACATTGAACAATTTGATATTGTCTTACAGTTCTATTCTGTTTTTCTTACTTTTTATTTCTTTTAGTGTTTCAGTTTGGGTAATTTCTGTTGACCTGTTTTCAAGTTCACTGATCCTCCACTGTGTCAGTTCTGCTTGTGAGCCCTCAAAGGCATTCTTCATCTCTTTTTATTTTTGGCATTTTCATTTGACTCTTTCTTATAGTTTTCATCTCTCTGCTCAAATTTTTCATCTGTTTATTCATGTTCTTCACTAGCCCACTAGAGCTTTTAAATATTAATTATAGTAATTTCCTGTCTGCCAGTACCAACATCCAGGTCATCCTTGAGTTTGATTCTGTTGATAACTTTGTCTCGAGTTGATTTTTTCCTGCATTTTCCTCTGTCTCATGATATTTTGTTGCGTGCTGGAATCATGTGTAAAATAATAGAGACTGAGATAAGTATTATTTCTGTCTAGAAATGAGCATGTCTTTTCTTCTGTCTGGGCTTTAGTGTTGAGTCAATCTAGTTAGGAGTTGAGGTGGACTTGGGTTTGGGTTTGTGGCCACCTTTTGTTCAGTAGTAGCTTCCAATTCCTCTAATGCAGTGGTTTTAAACCAGGGGTGACTTCCAACCCCCAGCGAATATTTGGCAATGTCTGGAGACATTTTTTTTAGTTGTCGCAACTGGGAAAAAGAGATGATACTGCAGTATAGTGGGTAGAAGCCAGGGATGCTGCTAAACACACTACAACACACAGCACAGCCTCCCACAGCAAATAATGACATGGCCAACAATGTTAATAAGACAAGCTTGAGAAATCCTGGTCTAACTTTGAATTATACTTAGGGTAGAGGGAATAAGATTCCAGAGATTTATTCTCAAAGATTCTTGTCTACCATCATGTTTCAGCCTTTACTATGTGCCTGTACCTCAAAGAGAGTCTCTTTTAATACTCTTGCCTGTATATAACAGTAGACAGCTGTTGCTTGTTACTTGGATTTGCTGGTAGTGGAAAGTGGGAGGGGGCTGCTCTTTATTTCCCAGCTCACCCACAGTCTCAGGCAGGCTCTGTGTCCTGGGTATCATTCTTGGGGCTTTTTCAAGGATTCTACCCCTCCTCCCTATGGCAGGCAAACTGTGTCCTGTGTCTTTGGTGAATCATCCTGCCCTCCTCCAGCAGTAGAAGACCTCTCACAGCATTGGTGTAGGATCCTTGGCCCAGGAGTGCCTCCGGCCCTTTGCCCAGAGGTAACAGTGTTTTTCTCTTTACCGTTTCCCTGTATCCTGCAGGTGTCAAGATTTATTGCCCACCTTCAGGAGCTCAAGGCTTTTGCTCAATGGAAGTGAAGGCTTTTGCCTTTCCTGCATTGGCAGCTGCTTCTTCCTCCAGATCTGCTTTCTCAGGTCTCCCACCATTGCCCCAGTCTTACCTGTGAGCACCTGGAGAAGGTCCCTGGATAAGAGCCTTGGGGTAGATACAATGTCTCTTATGTCCGTGGGTTCTATACTGTCTCAGTAGCCAGACTCGTTTTTTACTATTTATTAAAATGTTAGCTTAACTCTTCATATCCATGAGTATGGCACATGATGTCTCTTCCTCCTGTGCTCCTCCATAGGGGAGCCAATGTTAATGCCCATCTTTTCTAGGAGGGGCCTGTTTTTCCTTAGATTTCAGACTACTTGGCTGCCCTGCTCATATGTTTCTCCTTGTTGCTCTTTCCAGCTGCCTACATTCTAGGCACCATCTTTGCTGGGCATAGAGTTTTAATAAAGTCTGTACTGTGGCAATGCATTTTTTTAATACAAATGAGCTTACAAGTAATCAAGCAGGGGATGAGTCAGTATTATGCAGAAGTTGTGTTGGTTCTGAGGCAACTTTCCCCAGCATGTTAATATTTTGAAGCAATTTGAAGTAAACTTTTTCAAAACTAAAGTATATGCTAAAACTTCAGGGAAAAAAACCCTGAAAATCTGCAGTCTTGCCTTTCTTTAGTTCAAGTAGTTTCTGGTTCAAGCAGTGGCTTCCAGAACTCTATGTTTGCACTTTCTTAAACTGTCTGGGCAGAGTGAGAGTGCAGATAAAATATTATGCCCTGAGTCAAAACAAGAAGTTAATGAAGAAGGCTATAACCTAGATCCAAATTTTAATATTGATGAAAATGTTCTCAGTCAAAAGCGAATGCCCTCTAAAACATATTTCAAAAGAAGTATTAGCCATAGGCTTCATATTCCTGAATATACCTATGTCAGTACTTTGACTAGGATTACTAGTGATCTTTATTAATATCCTGCTTTCAAACTTCCATAGGTTTCAGTGATTTGTCCCAATCCTATTTTCCCCATAAGCTCTGTTATTTTTGGTGCATAACTTTTCAGAATGGGAGTTTTTAAGAATGCAAGAATGATAATATTGCAAAAAATGCCTGTAATATGTGTTTTTCTTCTGATCATGAAAGTAATACATGCTCATTATTGAAAAACTGGAAACTACAGAAAAGTACAAGAAAATAATGCAATAATTGATCATTATTCTACTCATAGATATTTTTAATATCTTACTAGTTTTTTTCCAGTTCACATATACTTATTTTAACCATAGTGAGAATCAAGATGCTACATTTTTCAAAATGAAAGAATGCAAAACATTTTTAAAAATAATTTCTGCAGTGATGAGGGAAAGAATGCACTTAGGGAAACTAGACACACACACACACACACACACCATAAAACAACCCTCCTATCCTGAGAAAATAACTCTTTAGGGTAGAAAATGGGCACGTTCAGAGTTTAATCCAATTGAAGTTAAAACAAATGGAACTTAGGTCATGATTTTTTTTTTTTTTTTTTTTTGAGACAGAGTCTCACTCAGTCACCCAGGCTGGAGTGCAGTGGCGCGTGATCTCCGCTCACGGCAAGCTCCGCCTCCCAGGTTCATGCCATTCTCCTGCCTCAGCCTCCTGAGTAGCTGGGACTACAGGTGCCTGCCACTACACCTGGCTAATTTTTTTTTTTTTTTGCATTTTTAGTAGAGATGGTATTTTACCGTGTTAGCCAGGATGGTCTCGATCTCCTGACTTCGTGATCTGCCTGCCTTGGCCTCCCAAAGTGCTGGGATTACAGGTGTGAGCCACTGCTCCCGGCCAGGTCATGATGATTTTTAAGCAACAAAATCTATATTAGTCAGGATTCTCCAGAGGAACATAATCAATAACATATGTATAGCTTATATATGAGGGAATTTATTATGGGAATTGGTTCACACAATTATGGAGGCTAAGAAGTCCCACAATATGCCCTTTGGAAGCTGGAGAACCAGGGAAGCCAGTGGTTTGAATCAGACTGAGTCTGAAGATCTGAGAACCAAAATGGGAGTGGGGGATGAGGGGCTTCTGGTGTAAGTCCCAGAGTCTGAAGCCCTGAGAACCTGGAGCTCCGATGTTGGAGGACAGAAGAAGAAGAAGGATATCCCAGCTCATGAAAAGTGTTCTTCTCCAGATATGATGACTTTGAAATTTTGGACCTTTAAAAGGATTTTTCTGAATCAAAGACATAAAAACGTATGGCTTATGTAGATTCAAGTAAAACTTTTTTGGCATGTATGCTGCGGCAAGTAATCCATACTTCAATCGTACAGCAAAACTCCAACACTAATTTGTGTTAAGAATAACCATCTTGCTGAATCTGCTGAAGGAATGATCTTCTGCAATGCTCTCTACTCTCCAGTGTTGAACTCTGGAATTCTGCAAGTGACAAGGAAGAAATGAACAGGGCAAAACATCTGCAGTAATTCAATAAGAATATGATGTGTATATTTCATTTCTCAAATTTTATTTTAGATTCAGGGTATGCATGTGCTTGTTTGTTACATAGGTATTACATGCACAATGGTGGGGGTTGGCTTCTAGGGTACCCATCACCCAAATATTAGACATTGTACTCAGTAGGTAATTTTTCAACCCTCACCTTCCTCTTTTCCTCCCAGGTTTAGAATCCTCAGAGTCTATTTTCTTCATCTTTATGTCCATGTGTACCATGTGTTTAGCTTACACTTCTAAGTGAGAACGATATGTGCATATTTGATTAATATAGTAGCCCACCCACTGCAAGTGGGTCTTTAAAGAGAGAGAGAGAGAGAGAGAGAGAGAGAGAGAGAGAGAGAGATTGCACAGGGGAAAGGATCATCCTTCCTTTCCCTCTCCCCCATCAAAGAACACTCACAAAACAAGAGCAAATACTCTGGAATTCTCTGGCCTCCAGATGAAGGCTAATGTGAGTTTCATTTCGTGATTAAAAAATAACCTGTTGTCAACATGTTTACATGGATGGAAATGCACAGACACACAGAGACACAGGCACATGCACACATCATTATTATTAGAAAAGGTAAAGCTGTCATTGAGCTTAAAAACAAACAAACCACTAAGCCACAGATCTAAGGGCAAATGCTGTGGTAGGTAAGTGCATGTAACCACTGGACTTAGAGACTCTATTTTTTATTGCATTTCTAATTTACTTTGATTTACTAGAACTAATTTGCAATAGTGACTGGCAGCCAGCCCTTGGAAAGGGTGCTTCCAAATTTAAAATTCAATTTTAATTCATTTCAACAAATGCTTATTGAGCCCTTTCTAAGTGCCAGGTATTATGCTAGGGCCTGGGGATAGAGATGTGAATAAGAAACATGGTGGCCCAGTCCACAGTCTAGCAAAATGTCAGAATTAAGATTACCCACTGATTTCCCTCATAATACATCTACTACCAAGCACTTTCTAGGATTCCAACTCATGCCCTCCACTTGGCCAGTTGTCTGGGGCTGCCTCATAGGAGCAGGGGCCATGAGGCACACCCTCTGGTAGTAGCAGGGTTTACAGAAACATGGAGCCTTTGAGCCAGCAGAGCTGGTGCTGCTGGTATAGATAGGGTTGGTCATAGCATTAGGGCTCAGAGGCAGCCCAGCAGAGTCCAGACCCTTACCAGGCAAGCTCTGCAGCTGATTTTGGATATTGTTCTGAATGTGCAGGTCCTCCATAGCCTCAGCAACTCTGTGAGCCAAATGTTATCCTCTTAATATATCCTTTTTGTGCTTAAAGCAGCCAGAATCTGTTTCTGTTGCTTGCACCTCAGAATCCTGACTGATACACATGGTTAACCTTCTACCCGCTAAGAACATTCTGTTCCATTTCAAATCCCATACAGGAAAATGCCTGGAGAAAACAAATAATGTTCTATATTACTGTAACATACTTTATCAAATTTAAAAAGTCCTTTTAGCCAGTGGTTCTCAGATGCAGTCCTGGTTCTCACATGGACATATCATCACTAACTCTAGGTGGTGCATCTGTAAGTCTGTTACAAATCAAAAATGGAAATGTAGGGATTTTAGTTTTCCATCAAATTAGAACCAATTCAATGCCACCACTGTCACTCACTTGCATTCATATTTGTTTTCTTGAACAAGAAAAAACAAGTGGAATGATGGTGCTAAAACTGTTTTCACAGACTACACTTTATTCTGTTTGGGCTGCATCTTGAGAAGTGTCTTAGGTATGGCTGACATCTGCATTAAACTGTTTCATCTTTCCAATATGCAGGGGAGAGCCTGCTTGCACACATGAGCAAACACTGTACTATGAGAAGTGACCATTTCAGGAAGGGCTGTATTTGCGGTACTGCCCACTCAGGACACACGTGTTCCTTGCAGGTGCCCACCACCAACTTTGGTGGCCATGGTATCAACCCATCCACCAGCAACCTTTCATATTAAGTTACAGAACACATATCATGGGGGCCCAATTTAACTCAAGGATGGGGAAATGTTTTAAATTCTAGAGCTGCTCTGAGCCATATGAGACCAGTAACGTTGTGTAACCTTTCTTTACTGTTTCTATGTGTGTTCCACGCACAGCTGTTGCAAGGTATGATATTATAGTTTGCCCAGACTCTGGCACCTGTTGTAGGCAATTTGAAATAAAAACAAGTTGGTGGGGAACATGATAAGATATCTGAGAGCACATTTCATTCACTCAGAATACCCCCGCAGACTATTCTATTTCAGCAAACTCCGTAACCATTCTTCTTTGTCATTATTTGCCAAGAGAGGGGGAAAATAACACATCTCTTTTTATAGAAAACAAATCGGTGCTCTGTGGTCCAGAGGCTGCAGATACAGGCCTCTTTTGCTCCCTCTCTTCCAGGCTGTTCTCCCTTCTCTTGTTTGTGCTCATATTTCCTCCACCCTTTCAATTTGTCACAGTTGCCTTTCCCAAAAGAGCTTTCATTTCCTCTTGTTTCTCTTTCTGCACTCCCTCCCCATTGCTTTTTATGAGAGGACATTGAGGCCCTGGCAGACCCAGGAAGGAAAACAAATTAATGCCACAGCCCCCTCAGGGATGGGCATGTCTGGCTCCATGAACAGAGGGGACTTGGCATGGGCATCCACCTAGTAACCCTTGAGACGCCCTGCTCAGGGGCTCACCCACGTCCCTCCCACCTCAAAATTGTCTCCTTGACTATGAGATTGCTTGGGACTGATTTGAGAAAGAGCTCGGAGGTCAGCGATATCTACTAGGACAGGAAAGGGAGATTTGGAAAAGGCAAGAAAATGCAACTGCACTGTGCATTGTTGACCCCACTAGAGTCCTCCAGATTCATTCATTGATGCTCAGACTGCTTTTTGGTCTTTAGTTTCTGTTCTGAAAATGGAAGTGCTATACCTAAATTCTTTACCAGCCAACATAGTTTTTGACAACCTGTTATGAGGCTGGGGATGGAGAGACTTGGCCCAGAGCATACAAAACCCAGAATGGGACTCTGAACAAAGAGATGTGAGGCAAGCCAACTGTGTCTAACTCAATGCTGCCTGAGGAATGGGTAGGTGGTCTGCTATGTAAAAAAGAGAACTGGGTTTACAGCTAGACATACCTGAGTTCAAATCTCAGCAGCTCTATGTAGTCTTAGGGAAGTCACTCTGTTTCCTAGAGCTTCAATTTTCTCATCTGTAGAATATGGATCGCAACAACTTCCAGGGGTATGGTGTGTATTCAAATAGATAAGGTATATAAAGTGCTTAGTGAAGTGCCTGACTATGAAATAGCCCCTCAATCAAGTACAGCAAGTATTTTCAATACATATAATACTGTTGGAATCATAGCCAAATAGTCATAGTTGAATCTCCATTGAGAAGGGTCAGTCTCTTTTCTACTTGTTTCTCCTTCTCCTTCTTTTCCTTCTCCTGCTCATTTTCTTCTTCTCCTTCTTCTCCTTCTTCTTCTTCTTCTCCTTCTTCTTCTTCTTTTTAACAGCTTCATTTATGTAAAATTGAGTGATTTTAGCTGTAAGAGCTTGGAGATCGGCAATATCTACCAGGATAGCAAAGGGAGATTTGGAAAGGGCAAGGAAATGCAACTGCACTCTGTATCAGTTTGTAAGCCTTAGCCCTAACCTCTAAGCAGATCAACTCCGGAGAGCATGATGAAGCAGGATGCTTCAGGAGGATCGGCTGCATCATGACCACAAATGCCACAGTGCCATCTGTTCATGCAAGATGCAGACAGGCAAAGACTTGAAGGAGGAAAGAGGGACTTTGGGACCTCACCTCCAGCAGCCCTCCAGCTCTGGGGCCAACACAGGCAGGGACAACCCCTGCCCCTGCAAGTTGTCCATAGAAATGGCCCCTCCCTGCTCTGATTTCCCTTTTATGCTTCTCTTCCACAGGGGGATTTGTTCTTCCTGTGCTGCATTCTCCCCAAGGGAGCCAGTTTTCCTCCAGCCACCTGAACTCTTGCTCATCTCCACATGCCAATTGCCACTCATTGACAATACTCCCAGCGCACACAGGAGAAAGGGCAGCTAGAGGTAGCACAGCACAGGCACAGAGACAGGCCCCTGCCACCCACGCTGGCTCACGGGCTGGAATGGAAATAACCAAGAACTCGAGTGGGACCCAGAAAACCAGAAAAGTCACATTTTACATCTTGGTCAGCCTGTGCCTCTGGAAGTCTCATTATGTCCAAGTGTCTGGTAAATAGAAAGGACCTACTGACATGACTTGCAGAGCTAGTGGGGAAATGGAAACCTGCAAAAATAGCTGCAAAGTAGCCATATGTAGAAAGCTGAAACTGTGTCCCTTCCTTACACCTTATACAAAAATCAATTCAAGATGGATTAAAGACTTAAACGCTAGACCTAAAACCATAAAAACCCTAGAAGAAAACCTAGGCATTACCATTCAGGACATAGGCATGGGCAAGGACTTCATGTCTAAAACACCAAAAGCAATGGCAACAAAAGACAAAGTTGACAAATGGGATCTAATTAAACTAAAGAGCTTCTGCACAGCAAAAGAAACTACCATCAGAGTGAACAGGCAACCTACACAATGGGAGAAAATTTTCACAACCTACTCATCTGACAAAGGGCTAATATCCAGAATCTACAATGAACTCAAACAAATTTACAAGAAAAAAACAAACAACCCCATCAAAAAGTGGTCGAAGGACATGAACAGACACTTCTCAAAAGAAGACATTTATGCAGCCAAAAAACACATGAAAAAATGCTCATCATCACTGGCCATCAGAGAAATGCAAATCAAAACCACAATGAGATACCATCTCACACCAGTTAGAATGGCAATCATTCAAAAGTCAGGAAACAACAGGTGCTGGAGAGGATGTGGAGAAATAGGAACACTTTTACACTGTTGGTGGGACTGTAAACTAGTTCAACCATTGTGGAAGTCAGTGTGGTGATTCCTCAGGGATCTAGAACTGGAAATACCATTTGACCCAGCCATCCCATTACTGGGTATATACCCAAAGGACTATAAATCATACTGCTATAAAGACACATGTACACGTATGTTTATTGCGGCATTATTCACAATAGCAAAGACTTGGAACCAACCCAAATGTCCAACAATGATGGACTGGATTAAGAAAATGTGACACATATACACGATGGCATACTATGCAGCCATAAAAAATGATGAGTTCATGTCCTTTGTAGGGACATGGATGAAATTGGAAAACATCATTCTCAGTAAACTATCGCAAGAACAAAAAACCAAACACCGCATATTCTCACTCATAGGTGGGAATAGAACAATGAGATCACATGGACACAGAAAGGGGAATATCACACTGGGGACTGTTGTGAGTTGGGGGAGGGGAGAGGGATAGCATTGGGAGATATACTTAATGCTAGATGACGAGTTAGTGGGTGCAGTGCACCAGCATGGCACATGTATACATATGTAACTAACCTGCACAATGTGCTCATGTACCCTAAAACTTAAAGTATAATTAAAAAAAAATAGCTGTAAAGTGATCAAGAAAAATTACTCTGGAGAAAGATGATTCGTATTCCCATGTTGAAGATTTCAGCTGAGAAGGAATCAATGTCTGTTCTTCCTCGTTTATTTTTGTTACAGCTTTATTTGCATAGAATGGAGGCATGATAAATTGCACATATTTAAAGTGTAAATTTGACGAGACTTGACATAGGTAGACACTGGTGAAACTTTCACTGCAATCAGGATTATGAATGTCTCCATCCTTGCTAATATTTCCTCATACTCCCTTGTAATTTGTCCTTCCTTCCCATCAGCCCTAGGCAACCACCGATGTTTTGTTTTGTTTTGTTTTGTTTTTGCCATTATAGGTTAGTTTTTAGTTTATGAAATTTTATTAAAATGGAATTATATACTATATAGTCTCATTTGGGAGGTCTGGCTTCTTTTACTCAACAAAATTCTTTTGAAATTCACCCATGTATTTTCACACATCAATACAATTGTGTATTTTTGTCATACATTGTTGTTGTTGAGTAAAACTTACGGGACAGTTATAACACATTAAAAAAAATTCCAAATGTCTGTTTCTTTCTAAATATTGTTCCCACCCACTTTTTGGGAATGAGATGGTAGACACTTGGTCTTTAAGAGTTCCTCAAGCTGGTATCATTCCTTCCAAAACTATTCCAATCAATAGAAAAAGAGGGAATCCTCCCTAACTCATTTTATGAGGCCGGCATCATGCTGATACCAAAGCCTGGCAGAGACACAACAAAAAGAGAGAATTTTAGACCAATATCCCTGATGAACATCAATGCAAAAATTCTCAATAAAATACTGGCAAATCTAATCCAGCAACACATCAAAAAGCTTATCCACCACGATCATGTCAGCTTCATCCCTGGGATGCAAGGCTGGTTCAACATATGCAAATCAATAAACAGAATCCATCGCATAAACAGAACCAATGACAAAAATCACATGATTATCTCAATAGATGCAGAAAAGGCCTTTAACAAAATTCAACAGCCCTTCATGCTAAAAACTCTCAATAAACTCGGTATTGATGGAACATATCTCAAAATAATAAGAGCTATTTATGATAAACCAACAGCCAATATCATACTAAATGGGCAAAAACTGGAAGCATTCCCTTTGAAAACTGGCACAAGACAAGGATTATCTCTCTCACCAATCCTATTCAACATAGTGTTGGAAGTTCTGGCCAGGGCAATCAGGCAAGAGAAAGAAATAAAGGGCATTCACTTAGGAAAAGAGGAAGTCAAATTGTCCCTGTTTGCAGATGACATGGTTGTATATTTAGAAAACCCCATCACCTCAGCCCCAAATCTCATTAAGCTGATAAGCAACTTCAGCAAAGTCTCAGTATACAAAATCAGTGTGCAAAAATCACAAGCATTCCTATACACCAATAACAGACAAACAGAGAGCCAAATCATAAGTGAACTCCCATTCACAATTGCTACAAAGAAAATAAAGTACCTAGAAATCCAACTTACAAGTGATGTGAAGGACCTCTTCAAGGAGAACTACAAACCACTGCTCCACGAAATGAAAGAGGACACAAACGAATGGAAGAACATTCCCTGCTCATGGATAGGAAGAATCAATATCAAGAAAATGGCCATACTGCCCAAGGTAATTTATAGATTCAACACCATCCCCAACAAGCTACCAATGACTTTCTTCACAGAAATGGAAAAAACTACTTTAAAGTTCATATGGAACCAAAAAAGAGCCCGCATTGCCAAGTCAATCCTAAGCAAAAGGAACAAATCTGGAGGTATCACACTACCTGACTTCAAACTCTACTACAAGGCGACAGTAACCAAAACATCATGGTACTGATACCAAAACAGATATATAGACCGATGGAACAGAACAGAGGCCTCAGAAATAATACCACACATCTAAAACCATCTGATCTTTGACAAACCTGACAAAAACAAGAAATGGGGAAAGGATTCCCTATTTAATTAATGGTGCTGGGAAAACCGGCTAACCATATGTAGAAAGTTGAAACTGGATCCCTTCCTTACACCTTATACAAAAATTAATTCAAGATGGATTAAAGACTCAAATGTTAGACCTAAAACCATAAAAACACTAGAAGAAAACCTAGGCAATACCATTCAGGACATAGGCATGGGCAAGGACTTCATGACTAAAACACTAAAAGCAATGGCAAGAAAAGCCAAAATAGACAAATGGGGTCTAATTAAACTAAAGAGCTTCCGCACAGCAAAAGAAACTACCATCAGAGTGAACAGGCAACCTACAGAATGGGAGAAAATTTTTGCAATCTACCCACCTGACAAAGGGCTAATATCCAGAATCTATAAATAACTCAAACAAGTTTAGAAGAAAAAAACAAACAACCCCATCAAAAAGCAGGCAAAGGATATGAACGGACACTTCTCAAAAGAAGACAATTATGCAGCCAACAGACACATGAAAAAATGCTCATCATCACTGGCCACCAGAGAAATGCAAATCAAAACCACAATGAGATACCATCTCACACCAGTTAGAATGGCAATCTTTAAAAAGTCAGGAAACAATAGATGCTGGAGAGGATGTGGAGAAATAGGAACACTTTTACACTGTTGGTGGGACTGTAAACTAGTTCAACCATTGTGGAAGACAGTGTGGCGATCCCTCAAGGATCTAGAACTAGAAATACCACTTGACCCAGCCATCCCATTACTGGGTATATACCCAAAGGATTATAAATCATGCTACTGTAAAGACACATGCACACGTATATTTATTGCAGCACTATTCACAATAGCAAAGACTTGGAACCAACCCAAAAGTCCATCAATGATAGACTGGATTAAGAAAATGTGGCACATATATACCATGGAATACTATGCAGTCATAAGAAAGGATGAGTTCATGTCCTTTGCAGGGACATAAATGAAGCTGGAAACCATCATTCCCGGCAAACTATCACAAGGACAGAAAACCAAACACTGCATGTTCTCACCCATAGGTGGGAATTGAACAATGAGATCACTTGGACACAGGGCAGGGAACATCACTCACTGGGGCCTGTCAGGGGGTGAGGGGCTGGGGGAGGGATAGCATTAGGAGAAATACCTAATGTAAATGACAAGTTGATGGCTGCAGCAAACCAACATGGCACATGTATGCCTATGTATCAAACCTGCACATTGTGCACATGTACCCTAGAACTTAAAGTATAAAAAAAAAAAAAAGAGTTCCTCAGCCCACAGCAGTCGCTCAGACCTGTAGTTCCAAGCTACTTGGGAGGCTAAAGCAGGAGGACTATGTGAGCCCAGGACTTCGAGGCTGCAATGAGCTATGACTGCACTGCTGTACTCCAGCCTGGATGACAGTGAGACCCTGTCTCAAAAAAAAAGAGAAAGTCCTTTAGTCTTTTACACATGAAATGATTCCCTTTCATGTGTTTCATGTGTTTTATTTTAGTGGCAAAGAAGTGAGCTTCTTGTATTCATCCAGAATTTGTCAGCAGCTGAACCACAAGTCAGGTTTCCAGTGAGTGGAGCAAGGAGTGGGGACACATAGGGAGTTTATGTAGAGAAAAGGAATGGAGCATATGTCAGCCTAGAAATCTTGGAAATGGCAGAAGTGGTCAGATGGAGATGATGCTAATCAAACATTTTCTGAAAAAAAAGTTAAATTTCTGAGAGTTTTTCATGTGTGGCTTTCAAAAAATATTTCTTAAAATTCACTATTCATGAAATTCAAGGATTTTAATTTTATCCTCCCACTATTCAGTAATAGTTTTGTTGCAGTTCTGAAAAATCACGCTCCAAAGTATGGCACTTTGGCATGCTGAGTACTTTGAACTGAAGGAGGTTGGAAGGCTGCCGAAGCAACCTCAGAAGCAAAGTCACCCTAACCTTCTCCTGCCTTTCTGTGTAGGAGCTGTCCTTAAAGAAGTTCTCTGACCTACTTTGACTGACAGTTGGCCATAAGACTCTCATTCCTAAGGGGTCCTGCCCTATACCAGGGAAGGAAAAGTGCTACACAGAGAGGCCAAGAAGAATCTGGATAGGCCTTGCTAGGTTTCCCCCCAAACTCTCTTACCATTAAATCCTACCTGTATTAATTTGTTTTCATGCTGCTGATAAACACCTACCCAAACTGGGAATAAAAAGAGGTTTAATTTGACTTACAGTTCCTCATGGCTGGGGAGGCTTCAGAATCATGGCAGCAGGTGAATGACACTTCTTACATGGCAGTGGCAAGAGAAAAATGAGGAGGAAGTGAAAGCAAAAATACCTGATAAACCCATCAGATCTCATGAGACTTATTCACTATCATGAGAATAGCACAGAAAAGGTTGGCCCCCATGATTCAATTACCTCCTGCTAGGTCCCTCCCACAACATGTGGGAATTCTGGAAGATACAATTGAAGTTGAGATTTGGGTGGGTAGACAGCCAAACCATATCATTCCACCCCTGACTCCTCCAAATCTCATGTTCTCATATTTCAAAACCAATCATGCCTTCCCAAAAGTCCCCCAAAGTCTTAACTCATTTCAGCATTAACCCAAAAGTCCACAGTCTAAATTCTCATCTGAGACAAGGCAAGTCCCTTCCGCCTATGAGCCTGTAAAATCAAAAGCAAGCTAGTTACTTCCTAGTCACAATGGGCATACAGGTATTGGGTAAATACAGCCATTCCAAATGGGAGAAATTGACCAAAACAAAGGGATTATAGGGCTCATGGAAGTCCAAAATCCAGTGGGGTAGTGAAATTTTAAAGCTCCAAAATGACCTCCTTTGACTCCAGCTTTCACATCCAGGTCATGCTGATGCAAGAGGTGGGTTCCCATGGTCTTGGACAGCTCCACCCCTGTGGCTTTGCAGGGTACAGCCTCCCTCCTGGCTCCTTTCACAGGCTGGTGTTGAGTGTCTGTAGCTTTTCCAGGTGCACGGTGCAAGCTGTCAGTGGATCTACCATTCTGGGGTCTGGAGGAAGGTAGCCCTCTTCTCACAGCTCCACTGGGCAGTGCCACAGTAGGGACTCTGTGTGGGGCTCCAAACCCACATTTTCCTTCTGCACTGCCCTAGCAGAGGTTCTCCATGAGGGCCCCGCCCCTGCAGCAAACTTCTGCCTGGGCATCCAGGTATTTCCAGACATCTTTTGAAATCTAGATGGAGATTCCCAAACCTCAAGTCTTGACTTCTCTGCACCCACAGGCTTGACACCATGTGGAAGCTGCCAAGGCTTGGGGCCTCCACCCTCTGAAACCACAGCCCAAGCTCTATATTGACTCCTTTCAGCCACAGCTGGAGCAGCTGGGACATGGGGCACTAAGTCCCTAGGTTGCACACAGCATGAGGAGCCTGGGCCTGGCCCATGAAACCACTTTTTCCTCCTGGGCCTCCAGGCCTGTGATGGGAGGTGCTGCCATAAAGATCTCTGACATGCCCTGAAGACATTTTCCCCATGGCCTTCGGGATTAACATTAGGCTTTTTGCTACTTATGCAAATTTCTGCAGCCAGCTTGAATTTTTCCTCAAAAAACTGGGTTTTTCTTTTCTACTGCATCATCAGGCTGCAAATTTTCTGAACTTCTATGCTCTCTTTCCCTTTTAAAACAGAATGCTATTAACAGCACCCAAGTAATCTTTTGAATGCTTTGCTGCTTAGAAATTTCTTTTGCCAGATACCCTAAATCATCTCTCTCAAGTTCAAAGTTCCACAAATCTCTAGGTTAGGGGCAAAATGCGACCAGTCTTTTTGCTAAAATGTAACAAGAGTCACCTTTGCTCCAGTTCCCAACAAGTTTCTCATCTCCATCTGAGGCCATCTCCACCTGGACTTTATTATTCATATCACTATTAGCATTTTTGTCAAAGCCATTCAACGAGTCCCTAGGAGGTTCCAAACTTTCCCAAATGTTCTTGTCTTCTTCTGAGCCTTCCAAACTGTTCCAACCTGTGCTCCAAAGTCATTTCCACATTTTCAGGTATCTTTTCAGCAACACCCCACTCCTGGTACCAATGTATTGTATTAGTTTGTTTTCACACTGCTGATAAAGACATACCTGAAACTGAGAACAAAAAGAGGTTTAATTGAACTTATGGTTCCACATGACTGGGGAAGCTTCAGAATCATGGTGGGAGGTGAAAGCCACTTCTTACATGATGGCAGCAAGAGAAAAATGAGGAGGAAGCAAAAGCAGAAACCCCTGATAAACCCATCAGGTCTTATGAGACTTATTCACTATCACGAGAATAGCACAGGAAATACCAGCCCCCATGATTCAATTACCTCCCCCTGGGTCCCTCCTACAACACATGGGAATTCTGGGAGATACACTTCAAGTTGAGATTTGGGTGGGGACACAGCCAATCCATATTGCTACCCTTTTTGTCCAGTCTTCTTTCCTATCCATTTTTCATTAAATTTAAGCCTAAAAATGGACAGATTTCCCTGGGTCTTTGGATCTTCACTTCTGAAGCCTCCCATGTCAGAGAAAACCTTGATTAAAATAAATTGGTTATACTTTTCCTTTATTAACCTGTCTTTTGTTATGGGAGCATTGGCCGTGACCATAATGATGGGTAAGGATAGGTATTAACACCTTCCAGCCTCTTGCAGTTTCCATTAGTCTTTCTGCAAAACATTAGAATTTGTTTTTCTTAGAAGACAATGCAATAGAATGAATACAGTAAACAATAGTATAATTTGAGAATTCAAATATCTTCTGGTCTAGTGTAGACATCATAGTACGTACTTTTCACTGTTTTCTTCATTTAACCATGAACATTTTCTTTAAATCAAAATCAGCTCCACACTGTTCCTCTCCTAGCTTTGGTTGTATAGGAATATTTTCTCTCCAGCTGACATGGACTTGCTTTATTCCTTTTTTCTGCAGACAAAAAATGTCAGTAGGCAGATCTTCAATGGAAGCCTGGTTATTTATGACTGTTCTTTTGTGATGAAAGGTGAATGGTCAGGTTGAGTTGTAAGAGAGGAAGGGAGAATTAGGAAATCACTACAGCAGTCAATGCTGGTAAGTTCAGGATTAGGACGAACAAGTAGGGAGTGAAAGAATAGGGAGGGAAGTTAAGAAAAGACTGAGGTGAAAGAGTTGAGAATCTTTCTGTCTACAGCACTGTCTTCCTCAGCCAGGAAACCAGTGACAGAAGAGCCAGCTGTTGAGAGGGAATCACCCAAGCTAGACAACTGGGAGCCACTTCAGTCTTCTTTCCTCTCAATTTAATTAGAAACTAAGACCTGTTGATTGCATTTCCTTAGCCTCTCTTTTGCCCTTTCCTCTCTTCTACTCCCACTGCTTTGGTTTAATGCCCATCACCTGTCAATCCACTGTGTTCCACCAGAGAGCCATTGCAAAGGTGCTCATCTGATCCCGCCTTGCAGGACAAAGTCCAAGTCCTAAACTTGGAGTCCCTGTAAGACCTGACCCCTGCTCACATCTGCAGCCTCATCCTCAGCGACATCAATTCCCCAGCCATGCCAAACCTCTTGCAGTTTCCTATAATTGCAGAAATACCTAGAGTACTTTTTTGAAAAATAAATTCCCAGGCTCTACCTCAGGAGGTTCTGGTTCGGTGGATCCAGCGGGAGGCCCATGAATCTCTTCTTTTCAAGATGCTCCCAGGTGATTCAATGGTCATCCAGCCTGGAGATTACTTCCTAGTTTGAGAATTAAATAGGTGAATATACATAACAATATTTTGTAAACTGTCAGTTTCCACACAGATGGCAGCCAGTGCTAACAAGAAAGGAAATGCACTGAAGAGCAGGCGGATGGTGCCAAGGCTAACACAGGTGGGAATTCTCCCGTCCCAGAAAATCTGACCAGCAGTGAAAACAGCCCCACAGCCCAGCCCAGGAAAAGTTCATAATACTCCCAGAAGATTTTTCAACCAATTTTTAAACTAGCCACATTGTTTAATCAAATGATTCATATAAGGAAGCCAAATTCTCACAGACACTGTTAGTAGAGTACCAGCAGCATTCCTCCTCTCTGTTCTTGCTGGCTGAGCCCAGATCCTGTTCAGGGTCTACATCTTCCATTCATGGTTCAGGAAAGGCCAATTATGGAAGGCCTTCTTGCCACAACTGGTTTAGACAGGGTTGGGACATGGCAGAGGAGGCCTGCACAGGAGCTTCTTGAAGAAATTAATCTTTCCTAGGCAGAGACATTTTGCCCTTTTCCCCCATTGGATATTTCCATGTCTGTGCAGGGTGCTTGGAACTATGGCAGCCCTCCTGCCACCTTGATAAGGGTTAGCACAAAGATCACACCCTGAGGAAGGCTAAACAGAAAACGGGAGGAACCCAGGTCCTTGAGGATGTTTCTGAGCCATCAAATTAACCAACCCTGGAATTTCTTTTTAAGTGAGATAATAAATCCTCTTTTTGCTTAAGCCATTTTTAGTTGGGTGTCTGTACTTTGCAACAGCAATAATTCTTATACACTAATGTATAAAACAGATTAAAATTGACAAATTATTATTAAATATTTATTTTATAGGCTTTAATTTGTAACTTTTATTATAAGAAGATAATGAAGAATTGCTGAGACACAAAACTTAAAATGGAGAGTTATGGATATAAATTGAAGTCATATCAGTCTTAGCATCCAATTTATTTTAGCATTTTGTTTTGAGTGTGTAATAGTGAGGGAAGTCTAATTTCCACAGATGAGTAGCTGCAAAAGGAGTACCAGTTTCGTTTTTTGTTTTTTTTTTTAATTTGCTTTGCAAACTCAAGACACTCTTCACTTAACAGTGATATCAGGAAAAGCTTTATTCCGATATCTGGGCTTATACACGCAAAATTAGGTTGGCAGGCACAAGTTAATGTGCTGATTGTTAAAGGTTGATATATAATATATTGTTTGTTTACATTAAAATATATGGTATTTTAAAATTTCAGCTGGGTGCAGTAGCTCACGCCTGTAATCCCAGCACTTTGGGAGGCTGAGGAGGGCTGAACCCAGGAGTCGGAGGTTGTAGTGAGTGGAGATTGTGCCACTGCCCTCCAGCCTGGGCAACAAAGTGAGACTCTGTCTCAAAATAAAATAAAATAAAATTTCAAATCAAGTGTTTGCAAAATACTCAAACGATCTCAAAAATATCCACAGGGATCTTAGGTTCCTCAGAATACACTTTCGAACCCTCTGTCCTAGCTTGTGCTAATTATACGCGATTCATCTAAAATCCAAGTTTCAAATGTGGTAGACAAGATCCTTTCCTCCTTCTATAACTCCAGTTTCCAAGACTCAAAGCTGGACCCTGTTTAATGTCATTCAAGTCTGGCAATAGGACAAATATTTCTTTAGCTTCATAGAAAATACACTCAAAAGAGGTGGTGTTTCACAGCGGGGAAGGGCTGACTGTGGGTCCAGACCACGCTGATGGCCTCTTCTCACTTCCTCCTCCCCCAGGCTCCAAAGCACTCCTTGTGCCCATGCCCACCCCCAGCTGCAGAACAACCCTGAGAGAGACTGGCAATGCACGCTGAGGCCAGACAAGAGAAACCAGGTGTCTTGGTTCTGGCTGCTATAACAAAGTACCACAGACTGGATGACTTATAAACAACAGGAATTTATTTTTCACAATTCTAGAGTGTGGGTGTCCAGGATCAGGGTGCCAGCAGGGTCAGGTTCTGGTAGCTGCCAGCTTCTGGTTGTCTCTTCATGTGGTGGAGGGCAGAGAGAGGGAGCAAATCTCCTGGCTCCTAAAGGGCACTCATCCCATTCATGAGGGCTCCCTTTATGACCTCATCCAATTCCAGTTACCTCCCACAGGCCCCATCTCCCAATACCATCACCTCGGGCAGTAAGGTTTCAACATGTGAATGTTGAGGGGACACAGATGTTCAACCGGTAAAGAAAGGAGCCAGCTCCCTTAACAGCCTTGCCCTGTAAGCCCACCTCTCCCAACCCCAGCCTCCCTTCCATTGTGGTTAAAACCTAGCTGTTTTTCAAGTTCACGTGTGCACATTTGCTTATTTCCTACCCAGAAAGAGCTAACAGGGCAGGCCCCTGGCATTGAGGGATGTCTTCTTGGTCTTTAACATAGTCTCTCTACAACCTTTTCCCCTCCACCCCACTCCCACTTTCCACCCAACTGGGCACAGTGATTTTCTACTTTCTAGTCTCTTCAAGTAATCCTAACAGGAAAAAAATCTGGTCTCAATATTATTCTTTAACTAAAACACACCAAAATTCTCCAAGCTATTTGTTTACTGAAGAAATGAAAGATCAAGACTGCAATCTCTTGGGAAAACCTGAGGCACTAGGTACAGAGGGGGGGATTTGGGGGAAAGCAGGGACTTCATTTGGTCCTGGAAGGCATGGTCTCCTCAAGAATTTAAACCATTTCAGAGCCCTGGGGACTAGGTGGAAAGGGACAGAAGGGCCCTAAGATGACCTCTTTTTGAGCCCAAAGCTCCTCATCTCTCCACCCAGATGTTGGGGATCCAGAGATGAGAACCACTGCATCCAGATGTGCAGTTCACAACTTACACAATTGTCCAGGGCAGCCCTGCCGGCGCTCTCTCCGTTGTGCATTCTCAGTGCTTTGTAATGTGATTCCCACTCAGCAAACCTCTTTAAAATGTCTACCATGTTTCAGGCACTATGCTAAGCATAGAACAAATCAAGATAAATAAAATATATCCTCCAGAAGACACAGTCTAGTGCAGAAAACAGATACCTGAAAATAAATATCCAGTGTTAAAAAAAAGTCATACACAGAATACTATATCAGCAGAGAAGGAAGATGTAATGTTGCCAAGAAGGATCAGAAAACTTCCAAAGGAGGGTGAAATCTGGGGCAGAATCTTTAAGGAAAAAGAGTAGGAATTCCCTATACAGACAAGAATATTCTAGGCAAAAGCTACTGGCTGGGCCAAGGCATGGAGATGTGAGGTTGGGTGATTTTTGCACAGCAATTTGGTTTGACTTCTACACTAGATCTCCCCACCATACCTGGAGGCCCCTTAGTTCCTCTTGCCTCACAACCTTTTAGGTAACTCTGCCCCTAGGCTCTCCTTTGTCTCAAAGGACTGAAAAGTCAAAGAAGAGATTCCTCGGCTGGGAGCGGTGGCTCACACCTGTAATCCCAGCACTTTGGGAGGCTGAGGTGGGCAGATCACCTGAGGTCAGGAGTTTGAGACTAGTCTGACTAACATGGCAAAATCCTATCTCTACTAAAAATACAAAAATTAGCCCAGCATGGTAGTGGGTGCCTATAATCCCAGCTACTTGGGAGGCTGAGGCAGGAGAATTGCTTGAACCCGAAAGGCAGAGGTGCCGCAGTGAGCTGAGATTGTGCCATTGCACTCCAGCCTGGGCAACAAGAGTGAGACTCCATCAAAAAAAAAAAAAAAAAAGAGAGAGAGAGAGATTCCTCAAGTGTGTGCAAAGCTAAGGGGTCCCAGAAGAGGAAGGATGTTTGCTTGCCTGAACATATCCCATGGTGTATAGATGAGCAGTAAGTCCTTATCTCCTACACCAGAATTCCTCTAAGTTCATGATATTCCCATTTCCTCATTCAATTAACAAACATTGGGTATCTCTTATATCCCAGCAGCTGTACGAGGAGATACACAGAGAAACCAAACATGCAGTTGCCTGCATGGTCCTTACTGGTGTGTTTCATGGTGTGTTTCCCCAAGGATTCAGTTGCCTGGACCCAGAGCAGTGACTGACTCTGCTGAATTAGAAAAGTGGAAAAACATCTTTTTCCTGCCCAACAGCACCTTTCACCCTCTTTGCCAGCTTTAAGACTTCAAGACCACCTCCAAAAACTCCTGAAGGTGGTATACAGATTCCACTGTGTTTGGAAGAGGCAGGATGGAGCACTAGAGATAAAAAGAGAAAGGGAGAGACAGGAGAAAAGGAAGAATGACCACTATCCTGCATAGCTGCCCAGCATCTGCTAAGAAAATAAAAATGGCTATATCTGCAGCCAGAGGCTTGTACCATCAACCACACACAGATCAATATGTGTTTATTGGCATTGACTCTTCTTTTTGTCAGTTTCTTTTCATTTTTTTCCTTTTGACTTTAAAAATAGTCTCTTCTTTTAGGAGAGAAAGGGATGTCCTTAATTTAACTCTTACAAATCTTATCTAATGCATAGTTATCCAGAGGCTTTACTTTATTCAAATGAGAGATATCAGTAAGTTTTAGGTTACTGAAAAGGAAAGATGTGATTTATTAAAATCAAATGTTTTCAGAGTATGAAAAGATGTAACCTAGAAGATATGATGGGGAGGAATTCCACAGGCCTATGGCAATTTAAATGTGTTCAAGCCAGTCTCAAATGAAGGATATTTTAGATTGTTCATTACTATCTAAAAGAAAAGGAAGAGGAAAAGGAGAAAAAAAGGAGAAGCAGCAATTGCCAAGAGACAGTTGTTCAATCCAATAAAGTAATGATCTGTGCAAACTCTAATTATTGTATTTGCAAAACAATATGTGTATAATTTGTGAACTTTCCCCCTCTCTTTCTAACACAATAAAGGATTCATTTCATAAAAACATTTTGTGTTTCTTTAGAAGATTTGGACAAAAACAATGCATCTTTAACTCTGAAAACACAATAATGGATCCTTGAAAGATTTATCTGAAATCAAATGCAGTTGTCATTCTATATCGATTATCTTGGCTATTCATTATCATATCCAGTCCATCATTTATATGCAGATGACGCTATCACTTATGGTAGTAGATTATGCTGGGAGGAAGCTTAATATTATCTTCAAGCTGATTTAAATGAGCTTTAAGATCATCTGGCACAATCTAACTTACTCTTAAATATTAATGGAACAAAGATCATGTTATTTGGCTCAAAACAAAAATTGGGGGAAACTGAAAAACTGGCATGCAGCATGACCTTGTCGAAAAATCTCAACTATTCAAGATTTGAGGTCTATCCTGTCTTCACCTGAGACCAAAAATATAACTGATTAGCATGGAAGGATGGAAGAATCAAAACTTCTTATTCAAGTACATATAGTTCTTATAGTTCTTTTTCTTCTCCTTAAGAAAAATTGTTTTCCATCTCTGCAGTGTTGGAGTTATGTGCCTTGGGTTTTGTTGGTTTTATTTATCTGAATGCAGCTCAACATTTGTTAGCCAAGTTAAAGATGCTTTCTCCTCTCTATCTGGACAGATTTGCCTTGAATTATACATCTCATAAACATTACCGTCTGTCGTCTTTTAAACAATTGGCTAAAACTTAGAAGACTCTCAACATTTTGTTGGCATAATAGCTTCCCTCACACTCTATTTCCCAACATCAGACCACTTAACTCTTCTTGTTCAGTCATCCACATTTTCACAGCAAAATTTAGTGAATGGGGGGAGAAAAAGCAATAGCTGAAAGAATTAATCCTTCGACAGCCCATAGCACTCAAGTTCTGTGTGTGCCTGCGTGACGTGAGTAAATGTGTGCACGTGCATGTACTTACATGGGAAAATGTCTTAAATTATGTAGATGACCTTTCTGGATCCCTTTTGCTCTCAAATGTCTCACTAAATCAAAGGAAAATCCCTTGCTGCCAGCCAGGGCTATGATGGGGCTCATGAGATGCCACAGCTGAGGCAAGAACACGGCTGTTTCCCTGGCTGGTTTCCCTGAAGAGGATGTAGATGCTCACAGAACTGGAGGCTGAGCCCCAGACCTGGCCAGCAGAGACAGCTCAGTCCCTGGCTGGTGATGAAACTGAGCCACTTTCAAGACAGGAACGGGGGATGCTCAGGAAGAAAATGATGAAAGCATCTTGGGGCAGATAGCCATCTTTGTTGTTATTGCTAAAGGTTTTCATTTATTACCACCTGCCTGACTTTTGAAGGATTCACTCAGTCATCAGCTTAATTGAGCCCTAGGCCTAATCATACCCACTAGCAGAAAATGAGATGTCATTTTCCAGGGACCTCCTGAAGGTGTCAATAGGAAAGGATGTCCCCTAGAAGGCAGCATGGGCAGGAATCCTGTAGGCCTATGGCAGTATGAAAGCGTGACAGTATTTTCTTAGTCTTGAATGGTGTGTGCCCATGTGTCTCTGCTCTCATGCTTATTCTGTACTCTGCCTCTCACTTGCAGATATTCCTCCATCTGCCCTTCTAAGAAAAGGAAGTCGAGTCAGAGAAGGGTTGAGTGTGTATGTAGGTGGATGAATAGATGGTGGTTGAATATAGCAAAAAAACAGGGATGTGTTTCATTGCTGGCTCAACAGATCTCTCCATACCTTTAGAAAAGAGAGAGAGAAAGGGAGAGAGAGAAGAAGGACTGTGCAAGCAGATGGTACAGTCATCTCTCAAAAGACAAGTTAACCTGAAGAATTTCACATCTATTAGAGAAGTGGGAAAATGTGCTCACCTAGGGCAAAGCTTAGCTTCCAGACTTCTGTCAAGTGACTGCTTCTAATCCTCTTCTTGAAGGCCCAATTCAAAGTTATCTTTTCTGCAACACTTTCTCTAACTCTCCCAGGAAGACTTCACTCTCTCCTCTGTGCTACCATAGCTCTTTGTTCATATCTCATTTACAGCCCTTCAATTTTGTGTGTGTTAGGATTGCATACATGTTGAAATCTCCACTGGGCCAGTCCCAGCCATTGTCTACCCAGCATCTCTCACAACCCTTCTTCCTTGGCAGCACAACACAACTTGGCTGAGTATTGGCAGTCAGGTGCGTTGGGGGGCTGGGTCCTTCCTCTCCCAGGCATGTGAGCCCACTTGCTCTCTCCAGCCATGGTGATTCAGTCACACGTCCAGTGCTTCACAGCATGTGACATGGCCTCATCAATGAGGCAGGAGAGGAAGTGTGCTGGGGCAGAGGCAAGGGGACTTCTAAGAAGTGTTTACTCCTAGCAAAAGACAAAAGGGAAGAGTGTACATATACAGATGTTGCTATGTGGGAACACGAACACTCAGAGGTGCTGCAACCATCTTGTGGACAAAAGCCACACACTAAGGAAGGCAGAACCCAAAGATGGAAAGGACCTGGATCACTGATGATGTCATTGAACTAACCCAGAGACCACACCATCCCTGGGCTTCTTGTCCATTTTGAGTTGTGTCTTCCGCAACTTACAGCCAAAAGCATCCTGATTGGTAAATCCTCTCAACCCATGTCGTGCAATACAACAGCCACTCATCACGTGTGGCTGTTTAAATTGTAATTAATTTTCATTTTATTATAATATATATAATTTAAGATTTAGTTCCTTAGTCACACTAGCCACAAATCCAGTAATCCAGTACTCAGTAACCACATGTGGTCAGCGGCTACACTATTGGACAATGCAGAATTACAGAACAACTCCAACACCTCAGAAAGATGCCTCCCACAGCATGGCTCTCACCTAAGACAAAAACCAGATTGTTTTCGTCTCTTTTCCTGGTGGATCACTGTGAAACAAAAATGCTGAATAAAGGAATGGGTTGTTTAAGTATTGTCTATTCTGAAGGAACTAGTCCTACTGGGTTCTAACAAATTTTTGAAAGTAGGGGCATCCCTCCCCACCCCAGTGATTCTTCAGTTCAGGCAGGTGGCAACGTCTGTGGTCACAGTCATCAACTCACTGCCTGGCTCCACTCCCTCTCCCTCCCGCAAACAGCAGCCCTCTTCAGGCTGTTCCCTGTGCTGTCTTTTTTTTTTTTTTTTTCTGAGATGGAGTCTTGCTCTGTCACCCAGGCTGGAGTGCAGTGGCGTGATCTTGGCTCACTGCAACCTCTGCCTCCCGGGTTCAAGTGATTCTCCTGCCTTGAACCACAGGCACCCGCCACCATGCCTGGCTAATTTTTGTATTTTTAGTAGAGACGGGGGTTTCACAATATTGACCAGGCTGGTCTCGAACTCCTGACCCCAAGTGATCAGCTGCTTTAGCCTCCCAAAGTGCTGGGATTACAGGCTTGGGCCACCATGCCCGGCCCTCTGTGCTGTCTTTTAACCATCTCCAGGAATCCGACCTTTTTCAGCCTTACTTTATGCCTCCAAAGTCCTCACTGACCTCTCTGCCTCTGAAAATCACAGATGCAGATAAAATATTCCTTTGATCCATGTTTGCTCCATACTTCAGGGTAGTGTAGACATAAGAACTGTGTCTGTGTCGACAGAAGCTGCCCACACACCAGCCAGACATGACAGCATTCCAGCTTTGCCTGTCAAGAGCCAGAGGCCTCCAGGGGCGGCGCTCCTCCCCCTCCTCCACACAAACCTGGTGTCTGTCCTTCTGTCCTGTTGCTGAGCAGTGCTTCATCACCAAAACCCAAAGCATTGCCCCGCCCCTCAGGGAAAGAGAGTGCACTCGGAATAAAGCCCTGAGTGAAAGTAAAGGGCACACGGTCCATGGAAACTTCTGCAGAAGCATCCTGCAGCTCCTTTAGAGTCCAAAGGCAGGATCTGCCTCAGTAGCCTGGGTGAATGGCTGCCAGGAGGATGCCAGGCAGTGCCCTCTCCTTCAGCCTCAGGTCCCGGGAAGGAAACTCTGCCCTTCACCATCAGAGAAGTCCACCTTCTGTTGTTTGAATGGCTGGGGAAAGAGGCTTGACTAAGCCCGATGGGGCATGGATTAGGGTTTCTCCTGCTTTCCCCAACCCTTCCCTCTTGCCTGCAATGTGGTACATAGGCGCTTTAAATAGTAACTGAGTTTTAGAGCTTTTGCCCTTGTAGCCACTTAAAAGTCTTTGGTCATAGGGCAGCCCACCAGAGAAGGCCAAAAATTAAGCTCTTTGGGTTTGTCCCAGCCCTTTGCCTTTCTCAGTAGAACTGCCATTATTTTCATCCTAACCCTTTGCATCAATTCTGCCACCTCCTGCCCACACGCACACTTCACAGCCATGCGCAAATGGCTCCTGGGAGCCACATGTTGCTGAAAGGACTGTGATTTAGGCTCTGATCAGTTCAGGATGCCTGATGTGGATGCTGGGGTGCTACTCATCTCTGAGGGGTGCCTTCAAGATTCATGATCTGTTGTTCTTTCTGGGGTGCCCAGGAGGGCTCTCTGCCAAGAGGCCAGAAACACAGGCCTCCTATTGTTCTGACAGTGACTGGGGAGTGGGGTGTATGTCTCCCACAGGGGCCTAACTCTACCAACCCCTGGGTTTGAAGAGGTATTTTATTAAGCAATGTTGACATGCTTGGCTTTAATTAGTGTCTTCACGATGTGCCAATTTTATAGGCTTGATCTTATAAATATGAACTTTGAACTGCAGTGTGTCATATGTGAATGAGAAAGATCTCAATTCAGTGAAGCCAGGGGTGAAATGCCACAGTGCATAGACAGCTACAAGAGATCTATGGCTGGGCTCCATTCTCAGCTCAGTCCTCGTGCTCTGTTGTGTGACCTCCCAAGTGACCGCAGGCAGAAGTCTAGTGAGTTCAGCAAGAAGCAAGCCCATCTATCTCCACCCCAAGGCGCGAGGGGGTAGTTGTGAGCTCTGACTACAGAGTCAGAATGACAGGGGTGTGCCCCAGCCCCCTTGGCTTATTAGCTGTCTTATGTCATTCATCTTAGTTTTTCTGAGCCTCGGCTTCCTCACTTCTTAAAATTCAGATTATAATGATGGAATCATTCTCTGAAAGCTGCTGTGAAGATTTGAATGTGGTGCCTGGCGCCACCCTAAGTCCTCCATAAATTAAAGGTGCAGCTTTTTTTTGTTTATTTGTTGTTTGCAGGGAGCTGGGAACAGGGGGAGCAGCTGCAGGCAGATGAAGCCTGAAGGACTCTGGGGTCTGGGGACCACAGAGAACTAAGTCAGGATGCACACTGGATGGAAATAGATTTATTCCAGAGAAATATTTGAGTGCAGCATTGGCTTGTCTTGAACTCAGTCCAAAGAAGAAGTTACTGCCAAATGGACCCCATAATGAGGCTGGGGTTTTTGGTGTGTGTTTTTTTAAATCAATAATGCAGAGGAGGAGGGCTGGAGCATGAGGTCCTTGTGGAAGGGGAGGTTTTACTGTCACCAAGAAACAGTTCATCTCTCACAGACTCAAAGAAGCTCACTGGAGCTTGGCCAGGGTGGCTGCAGCCCAGAGCTTTGAAGTCAACTGTTCTTCGGTTTCTCCTTTTTCTCTGTTCTTCTTCTTTTTTTTTCACTGCTTTTGTTGTTGTTCGTGTATACATGTATGTTGTGGTTTTGCTTTTGTTTTCATGGTGCATTTCCCTTTGATTTCCCTTTGAAAATTCCATGTGTCTGGGTTGTGTGATGGGGAACAGGGAAAGGTATTTGGGCTTTGTCCGTGTTGGACCCAAGAAAGAGAGGTCCCTCGGGCTTGAGAGTGCTGAAGGCCACCTCAGGAGCCCATCTCCAAAGATGGAAACTGTCAGCCTCCACCAGAGCCTTCCTCAGGACCTTCATCTGCCAAACCCAGGAGACCTCTGTATCCTTCGAAAGTACAGGCGGTTCTGTGGGATCAAGGACATGGAAGCACCATGGGGCAGCTCAGTGCAGGGCAGAGGAGACCTGGCTTGGGAGGCAGGAGCCGCTGGCATTTAACCTTCCATCCTTTCTACTGAAGAGTCCCTCAGCACTAACAGTTTGTCATCTTAACCTAAGCCAAGCAAGTGCTTTAGATGGTTTAAATCCAAGACACTAAACTGACCTGAGAAGGAAAGGGATAAGGAACAGGAGATCAGGTGGAAGTCCAAGGAACTCATCCTTGCATCCAAAACAAAATGAAGAGTCAAGTGTCCCACATCAGTCCCTTCCAATCCACCTCTTTTACACAACCTGCCAGGCCAAGCCTGAGCAGACAGTGGGGATGAGATGGAAAGGAAGAGCTAATGTGAGAGTCTCTGTAAAGGAAGAATCCAAAGTGCCTGGAAACTAGTCAGGCTAATTCTCGCTAAAGTGATAGCGACTTCATAGATATTTCCTGCCAGAAGTACTTTTATTTAGAAGGAAGACACTAAGAAAGAGAAAAAGATCATAAGAGAAAGTCAATGCCTAGCCTAAAAGCAATACTTTCCAGTCCCAAGCACTACTCCTTCAAAACATGAGTTGAGCATTGCATAAATTTTGGAAAACTGCCGCATACTGTCTTTCTTAGAGGTTCACCAATTAACATTAACACTTTAACAGCTGGGATAAGACTTGGGTTAAAAAAGCCTTTTCAACTTTGTTTAACCCCTTGTTTCTCAAATGCTTCCATCACAAAACGCTTTCCCATCTCCAAGTAAAAACTATTAACATCCCAAATTCTGCACCTCAGCCTAAAGCCTAAAGCAATGTATCTTTAACAATGAGATTTTAGGTACCTTCAAAAAAACAGGAGTATCATCCCCATCTGGGTGTCCCCTCCTCTCCCAACCCCCTTAATTGACCCGGGCAGGGCCACTGGATAGATGTAGAATCCAGGAAAGGCCCAGATCAGGGATAAGAGCATATCTGCATGCCAACCAAAAGTAACATCAGAGAGGTGCTGACTATTCAGGCCAAGGCTAAAACCTGAAGCCCAAGGACAGCTGCTAGGCATTAGGGGACAGGAACAAGCATGGGACAAGAGCTTGAGATAAGCTCAGACTGAAGTGGGTTTTATTGCACCAGTCCCATAAGTGGCCTCTCTGGCATGGGGGTGTCTTAAAGACACCACATGGCCTTACAGACTGGTACTTCCCAAAGCATACCAGAAAGCCAGCCTTGTAAATAATCATGCATTTGGTTAAATGCTCACAGTCGCCAAGAACAGTAATAAGGAACTAAGAGTAAGGCCTGCTCTAATGTCAGCATTCGTAACTAAGGGGCTATGGTACTAACTCGAAGGATAGAGAAATTAAGATTCCAGATCACATGGGAGCAGACTCTGCTAATGAGGGTAAGAAATTACCGTCTTGGTGTGAAATGACACAATATAGACCCATTCTCCCTAGCAGATTTGCAATGGAAGATGGATGATCTAATTGGCCAGTACAGATCACATTGCGTTCCATGCAGGACTCGGGTAGCACAGACCTGTCAGGATGAGAAAATGAGTCACCGTGTGCATGCACAGTAATCACCGTCACAGAGAAGTGGGTGAACAAGTTCCACAAATTTTTCGGTAATAGGGACTAACGCTTGCTGAATGCTCCCCCTGTGACAAGTGCCGGGCTAAGCACTTTACCTGGATTATCTCATTTAATCCTCACAGCAGCTCCATGAAGCTCAAGAAGGTTAAGCAGCTTGCCCCAGGTCAGGGATAGAACCGGTGTTGCGCTCTGCATTCAGTCTCCAGAGCCCATGCTTAGCCATTGGCTCTTTCCATCCCTGCATCAGGCCCATTGAGGTTCCCCCCATCTTGTTACTTTCACTACATACCCATGCAGCGTCCTCTCCCCACAACGCGATCCCATCTGTTTTTGCTGACAGTTAGGTCTCTAAACCAGCACTTACCTAATAGGCTACTGGTAGGCTGAGATTTGACGCTCCCCTACCAATCCGAGGGGCAGGAGTGTAGGACCTGGGATGGCCACATCTTGGGCTGGTAGTCCTGGGTGCCAACCATTAAGCTACTGCCTCCCAGCTCCAAACCTACCCTCTGTACTTGGGTCTGTGACGCTGGGGCTGGGGGGCTGCAAATACATTTCTCCTTTTACAGATAACTCCCCAGATGGTCCTCAAGTGAGGCATTGAAGGGAGACTGGGAGGCAGGAGGCAGCAGAGAAGACTTGCTCCTTCCCACATGCTGGCTGTTCCTGGCAGTGGTGACCTGGCATTGGCTCTTTAGCCCCACAGCAGCAGTGGGTTCCAGTTTCCAGCTTTTCCCTACCCTCCCAGAACCAGCCTTATTATGCCCCTCAGAGGTACTAGCAGCATCCAGGCAGTGCCCCTCCCCAGAAGCAGGTTCCCGGGTCCCTGGGCTCCATCCTCCAAGCTCCTAAGGTACCAGCGGTCCCCGAGCAGCCACCCCTGCTCAGAGAACTGGTCCTAGCTCCCTAGGTCCCTCTTCCAAGCTCCAAGGTCTGATAATCCAAACTTCTAGCCTCTTTTCCCCAGCCTAGAGGAGGCAGCTGCAATTCCTCCATTTGGATTACTTCTGTCTTCTCTACTTTCTCAGTCCTAATGCTTGTTCAACCAATTCCCCATATTCAGCTCGGTCTGTTACTGTATCTAGAGTGGTTTCTGATGTCCTGAACTGGACTCTGATTGATGTATCTAGTCATCTCAGTGTGCCGTAAAAACATCATTTTCTATGTGTGTCATGACAGTGAAAAGGCTTGTGAATCCCCACCCCCTCCATGACAACCTGGGCCCTAGAAAAGCAGCCATTAGATGATATAGCCAGCATTCATTCTCCAGTATACATGCCCAAGAAAATAATTTCAAAATTAGAGTCCAAAGGGTGCTAGCGAGCATTTAATTGTCCTGGACACATGCCTAAGTCCTCCTAGAACTGGACACACAGACCAGCCTTGATTGTCATTTACACTGAAACCACAGGCATCTCTGAGTAGCAGCAGACAGCTTCTCTTCTGTGCTCCAAAGTTAAGCTATTATGACACAAGAAGGCTTAAATTCAGACTTCTTTAAGTATTAAAAGCAGAAGTCTGAGATTGCAGCCCCATATTCAGCTTATCTTTTTTTCTGTTAATCAATCACCCAGTATTTATTGAGCACAAGTAGATGCCTGTCCAAGAAAGAGATGCACTTGCAAATGAGTATGGAAGGTACCCGCTAGATATGCATTCATTTCCCTTTACAGCCCTACTGGGCTTTCAGTGACTGCTCAATAGGCACTTTTCATAATTCCCCATTGTTGTCAGGCTATTTTTATCCTTCCCGTATGAATCAGAGTATGACTTACTGTCCCACTGTTAAAATCCTTATTCTGGCAAAACCATTATTATTTATTTGTTTGGTATCTTTCAAAAAAATTTTATGGCTTGAACCCTCATCTCAAAATTAAATAATCTCATCATTAAATACCTTATGCTGGATGGACAAAAGTAAATGACATCAATATGTGGACAACTTATAAAAACAGCAACTTAAAAGGCCAGGTCAGCCACATCCCCGTTATCTAGATGCTCTTTAGAAGGGAGGCACTGAGCCACTCTCCATACCAGGCTGTGGCCAGAATTGGCCTGTTCTGTGCAGTAACTTAGAGACCAGCATTCCAGATGAGCTGATTCAAAATTAATCATTTGGGGCAAAATGCATCCTAAGTAATGTCAACTTAGTAATAACAGTAATAATACTTAGTAATTATTCAGTACAGCTCAAAATTCCCTGTTCATATTAATCCGTTGTTAAGAGCTAAATTGTTCCCCATCCCCCACTACCAAATTCATATGTGAAAACCCTAACGGCCAGTTCCTCAGAATGTGGCTGCATTTGGAGATAGGGTCTTCAAAGAGGTAATTAAGTTAAAATGAGGCTGTTAGGGTGTACCCTAATGCAATCTGACTGATGTCATTTATAAGGATAGAGGGAGAGGGAGAGGGAATAGAGGATAAGGAAGAGGAGAAAGGGGAAAGGGGAGGGAAAGAGAGAAGGGGCGGGGAGGAGAGGGAGAGGAAGAGACCAGACGGGCACACACACAGAGGCACTATGTGAAGACACCAGATCATCAGAAGACAGCCATCTGCAAGCCCAGGAGAAAGGTCTTAAAAGGAAGCAACCATGTCTATGCCTTAATCTTGTTCTTGACTCTAAAATTGTGAGCTGTTGTGTAAGCTACTCAGTGTTACCTATGACTGAGTGGCATTTTGCTATGGCAACACTAACAAACTAATATGCCCATGAACTTTTTTTTTTTTTTTTTTTTATGAGACGGAGTCTCACTCTGTCTCCCAGGCTAGAGTGCAGTGGCACGATCTTGGCTCACTGCAACCTCCTCCTCCCGGCCTCAAACAATTCTGTCTTCCTGCCTCAGCCTCCAGAGTAGCTGGGACTACAGGTGCACACCACCATCCCCAGCTAATTTTTTGTATTTTTAGTAGAATCAGGTTTTACCATGTTTGTCAGGCTGGTCTCAAACTCCTGACCTCAGGTGATCTGCCCACTTCAGCTTCCCAAAATGCTGGGATTACAGGCATGAGCCACTGCGCCCAGCCACCCATGAACTTTCAGAATAGTTTCTAACATGGAAAATCTACTTGGCTACAGATCTTTTCTTTACTTTTCAAGTGGATAAAAATGAAGCAGGAAAAGATTGGCGAACTTTGCCGGCATCTCTTAGCTCAGCCCTGGATGGATGGGATTTAGCCCGACCCTCTCCCTTCTCTGCTCACCACAGCTCTGTTCTCCAGCCTGACTGATAAGGTGGGAAAACCAGTATTAAGCACATATTTTCAAAGAACAATCAACTCTTGATTATCCATTATTAATGTGGAACAGAGCCTGCATAGAAAATTAAAATCCACATACATTCCAAACCCCAGTATTAGCCATTAATGTCAACCTGCTCAAACACTTCAGACTTCATCAACCCCTGCTGTTTTCCTTTGAGGAAAAGCCTAGCAGTGTTATGAATTTATCTATTACCTTTAACTATCCATAAAATATCATGCAGTTGGGAAAGCCCCAACTTCTCTTTGGTAGAAATGTTCTAAAGTGTATATGTATTCTTAGGGGAGAAAGGGAAATTTTATATCCTTGACTTATTTTTAAATTGAAATGTTAAATTAACATTTTGTAAGATGGCATGCAAAATAGTTGGTGTAGTATTTCATAATCCTGTGTTTTAAAGAGAGGAATAATGTATTTTCCCAGGTAAACCAACTAGAACCCACTAAAAAATTATCTCAAAATCATAATGCTAGAAGACCTCTAATGAATCATTTAGTAGTTTTCTTTCTTTCTTTCTTTTTCTTTCTTTCTTTCTTCTTTCCTTCTCTTCCTTCCTTCCCTTTCTTTTTATTTCTTTCTCTCTTTTCTTTTTTCCTTTTTTAGCAACAGATCTCTGTTTTCAAAATTAATTTTTTGTGGAAGTTTGATATAGAAGAGGATTTGATCTTCTCTGCTTGAAGTAGGCATGAACTGCCCATTCAGCCTCCTCATTGCCCCCTTGAATTTCCTGAGACCTTAGGGCTGTGAAAAAACAAAAACAAAAACAAAACAAAAAACAGAACAAAACCACAAACGTATTTCAATTCTTTCATTTTACAGATTTGGAAATCAAGGCCCAAATGGGAACCATCGTCATGGCCAAGGTTGAGCATTTTATAATGGCATATCCAGGTCTGGAGCCCAAATCTCCTGATTTGTGGTCCACACACTTTGCCTGCATCACACTGTTGGTCATATGGACTTTGTTTTGTGTGACAAGTTGGGTCCCAGAACAGCTTTAATGCCTAACCAGTTCTGCAGCTTTCACCACCAGGAGCAGGCTTGTGTGCTGAGACACACCAGCATCAGTACATGAAGCAGATCTCTTCAATGCCCAGAATTCTTAGGCATATTTCCAGATATTGGACCAACAACCTTGGGGTTATTTGCCTGGATAAAATATCCATGTATTCAGATCCAGTGGTTCCTCAACTTTAGTATCCCCTTTATGATTACTGGGGGGATTTGATAAAAATACAAATGCCAGAAATTCTGATTCAGTAGGTGTAGGGCATAACCCAGGAATCTGTATTTTAATAATGATCCAAATAATAAATATTTATTTATTTAAATAAATCTGTATTTAAATAATGATTTAATAATGGGGCTATGACGAAATGATCCCCAGACCACACTTTGAGATACATGGCTTTAATTTTTCTTTGTCATTAAAACCTTCCCATGGAAGAACTAAAGTTGGCTCAGACTTCAGGAACTGCATGCTTTTAAACAAGCTTTCAGTCTGACAAGAGTTTTAGCCACCACCACCACCAGCCCCCAGATTCAGAGCATTATCCTGCAGATGGTGTCTTATTCTCACAGTGGCATCCTGCTAAATTCCACAGTGACTGGATAATCATCTCAGGTGGTCACACTGGGAGAAGCAACAGGAACTGACGTAAGGAACCAAACTTTGTTTTCATGCGAATGGTTTCCATGGAAAATTAAACAAGCAATAAAGACATACAAAAAGGTATTGTGCATATCAGTAACCAGAAAAAGTCTCTTATGGGATAGCTCATCTAAATTTGAAAGTACTATCAGCTTTGGAAGGTCTTGAGCTCAAATATTAGAGGGGTCAGCCTAAGGAGCTGGGAAGCCCAGCAAAGGTTAAGATTTCAGGGCAAATATCAAATCTTGCACTGAGAAATCCCTGTGTCGAGCTGTGCCAAAACCAGATGTTTTTACTAGTAATTAGTATTATGATAATTCACTTAACTAGGAATAAAATAGGGCATGATTGTTTACTGCTGCCTGTTTCCCCAGACATGCAGAGAAATGAGAAGAAAAATCTCAGAGGTTTTACTCTTGGCTAAACAGAATGATTTTCTCAATTAACCAGGAACGAACATAGCAACAAAATAATTTGCCCTTACATTATACAAGAGTTGTAAATAGACTTTTAAACACCTCCTTACATGTGGAAGTCAAGGTGGAAGATTGACTGCCAAGGAATTGAAAACATCTTGAGTTTGGTTTCCATCTGAAAAGACACAGTCCTTAGAAACCTACTCACGTTGTCAGCCATGGCATGAGACTTCCAAAAGCTATTCTTGGTTTCTCTTCTCTGTGCTGAACCCTTTCCAAGGCCAAGAAATTGTGGGATGAATTGTGGTAAGATGAAAGATTCTTCTGAGAGCTTAGGAGAAAAGTGTACAGGAGAGCAGAGAACACATATCTGAGAGGAGGCCGACAGCACGGCTGGGCTTTTACATGAATCCTTAATATAAACTAAGAATCGATGGTGGGCAATGAACAGTGATCATGGCAGAGCACACCCCAGCAAGGGAGTTACTCTATTGTGACTGTGTCAGGCTGATGAATCCTGGGGGAACAGGGCGGGGAGTGGTGGGGCACAGGGGCATGTGGCACCCTCACACACACACCCCAGAAGAGAAACTATTTGTAACTGTCAAATTTACAAGAAGCCAGCCAGACGTTCTACAACATAAACCACTTCGTAGAGCATAAGGTACAGCCACATTTCTTCAATAGCAGGACAGAAACTGCATTTTGTCCCCTTAAAGATAATTTTTAAAAAGAGAAACTATGAGCACTTTTGCCCAAATAAAATCTCTTTTAATCCTTATAAATAAAAATACTCTTTCCCATCGGTAGCTGTATCTCTTTGACACCCTCCTGCATTCTCTGCTACCACTGCCTTTTCCTTTACCTCACTCAGGATTTCTCCAAGAGGCTGAACAGGAGACATTAGTGTCTCTGGGTTATGAGATGTGACTATGTCGTAACATGCGATGACGTTTGTGTTCAGGACCAAGGACAGTAGCCCACGTGCGGGCTTAGCCCCTGCTCCCAGCCCCCTTTCTTTGCCCACTCCCTAACATTTTAGCCACATCACATCTATGAGCAGAGGAGTGTGGACCATATTGTTCAAATTAGAAACCAAAATAGGGCTTAATTACCATATAAGAAGCAGTGCTTTTTCCACCAATGTCTACTTTTTACCACTCAATAAATACACGTTGAGGAATGGGACCAGTAAAACTCAGTGTTTCTTCACTACTTCCTTGGGTAAGTCTCCCCAGCGGCCTTAGACCTGAAGATGGCAATTGCAGACTTGGGAAAACAGGTGGCTGAGTACCCTTGTCCGAGCCCTACAGCCACAATAAAACTTACAAGCTCTCCTTGGTTCTCCCATGGCTGGGCTGGCTCTGCACCACCTTAGTGTGTCTCTGAGATCATCATGGCCTTTGAAAGAAGCTCAGTCTAGGCATAAGAACCAGACAAACAACGCTTCTGTCCAATTCTGGGCCTACCAGTGTCTTGAAGCTAGAGATTCAACTCTCAAGAAGCCATAAGTAGTAGAAAACTTGCTTCTTTTTGCACCTTCTGGATTAAGGTCAGAGCACACACATCTCCTAGAATAATGTGCTTTTGCAAGATAGAACATAAGGTACAGAGTATATAAATACCTCACAATTCTGTTAAATACCTTTATTTATAGAAATGAAAGTTAGGAACCAGGATTAATTGCTGCAAATGAAGGAAGTAGAAACTAATTAAAAATGAACATTTTAGCATGCTATCAAAGGGCTAGGGCTCCTTTTGAAGGTGTCCTTTGCAAACAGAAAGAGGTTACAGCATGGAGAGATTATGTATTCTTTTCCTGATTTTCTCTGTCTCTCTCTGTCTCTCTCGCATAGACACACACACTCACACACACTCAACCATATACCTCAGTATATTTAGAATACTGACGTCAAAGAGAAAGATAAAGGGATAGCAGGTCCTAGCTAACCCCAGATTCTTACGTGAATTGTCTCCATTTTTAAAGTGAAATGAAAGATGGAGAAGTTCAAGTAAGTCTAAAACCTGCATCAAACCTAACAAGGCATCCAGGTGCCAAAGGTCACGTTCTACGTCTTGACAGGGTGAGACAAAGCCAAACAGCAAGTAGTCATTGCACAGTAGCATTGCTCATTTGGAGACACTAAAGGGAGGAAGAGGCACTAACAGCAGTCCAGCAACCTGGTCCAGGGTCTTCCCCCACTGGCTGAGTATAGACTTCCACCTGAACCTGCCCAGGGTTACCATTTGCTTCTTGGACAACATCACAGTGAAGAGCTCTGCAATCCTGGCATCATATTCTTTCAACCAACAGTCACAGAGCTTTTATTATACACCAGGACATCTGCACAGCACCCAGGTTACAGCAATAAATCAGAACGCAGCTACATAGGAAAGGAGTCAGACAGGAGCAACGGCATGCCACTATCTTTTTATTTTTTTAATACAGAAAACATAAACTTGAATAGCAAAACTAAAAACATTTTTTACAAACAAAACTCATATCATGGCCGGGCATGGTGGCTCACGCCTGTAATCCCAGCACTTTGGGAGGCTGAGGCAGGCAGATCACCTGAGGTCAGGAGTTCGAGACCAGCCTGGCCAACATGGTGAAACCCTGTCTCTACTAAAAATACAAAAATTATCCAGGAGTGGTAGCACATACCTGTAATCCCAGCTACTTGGGAGGCTGAGGCAGGAGAAATGCTGGAACCTGGGAGGCGGAAGTTGCAGTGAGCTGAGATTGTGCCATTGCACTCCAGCCTGGGCAACAGAGCAAGACTCTGACTCAAAAAACAAACAAACAAAAAAAAAAACCTCATATCGTGTGGTGATGTTAATTATTGAAAGTAAAATGTGACCCATTTTTTTTTGCCGTTGAAAAATTGTCCTCTGTGACACCTAGATGCTCTGAAATAGTTTATGCTTTCGGGCTGGGGAACATTGGTCTTCATCATACTCCTAAACAGAAAACAACTCTCCCATTTTTCTTATCCCCTCCCTGCAAATGGTTCACAAACCCCAAAGCTCTCTCTTGGACTTTGGTTTTCCTCCCTGAAAAGATTACCCTCCAGCGAAACAAGACACTGCACAGGCCACTTGGGGGGAACTTGTCAGTTCTTTGCTTTTCCCAAGACTTATTAATTTGGGCAGGACCTTAGGAAAAGGAAGAAGGGAGTGGGGCCAAGAATTAATCTACTCTGAGCTGTGATGGGTAGAAAGGGGACCTAGCACTTGTTCGTTTAAACTCCTGCTATTTTCACCTCTCAGGGGCTCTGCCTACTCTTGCCAAGTTAATCATGCTAAACAGAGTTGGATTTCTAGCAATACAATGCTCGCATCTAGGGTATCTTTCTGCAAGGTAAGCAATCTTGCCATTGATTCCCCCAGGCACTTGGTGCATACTGTTAGCTGGATTTCAATATCGTTGTGAAACTCTGTGTCTTTTGGAAATGCTTGTGTAGGTATCCCTGCTTAATGGATGTTGGTTACTCTCACAGAGGAAACCAACTTTCTCCCCTAGGATTTGTGGGGAGTAATTTCCCTCAAGCTATTATTACCTTAGGAACCGGTCTCCCAGGGATGAGCTGAATCAAAGCCCAGTCATACCTACTTTCCCTTCCAAAGGAAGATGCCCCCTTTAGGTTGCTGAGGCCTGATTCACATGTTTATTTACGGGGGAAGGCTCTGTTTTCTCTTGGAGAGGCAAAGCTAATTTCAGCCACCTGAGTGTTATAAACATACACACAAGATGTAAAGGTAAAAATGCAGGTCAGGAGGGGCCCTCACACCTCCTAACATAACCCACTGATGCTGCTAAAGGGAGAATCGCAGAGGAGCAGAGGTGGTCTTCCTCTCAGACACAGCCCCATTCTGACCATTCACAAAACTCATTGTCCCAGAGCTCCGGCACTCCCGTGTGCCTTCGCCTTTGCTCTCTGACCTCCAAGGCCCTCCCACTATCACCAGCAATCTCCCTTCCCGTGGAGACAGGGATAAATCTCCATCTTGGGAGAAATGATTTTCAGCCAGACCAGCTAAGCCCTCCAAGGCTCTCAGTTGGGTGGAAGCTCCTCCGGGTCCCAGAGGGGATTAGATAAGGATCTGGGGAGAAATTTAAATCCTGGATGGCAGCTGTAGGGGCTGAAATGAACCAGCCTATTACCCAGCACCTCTCTGACGGTGAGGGTTAATTTATCACATGGAATCCAATCACTTCTTATAAAACCAGTGCAGGTTTCATTTAGTTTGATGAGGTATATTGCAAGATTTCAGAAAATCAATTTTACTGAGAGCCATATTAAGCCCCAGGGAATATAACACTACATGTACCTCACATAAGTTTTTGTTATTACCCAGCGCATCACTGGGGAAATTATATACTTAGCCCAATGAAGGGTAATGACTACCTTCATTGTCTTGGGCAGCTCCCACCTTGCTTACCTCGGTGAAATAACAAATAAAAATGGTAGGGCTCCAAATTGGTACTTACCTACGCTCTGCAGAGTCAGAGGCATGATAAGAGTGAGCAAAAGCAACTTAATTTTCCAAACATTTGAACTGCTTACAGTATGGGATATGACTAGCCCATGCTATAAAATAGCAGGCATTATGGATACTTCCTATTTTGACCAAAGCCCTATTCTGACTGAGCCCCTTAGCTTGAGTTCTCAGAGCAGCATTTGCAAAGGAAGTCACAGTGGACACAAATTGCTTTCAATTGATCTGCCAGTATAATATTTCCAGAGAGTTATATTTCTTAGTAAGAAACTGTTCCACTGTGGCTAAGGAACATTCCTATCTGTGCTCATCTGGTCTCTTGGATACTTTTGTATGCAAAGCAATAAACCAGGCTCACTTTTATGGGGACCCCAACTTGAAGCTAGCATCAGGGAGTGAATCCCCAAGCCAACCTTGGCGATAGCTTCCTTCTCCGAAGGCCAGTTCAAATTGATAGCAGAGCATGTGGAGTGTGTGTGGTAGGTGGGAGAGTGGTATGGTGCACCAATCCTACTGCATCTCACAAATATCAGAGCTTCTCTTATTTATCTGTGGTCTAGGACTATGCTGTCCAATATGGCAGCAACTATCCACATGTAGCCATTTAGATTTAGATTACTTAAAATCAGGTAAAATTTAAAATTCAGTTCTTCAGGTGCACTAATCACATTTGCAGTGCTTAGTAGTCACATGTGGTGAGTGGCTACTGTATTGGACAGCACGGATATAGAACATTCCCACTGTTGCACAATGTTCTGTTGGATGTTGCTGGGTAGCCATTCAAGTAGCCACTCAGCTGTAGGGACTTGGTAGTGATTACAGGGGCCTGAGAGTTCGGTTCAGGCTGAAGTCATTTCCCATCAACTCCCAAGTGTCCTCGTTTTTCAGATCTTCTTTCGCCAGCTTGCACTGAGGCCAAACATAACTTCTTTACAGTCTTTAGATGACAGAGAAACCCTCTTCCATCCTATCAGAACCAGCCCCAGAAAAAATTTGGAAGTGGTTTTGGAAATTTAAAAATATAAGCTATAGGACAAAGCAAGTATTTGGGAAACTGGGGGAAAAAAAAGTTTTTATCAGGCTGAATAGATACCCTGGACCAAGAACAAATTCCCCCACTGCGATGGGTGGAATTGTGTATCCCTCACCCCAAATACACATATTGAAGACCTACCCTCCAGTACCTCAAAATGGGACTGTATTTGGAGACAGGATCTGTAAAGAGGTAATTAAAGTAAATTGGGGCCATTATGGTGGCCCCTAATCTAACATGACTAGTACCTTTATAAGAAGAGAAGATTAGGATGCAGATATACACAGAGAAAAAACCATGTGAAGACACAGGGACATGATAGCTGATATGATTTGGCTGTGTCCTCACCCAGATCTCACTTTGAATTGTAATAATCCCCACATGGCAAGGGCAGGCCAGATGGAGATAATTGAATCATGGGGGCAGTTTCCCCCATACCGTTCTCGTTGTAGTGAATAAATCTCATGAGATCTGATGGCTTTATAAATAGGAGCTCGCCTGCACAAGCTCTTCTGCCTGCTGCCATGTAAGATGTGACTTTGCTTCTCATTTGCCTCCCGCCATGATTGTAAGGCCTCCCCAGCCATGTGGAACTGTAAGTCCATTAAACCTCTTTCCTTTATAAATTACCCAGTCTTGG
Source organism: Homo sapiens (assembly GCF_000001405.40). Taxonomy (NCBI): domain Eukaryota; kingdom Metazoa; phylum Chordata; class Mammalia; order Primates; family Hominidae; genus Homo; species Homo sapiens. The sequence continues at coordinate 152,171,971 of NC_000004.12, forward strand.
GTATGTCTTTATTAGCAGCATGAGAATTGACTAATACAACAGCCTTCTATAAGCCAAGGAGAGGCCTTAGAAGAAACCAACCTTGCTGACACTCAGACTTTGGACAGCTATTTGCCAGAACTGTGAGAAAAAAAATTCTGTGGTTCAAACCACCCAGCTTGTGGCACTTTATTATGGCAGCCCCAACAAACTGAGAGACCCAGCATGCAGATTCTCCATACAGCAAACCAGAGACCTCTGCAACACAGCCTGTCAAGATTTTTCAAATCAAGCTGGAGATTTTTTGAGTTTACATTGCCATCATCACAATTTTTACCTCAAGCATAACAAAGCAGCTGTTTGCACAGAGGATTATTGTTCCGTGCCTTCGCCTGCAGGGAAATTCAGCCTTTGATGCCGCTTACAGAGCCAATGGGACAACTGGAACATCAGGACGTGACAGACAAATTACCCATGAGAAAGGGCAGAACGTTTTAAAAGAGTGTTTAAAAAATCATGTTGCCTCCACTGATGTTAGCCTGTGACATCCCTTACCAATTTTTATATGTCAACTCTAAATTAGATCGGTTTGTTTATTTATACACATTGAGTAGAGTCATACACATGTATGATATATGGATTTAGCAACTGTTCACATAGTTGCTTCTCTTCAAGGTGTTTAACAAAAATTAACTAATGCTACATGCAACCTCCCATATGTTCACTGTAACATGCAACAACCCACAGAGAATGTGATGAAAACTTTAAAACAAAATGAAGTTCTAATTCGATTATTTTCTGTTTGATGGGATTCCTGGGGGAATTAACTACCAAATGGAGATTCAAATATCTAGTTAAGAGAAGGGATTAATATTATCCAGATAGTTATCTTGATATGTTAGCTTGTATCTGTAATAGATATTCTAGCCTTTATCTTTTTTCCTATTTTTCCTGGAGGCATTGCAATATTGCATTTAAAAAAAAAACCTTTCTGCCATATTGAGCAAAAGCAACATGATTAAAGTAACAAATGGAAACAAAACATGAGGATGGCATTTTAGGATTACAAAATGCTTTCCTGACAAATTTTCATTTCATGTTTACCACATTTTTTAAAGATTAGGTTATTATTCCTGTTTTAAAGATGGGGAAACTAAGTATCAGAAAGGTAAAGTGGGCCGGGCACAGTAGCTCACTCTGATAATCCTAGCACTTTGGGAGGCTGAGGCGGGTGGATCACTTGAGGTCAAGAGTTCGGGACCAGCCTGGCCAACATGGTAAAACCCTGTCTCTACTAAAAATACAAAAATTAGCCAGGCGTGGTGGTGTGTGTCTCTAATTCCAACTACTTGGGATGCTGAGGCAGGAGGATCACTTGAACCTGGGAGGTGGAGGTTGCAGTGAACCGAGATAGTGCCACTGCATTCCAGCCTGGGCGACACAGTAAGACATTGTCTCAAAAAAAAAAAAAAAAAAAAAAGAAAGAAAAGAAACAAAAAAGAGAAGAGAAGAAAAAGAGAAAAGAGTAAAGTGATTTTCCAATACTTTCACAGCCAGTCAAGAGAGAGCCAAGCAAAAATTTAAACCTGGGCTTCCAGCAGTCTTTCCCAATGTCTCCAGATGCTCTACTCCTTCCACCAGGATTTATCACAAGCTATAGCCAACTTCTCACAAAAGAATGTTAAAAAGGTGCTTCTCTGTAAAGTTGCCCTCCTGGCCTTCCCTTCATTGGTGCTGTTGATAGTGGTGCTTCTCCTGCCTGAGACAAGCCTGCAAAGGTGGATGGATATTCCTACCAGGACACACAGGGTGAGACTGCAATGGCAACCTGCAGAGTCCAGGGCTTGCCCACTATGAAAATGGTCTCCAAGTGTGCTCCTGCTTCATCTGGTCACCAACCTCCTTATGAATGAGGTGGGGCCAGGGCTCAGGGATTTAGAGTGAGGAGGGGGCCTCCAGAACCCAGAGGTAGGAACAAAAAGGCAAAGGTGGTAACAGCTGAGATGAACTTCCTTCTCTGCATCCCCTGCCATCCTTTCCACCCGCCTAGGCCATCTGGAGTTTCCAATTATGTGTCTTGCCCAAAGCTCACCTACCCTACACAGGAGTATTCTAGAGCAGAATCCATGGTGTGGTAAGGACCTGCCACACCCTCAACCCCCTTTAGAGGAACACTTTCCTAAAGCACAGCATTCTGTCTCCAGCTTTGTATTAATACTTTTATTTAGTGGACCATTCATGCCACCTGGGCCACAACTGATGATACCCAGGACTAGTGCCCCAACCAATGCAAGCTGCTCACCAGAGTGACCAACCACCTCTGAGGTGGCTTGGCACCAACTCACCCCAATAGAGGTGCTCTATATTGCAGAGTGACAAGCTGACCCCATCAGATGTCTCGCCTGGCACATGTGAACATGCGTATGGGCTCAGGCAAATGACTCGGGTTCTCCATTCACCAGTCCTGACTGTGCCGAGACCCAGAGTGTCTGTGGCTAATGAAGAAAGATGTCCTAATGCTGCCCCTTTCCCTTGTGTCCTAGAAGTAAGGCCCATCACCAAAGGAGGTCTGGGTCAGTCTTCCCTTAGCAATCTTAAATAGCCCAACAGATCAAGTATGATTCTCACTTAGAGGGAAGTCCCAGGAGCCCAAAGAGAAAAGTGACACACACAAGAATAACATCACCAGCTCACATGAGGGACCTGGGTCCCAGAAACCCACAGTTAAACTATTCTTTCCACATTTTATTTTATTTTATTTATTTATTTTGAGACAGAGTCTAACTCTGTCACCCAGGCTGGAGGGCAGTGGTGTGCTCTCAGCTCACTGCAACCTCCGCCACCCGGGCTTAAGCAATTCTCCCTGCCTCAGTCTCCCGACTAGCTGGGATTACGGGTGCCTGCCACCATGCCCGGCTAAATTTTTTTGTATTTTTAGTAGAGACGGGGGTTTAGCCGTGTTGGCCAGGCTGGTCTCAAACTCCTGACCTCAGGTGATCCACCTGCCTCAGCCTCCCAAAGTGCTGGGATTACAAGTGTAATATAATTGTAATATAAATTACACTTGTAATTACATGCCCAGCCCTTTCCACATTTTATATTCTGCTTCCTGCATCACTGGGCTAAGAAAAAAGTACTGAATATTCTCCCCAAAAGACTCTTGTAGGTCTGGGTCAGTCTTTCCTTAGCAATCTTAAATAACCCAATGGATCGAGTATGATTCCAGTCACTTAGAGGAAAGTCCCAGGAGCCCGAAGAGAAAAGTGAGACACACAAGAATAACATCACCAGCTCACATGAGGGACCCAGGTCCCAGAAACCCACTGTTAAACCATTCTTTCCACTTTTTTTTTTTTTTTTTTTTTTTGAGATAGAGTTTTCGCTCTTGTTGCCCAGGCTGGAGTGCAATGGCACGATCTCAGCTCACTGCAACTTCTGCCTCCGGGGTTCAAACGATTCTCCTGCCTCAGCCTCCTGAGTAGCTGGAATTACAGGCATGTGCCACCACACCTGGCTAATTTTGTATTTTTAGTAGAGATGGGGTTTCACCATGTTGATCAGGCTGGTCTCAAACTCCTGACCTCAGGTGAGCTGCCCACCTTGGCCTCCCAAAGTACTGGGATTACAGGCGTGAGCCACCACACCCAGTCTCCACATTTTATATACTGCTTCCTGCATCATTGGGCTAAGAAAAAAGATACTGAATATTCTCCCCAAAAGACTCTTGTAGAAAGTAGCTGAAAACTGTCAGAACAGATAAAGCGGAGATTATTGCTTTCTTTAAGGTCTGTTGCCTGATTTCCCTTAGGGCCCCTACTGTGGATGGTGGGGATCTGCCTAGAAGTCAGGCGTGTGTTAATTTGCATGATTGTGTTAACTAACCATCAGCCACTCCATCCCAGCTGCAGTATAACCTAAATTAATTCACTAGGAGCAGGTGGTTTAATTTGTACATTATTCACATTTGCTAATAAACAAGCAATTTGGATTTTAGTTAGAATTTTTTCTCAGGGACAGAGCCAAGGGTGTTTGCTCAGCATTTGGCCAAGGGAAATTCAACTCAGACACAACCCACCCCACCCTTCAGGCTTTTCATACTAAGAAAATCTGGTTCATCTCAAGCTCCTCCACATTCTTGCTCCCCAGGATCAATCCTGATCATAAAGGGTAAATGCACACTGCAGGGTTCAGGTTCACCTTTGCTACCAGCAGGGCCTGGCAGTGCCTTCCATGTAAGTCACTGGGCTTCTGCTGTGCTGAGACCCAGAGCCCTGGAGTCCCAGTTTTTAAATGGATTTCTGCCTGTGTCTAATATTTCTTAGATTCTTACTAGCTGCCTGCCCAGTTTATCATTTTTCATCACAAAATAGGGTCTTCTGCTCTGGCTCTGCACACCCCTCTTTCTGAGACTGACATCCCATCTGAACTTAGTCCAAGAGCTGAGATCTGGCTTCCAGATGACCAGTTTCCCTAAAAATGACTGTGTGCCTGCCCCGTCATGGGGTCCCCACCACTACATTTTGCTCACCTATTGAGTACAACAATAATAATAGTCAGTGTTTATTTCTGTGTCAGAATTTTGCAAAATTACTGTTCATCTTCATACAATTGGAGAATTGAGAAAACAGGCTCAGAAAAGTGCCTTGTCCTAAGTCACATAGCAAGTAGTGTGGAGCTGGAATTTGAGCACAGGTCTATCAGGATTCAAGTCCCACATTCAAAATCATGTTCATGTTACTCTTGCCTCTTACATCTGTTTGATCATGATCCAATGCCTGCCTTTCTTTTCTTTTTTTTTCTTTCTTTTCTTTTTTCTTTCTTTCTTTCTTTTTCTTTCCTTCTTTCCTTTTTCTTTTTTTAGCCTTTAGAGACAGGGTCTTGCTCTCTCTCTGTCACCTAGGCTGGAGCACAGTGATGCAATTATGACTCACTGCAGGCTCAAACTTCTGGGCCCAAGCCATCCTCCCACCTCAGCCTCCTGAGTAGCTTGGAGTACAGGTTTGCACCACCACACCCAGCTAATTTGTTTTTCGGTAAAGATGGGGTCTTGCTATGTTGCCCAGGCTGGCCTCTAACCCCTGACCTCAAGCGATCATCTCGCCTTGCCTCTCAAAGCACTGGGATGACAGGCATGAGCCACTGTGCCCTGCCCAAGGCATCTCTTCACCTCACTTCAGGGTAGGGAAAATTGGCACAATTGGCTGGGCTAGTTTGAATGTTAAGGAACTGGGCTGGGCAGTAAGAGACTCTCAAATGTGGCAGCAACTATGTAAAACCCAAGGCTGAATGTTAAATCCAATCAGAGAGAAAGGCCTGAGTGCCAAAGCCAGAGAAGCATGCTGATTGGTCAAAATATTTGAGAGTCATTCCTCGCCCTTGTGTGAAAAGGGTATAAAAATCCAGTGAGATCTGTGGCCGTAATCCTGGAGGTGACACCCAAGGCGGGGTACCTAAATAGCCCATGACTGCCATTGAGGGGTTGTCTGAGCCAGTGATGGAAATGATAGCATCCTGCTTCCAGGTGATTGTCACATCCATTCAAATGAATTATCATCAAAGGTATAGTGTAGGTTGAAGCACTTAAGGGGACAATTCTTCAAATGTCATTTAGTTCTCAGAAAAAAAGTTGTATGGTCTGTTTTACACCCAGTTGGTGATAAATGCAGTGAGGCTGTGCATACTGTGAACCCCACCCCCTCAGATCCATTATCATCTACCAACAGGGACCTCAGATCCATTATCATCTACCAACAGGGACCTCAGATCCATTATCATCTACCAACAGGGACCTCAGATCCATTATCATCTACCAACAGGGACCTAAGATTGTGCATGGTCAAATCAGCTGAAGCCACTTCTCCACACACCCCTTTGCACCATCTTAGACTGGTCTGAGCTGTAGCACCTTCATTTTAGGCATGTTCATAAGAAAACAGGGACCAACTCCCCCCAGTCAAGCCACATGAACCACCCTTCTTTCCCAGTGCATCTTCTCTAAAAGGACTTGGGGCCTTCACTTGGCAATTCCCCCAGCTCTGCTCCTCCCCAGCTCCTGGGGCCTCAGCAATGGACTCTTGTCCCTGGGTAGGAGCCAGTAATAAGGAGGAGGAGGAAGGGAACGTGTTGACTGAATGTTTGTGTGCCCCACCCTGGGACACCCCTGAAGTCAGATATTGAAGCCCTAGCCCCCAGTGTGATGGTGTTTGGAAATGGGTTTGGGAGGTCCTTAGGTCATGAGGACAGGACCCTGGTCTGAGGGGATCAGTGCCGTTATGAAAAGAGACACCATAGAGCTAGCACACTCTCCCTCCACTGTGAAGACACACTGAGAAGAAAGCTGTCTACAAGCCCAGAAGAGGGTCCTCACCAGGAATTGAATCTGCTGGCACCTTGAACTTAGACTTCCCAGCCCACAGAACTGTGAGGAAATGAATTTCTGTTGTTGAAGTCACTCAGTCTATGGTATTTTGGTATGGCAGCCCCAGCAGACTAAGACAGAAGCAGTAGAAGTAGAGGAAACCCAGTAGTCAGCACTCACCCACATGTCTAGCCTGCTCTGGAGAAGGCATAGTTCAGCTCATCCCCCGTCTTCCTGAAATACACCTTCGGGCAAGACCTGCCACTGTTACAGGCAGAGGAAGCGGCTGCCTTTATGGGGTGACTTACAGAGCTCTGAGAGGCCCACCTGCTCCCTGTGTCTCTGCTGTCTTGCCCCCACTCCCCACCCGGCTCGGAATTCTCTCCATTGAACTTGCTGACAGCTGTGGAGAAAGAAAGGCCCCAGGATGAGTGACCCTCTTCCTTGTTATAGGACTTCTTATTGTGCTTCTCTTAGGCTACACTAGAAGGACTTTTCTTTGGCATAATTCAAGTCAGGAAGGAGCTGGTTGGCTGGCACCTTGACAAGGTCACCAAGATCTTCAGATCTGAGGGTTCAGGAGCTCAATTCTGTGAATTCATTGAAGTTCTGGATGATTGGTTCAGGCTAATCAAACTCATGAGACTCGCTGGCAGCTGCTGAGCAAATTTTTTTCTAAAATGAAAAGTATTTTTGAAAAACTGAATTACTAATTCAAGGCAAGGTCATTGAGCAGGGCGTGGGAAGATTTTTAATGGTTGGTGTCATCAAGCTATAACAATCCTCTGCTCTAATAAAGTGGCACCTACCAAATGAGCCAGCAGACCCCTGGAGCTGGGCAAGGTACCCAGCTCCACTGGACAGGGCCAGAGAGAAATGGTAACTCTTCAATTCATTTGTTATTTTTATTTTTAATATCCCAAGCAGAGCAACTACCGTCATCACTCAGCATCGATTGGGGATTGGTTCCAGGACCCTCTGCAGATACCAAAATCCATGGATGCTCAAGTCCTGATATAAAGTAGGGTAGTATTTGCATATAACCTACGCACATCCTCCCATATATGTTAAATCATCTCTAGGCTACTTATATATAATACCTAATACAATGTAAATGCTATGTAAATAGTTGTTATACTGTACTGTTTAGGGAATCATGACAAGAAAAAAAAAAGTCTGTACATGTTTGGTCCAGACAGAACCATCCATTTTTCTTTTCTGGATATTTTCAATTCTCAGTTGGTTGAATCCACAAACGTAGAGCCCATGGACTGCATTTATTTCTGTGATTAATATGATAGTGTTTCCATGATTACTATTTATCTTAAATTACATTCAGATTGCATCTTTGCGACGGGTCTGGAGAGGCCCTCTAAGCTTATCTGCTGTACACTTCAAGTCATCTCTCCAGCAGATGGATAATCTCATCCATAGGATGTTAGGTCTTTGTGGCTTCAGTTTCTGATTGTGCCATTTTCTGTCCCCTTTCCACCAGTTTGGGTTACCATACTGAAGCAATGAAAAGATTAATGAAGAAGAGAGAGATTAACAGGGAAGGAAAACGGGAATGGAGGGATTCTGGTTGGGCTTGAGGATAGGTCGACTCAACTCTTTCTCATTCCAGCTTGGAGTTGACCCAGAGTCTCTCAATGGTCAGCGTTGGGTCCTGCAAAGGTACAGTTGGGATGGCCACTTTCCACCTTGGCAGAAAGAAGAAACTGAAGCAGACACATGGTGAGGCAGAGGTTAGAACCCCACAAATTTCTTGCAGAGTAGCAGCAACATCTGCGGGTGCAATGCAGGAATGGCCCCCGGTAAGAGAATGAGAGTGGAACTTCATTTGCAGGTATTTCTGTTCTTTTTCCAGGGTCCCATGAGGCCTGCCTATGCTTTTGCTCACAGAGACTATGAAATCACCTCTGCCCCGCCATTTAATTTCTCTCTTTCCTCAAACTAGTTTTGGTGAGTTTCCTTCTCTGTCAGCAAAGGACCTTGGCCAGGACATCTTGGAATCATCTAGGCCTCCCCTGTTAGTGGATCAAGAAGACAGCAAATTGATTAGCTGACACCTTAAATAAGCATAAGATACAGGTAGACTTACAAGAAAGTAAGGTAGCCTAAGGCCCAGGGAGAAATTGGAAGCCAGAGAGAAGGGATCTGGAGTGAGGGGGTCCATGGGAGGAAGAGACCACGTGAGGTTCAGAGACAGCACTCAAGTTAAACTTTCTGTAATTCATAACACACCTGGATACCAGTTGGGGCTACAAGAGGAAATGACCATCATTAAGGGAACTGAAAGCACCTTCAGTTTTCCCTCACAGCCTGACAATTCCAGAAAAGGTAGGCATTTTAGAGCCTGAATTCTCTAGACTGGGCTTTCAGTGTTAATCACATTCCCTGGATAATTGCACAGCTCCCCGCCTCACTATACCTGTGTGGTTTGCTTAAAGAGATGTTAAAACCTCCATAATTTTGCCACTCCCATATTGAATGAGAGTCAGAGCAATTTCTTTTTCACCCTAGTTATCCTTTCCTGTAAATGCCTGGATATTCTCTGAAAGTTTAAGCAGATTGAGGGATTTTTGCCCTACCATAGGTCAGAGAAAAACTCAATATTTGTTATTCTCAGATCTTAATGCCTGCTCATGGTGATTTTAATGCTGCTTTTAAAAACTGCTGTGGTATTTTAATAATAGGACGTTCTTTCTGGTATTGTTGAAACATTACATTATTCAATGTATCCAATTGCAATCCATTTTTCTCTGCCCTTGTGGTGCATTATTATCATGGACTCTTTGCAGAAGTATAATTTGGGGAGCAATTTTCTAGCAAACCATTGAAGGTGTTGCATTCCAAATGTGAGGTGATGTGCCACTCTGTTCATGAAACCACATTACAAGGCCGAGAGCCTTTTTTCGTAGTAAACACTGTTTTAGCCCAGTGATCCCAGTGGGACTCACGCCTCCCGCCTTCTCTCCCTCAGTCGGCCTCACTTCACCTCAGGGATCTGACTTACAAATCCAGCTTCTGGTGCCCAAGATGTGTTGCCACATACAGGGCCCTGGCTGACATGAGATCACATTCTTCCTGAAGCTATTTTGTCCTTAGAGTTGGATTTCTCCCTGGCTAGGTCAAGTGTGTTGCTTCCTTCAACTGGATATGGCTTTCTCTAACACAGAAATCACGCACCGGTGGTCAATAGGTCATCTCTGACCCACAACTGTGGGGTTTTAAATGATTTAAAAAAATTTAAATTCTAACTATAACAGACTATTTTTATAACAGTTTTAGTTTCACAGCAAGACCTAGTAAAGGTGCAGAGAGTCCCCATATACCCCCTGCCCCCACACATGCAAAGCCTCCCCCCTTATCAGCACCTCCCCCACCCCCCCAGCCTCTACTACCCCCACTGGAGTGGCACATTTGTTACAACGGATGAACCTAAATTGACACATCATTATCACCCAAAGTCCATAGTTTACACTGGGTTCACTCTTCGTGCTATACATTCCATGGGTTTGGACACATGTCTAGTGACATATATCTAACTATCAGAGTATCATTCAGAGCGGTTTTAATGCCTCCCAAATCCTCTGTTCTCAATTTTATTTTGAAAATTTAAAATCATTTTTTAAATGGTTGTCCAACTTTAAAACTCAGGAGTTTTCACATGAAAATAGGGACTTCTGGATTGTCTTGGCAATTCCGAAGCTTGGCCACACTATGGCACTAAGTCTAGGTTGTCCCTGCTAGGGAAGTCAGGTCCTACCCAATTCACCACAGACCTCATTACTCCCTACTGACTAGACTCTGGAGCCTGTTTGTTTTTTAAGACAGAGTCTTGCCCTATTGCCCAGCCTGGAGTGCAGTGGCGCCATCTCAATTCACTGCAACCTCCACTTCCTGGGCTCAAACAATTCTCCGCCTCAGCCTCCTGAGCAGCTGGAATTACAGGCACCCGCCAACATGCCCGGCTAATTTTTTGTATTTTTAGTAGAGATGGGTTTTCACCATGTTGGCCAGGCTGGTCTCAAACTCTTGACTTCATGATCCACCCAGCTCGGCCTCCCAAAGTGCTGGGACTACAGGCATGAGCCACTGTGCCTGGCCAACTCTGGGGTCTTTATTGAGTCATCATGCCTGTCTATCTTTGTAGACATTGAGACTATGGCCCCTGCTTTCATAGCTGTGGTGGGCAGAGACTATGAAATCACCTCTGTCCCTCCATTTAATTTATCTCTTTCCTCGAACTAGTTTTGGTGAATTTCCTTCTGTGTCAGCAAAGGACCTTGGCCAGGACATCTTGGAATCATCTAGGCCTCCCCTGTTAGTGGATCAGGAAGGCAGCTCTGGCTGCCTTTGGGAAGCCCTGGTTCCCCAAATCCCCTCTACCTGGTATACACACCATGTAGAATCTCCTTCCCTTGAGTGTAGCTGTGACCCATGAACACAATGGAATATCCCTCTCTGATATAGGGCAAAGGGATTCTGAAGATGTAATCAAGGTCTGTAATCAGCTGACTTTGAGGTTATTAAAAGGAAGATGATTCCAGGTGAGCCTGACCTAAGCAGGTAAGCCCTTAAAGGAGACCAGAAGCAGCTGCAGATGCTCTCCTGCTGGCCTTGAAGAAGTGACCTGCCGTGCTATGAAAGGGACAAAGGCTAGGACCTGAGGCCAAACCCCAGGAGTGTGATCCCAGCAGAGATCCAGCAAGTAAATGGAGACCACAGTCTTCTTTTTTTTTTTTTTTTTTGAGATGGAGTTTGTCTGTCACTCAGGCTGGAGTGCAGTGGTGTGATCTCGACTCACTGCAAACTCTGCCTCCTGGGTTCACGCCATTCTCCTGCCTCAGCCTCCCTAGTAGCTGGGACTATAGGCACCTGCCACCATGCTCAGCTAATTTCCTTTTGTAGTTTTAGTAGAGATGGGGTTTCACCATGATAGCCAGGATGGTCTCGATCTCCTAACCTCGTGATCTGCCCGCCTCGGCCTCCCAAAGTGCTGGGATTACAGGTGTGAGCCACCGGGCCTGGCCCACAGTCTTCTAATCACAGGGAACTGAATCCCGCCAACCACCTGAATGAATTTAGAGGAGGAGCCAAGCTTCCGAAGATGTCTCAGTCCATTCCTGCTGCTGTAACAAAATGCCATTGTCAAAGAACAAAATTTCAGCAAATTGAGTTTTAAAGATCTAATTGGCTTTTATTAGTGATTCATGAATTGGGCAACATCCTGTCTATGAAATAAAAGGAGCTCCGCTGAGCTGAGCAGAGGGGGTGGGCTTTACAGGCAGCAAAATGCTGAGGAAAGCAAAAAGAAAGGACAAAGAGCACATTGGTCATTTCAAAGTTACCTTTCTTGTGTAGGTTGAAGTAGACAGAACTTCCTTATCATGCTGGCTCAGCTTGACTCAGTCCCTTTTGATTGGTTGCTGTGAATCCCTTTTTTCTTTCTTTTTTTTAACTTGCCTGCTTGGGGATTTCCCCTATTTTTTGAAGTTTAAGTTTGACTATGTGGCACTTAACATGAGTGCCTCCATTCTGCTTTTGTCTGGTCCACTGGGTCCTAGTGCAGGAGTTCAGTCTGAAACAATAGCCTCCCACAAATTTTAACATCTTAGACTGGGTAATCTGTAAACAACAGAAATTTATTGCTTACAGCTGTGGAAGCTGTGAAGTCCAAGACCAAGTCACCAGCAGATTCAGCGTCTGGTTAGGGCTCACTCTCCACTTCAAAGAAGGCGCCTTCTATGCATCCTTACAGGGTGGAAGGGGCCAAAAAGTTCCTTTGGGCCTTGTATAAGGGCACTAATCCCATTCATGAGGGCAGAGCCCTCCTGATCTAAGTACCTCCCAAAGGCCCCACCTCTTAATATGACCACATTAAGTTTCAATGTACGAAACTGGGGGGCCACAAACATTCAGGACATAGCAAATGAGATCACAGCTCCAGCCAACATCTGGACTTCAGTCTGGTGAGACCCTGAGCAGAGGGCCCAGCTAGTCTGTCCTGGACTCCTAACCCACAACAACTGGGAGACAATAAATTTGTGTTGTTGCAAGACACTATCTTTGTGGCAATTTATTATGCAGCAGTTGAATACTGCATACAATACAATAGCTATCTATTTGATCATTTGCTTTCATACCTGTACTCATATCCCCACACAACCAGAATCATGTGAATGGCTTTCACCTAAGACCAGAAAACACGCTGTAGAGAATATTCTATGTTGTATATGAATGTTTGTGTCCCTCCCAAATTCCTGTGTTGGAATCCTAACCCCCAAGGTGACGGTATTAGGAGGAAGGGTTTGGGAAGGTGATTAGGTCATGAGGGCAGTCCCCAGGAATGAGATTAGTATCCTTATAAAGAGGCCCAAGGGAGCTTGTTGGCCACTTTTACCATGCGAGGACACAGCAAGAGGGAACCGTCTATGAACCAGAAATCAGGCTTTTGCCAAACACCAAATCTGCTGGTGCCTTGATCTTGAACTTCCCAGTCTCTAGAACTGAGAAATTTCTGTTGTTTATAAGCCACCCCCTTTATGGTATTTTGTTATAGCAGCCTGAATGGACTAAGACACTCTACTTCCAAAAAAAGAAAAAGAAAAAAGGTGGAGGAGGGAAGTTGCAAACTCAAATGTCTCAAAAATACCTGGAAAACAAGCAGCTTGATCTAAGAGAGAATCTAGAATACCAGTGCTGCAAAATGTTGTTAGATATCACCTAATCCAGCCCCTACTGTCATTTTCAGATGAGAAAACTGAGGCCAGAAAAATTAAAAGACTTGTACAAGGTCCCATACCTTGCTGCATCATACTTTCCTATACTTGGCAGAAACCTTATGGATTCTTGACTTAGAGAAAGAAGTCCTGCATCTAGCAGTGGGTATATATGGGGAGGTTTAAGGAGTTGGTTAAAGAAAGTCACCCTTTGCTGGAGGAATCCATATGTAACCCCTTGACACTGCATTAGGTCCAGGTGGTTATTAATTTAACAAATACCTACCTCTCCAGCACCATTAGGAACAGCTGGGGAAGCATGGAAGTAGGAGGCGTGGCCACTACCTTTAAGGAGCTTCTAATCTCCACAAGGAAGCAGCTTACTTCCCCCAGTTGAAACCACAGAGGGATTGTTGCCTATGCACAGAAAGCAACACGCATTTGATGTGTGTTTTCCTCTGATGACTTTGGCAAACACTGGGACCCCTCAGCTCTCCCCACCCCAAACTCCCTCAACTCACTGCAGTGCCTAAGAGTTGAACCCATGTTCCTGATCTTTCATTCTGCATGGAACCTTGTTTTCAAATACAGGATAAAAAGCAGTAAAAGGTTGAGCAGCTCAGATCTAGAAATGGGGAAAGTGTGGGTTGTGGTAAAGAGGAGGTGGCGATAGCCCACGGTGGGCACTGCAGATGTCACTGGCCAGTGGAGAGAGTGGAGATGGGAGAATCTTGTCTGAAATGTGGATGGTAAGAGAGATTCCAGCCATTGCCTCTCAGACACCAACTCCTGCTTCGTTTTACCTTCAAAACATTCAATCTTCTGTTTAAGACAAACTGTTCCTTTTAGCTCCCTGGTTTCAGACAAAGCCACACCCTCAACAGCAGGGACAGCTGCCTCCTCTATTATTAAACATCTCGTAGGATAGAACCTCTGAGTCTTCCTTGGCCATCTCTTCCCTCTGCCCCACCCCAGCACACCAGCTGTCCCTCCTGATTTCCCCCTTTCCTTCATGATCTCACCATTTCCCAAGCCACCATGCTCCAACCTTGTAATTCACTTTAACTCTGTCCCTAGGTGCAAACAGTAACACGACTGTGTCCATTCTGTCCCTGAATAACTCTGCGGGTTGGCCTCTCTCTTCCGTGGCTGTCATGGATGGTGGGCTGCTAGGATCACCCCAGAGGGTGGAGGCCTCCCTACCCTCTCCAGCCTCATTCTTCTATGAGTCCCTCCCCAGGACACCCAGGCCCTCTGGAGTGTCGGCTGGCCACGTGGCTTCTCAGCTTGAGTCTGTATTTCTCAATCTTCTCTGTGGCTTTGTGATTCACTCTGGGCCTGTGGTACATGAATGGAAGGACACGTCCAATTCCAAGTTAGCCTCAACCTAAAGACAAGCCACTTGCCCTGGACTTCCTCCTCCTTCACCCCTTTATTAAGCAGCAGCAATGGAGTTACATGTTAAGGACAGCAGAGCTGACCAGTCACAAGACAGAACTGCTACCTACCCACCATCTTTGAACTAGTATGTGAGAAAGAAAGAAATGCCCGTGTGTGCGGTTTTTTTAATTGAGGCATAATTAACACTCAAAAACTGCGCAGAGCTTGATGTCCCCTTCACTGCGCTTTGACAGGTATACACCTTACAGTTTTACAACCATCACACCAAACAAGATATAAAACACTGCATCTATGTTACCTAAGCCATTGTCTGTTGGGATTCCTTTGTTATAACTGCTTCACCTGTACCTTAACTAGTACAACTCCCAAATGATCTTTCTGCCTCTAACCCCCCATAGTTCTTCAAGTAGATCTTCCTTAACTGCCAAGTTGGGCATTTTGCATTTTTATTAAAGGCCTACAAGTCTTCCTGATGGCTCTTCTCATTAAAATGAGCCCACCCAAGCTTTAATATCATTGCCTCTTTCTTCTCTTAGCTGAGAATTATCTTTTCTTATGCTGGCATGATGGTTTCTAACATGATCCCATCCACAGTCAGATTTTGGTAGAGTTCCAGGAGGTCTTTAGTGAGATTACTCTGTGTGGTCCTGAAACTCCCTTGACACTGCATGTTTTAATTCTTTCTTGGGAGATGATGGAAGGTGATGGAAATAACCAACTGAAACTTTTAACGATTGTTCGGAAGTCACATGAAAATTTGTAGGCACCTATCGCTGAAGGCTAAATTTTATGTTATTACAATAAATGGCGTATATAGTGCTTTTGAAGTTGATATGAGAAATTGCAGTTCTAAATTGTTTGCTGTTTAATGTTGGTACAAAACCACAGAAAGCGATCGGCCCAGAAAACCTTTAATTGAGGTAATGGGTTTTAACTGAATGCCACATCTCACAGTTACTTTTGCCTTAAAGGTGAAATGGGGTTCAGATGCCTTGAAGCTGATGTCCCACTATGACCAAAACCTGTGCGTTTACCTTCCCCTAAAAGAGAGAGTAGTTAAAATTTGCTGAGACTTCTAAAAAAAAAGATTAACTCATAAGCAGAAGGCAGAAGCAAGAATCTCCAGATAATTTCACCATTTAGATATCTGCCCCTTTAGAGAATAAAGAGGCAGAAAGCCTGGTCCGTACAGACCTCCAGGTCCTGAAATTCCTTAATTATGGCTTATTAGAAAAAAAACCAACTACTAGACCTGACTCAGAGAAGGAAGTCACTCCTGGTTCTTGCAGGAGCCTAATCATTAGAGCTGCAGAGAGCCCAGAAGGGTGAATGTGTTCGGTCTCTCTGGGCCTGCCTGGCTCCTAAGTCAAGGCTTTATCCCACATCTGCCTCTGCTTTCCATAAAGCAAACCCCTCAACTCCACTGTGGCCAGAGTTGGCAACACACCATCCCTGGGCTCCCAGCAAGAGGAGACTGTGAGTCAGATCTATCGTGGCCTCACTACTCTGCTTCCATCTCTCTGCCAGGGAGCCACTCAGCAGCAGATGGAAAACTTGCTCTTGGACTAAAAGAAGATGGCAGCTCGTTGCACTATCTGCACAGCTGTCCATAGGGCACCAGCATGGGTCTGCTCTGGGCTACTGCCAGGATGATGCTCCCAAGAAGTGCATTTCAGCTAAATATGGAAGACTTTCCTATCATTCCGATAGCTCCAATGGTGAATGAGTGCATGTGCCCCTTGTCACTGGGTCTCCAAGTATATACTACATGATCTTCTGCCAGGAGATTTACAGAAGGGATTCTTGCACTGAGAGGGAAAATGGATTATAATTTCTAAAAACCTCTTCTTGCTAAGAACAGCCTTCCTCTCTGTCCCAGAACCCTTTGTCCTTTCAATCATCCTGCAATCACTTGACTCTCGCTGAGGCTCCCACCCTGAGCTGAGTCCTGGCCCAGGCTCTAGGACTAATGATGACCTCAGACAAGTGGGATTTGGGGAGCTGGAACTCAACACTCTGGGATGAGAAGTTAAGCAGCAGAGCTGCTGAGCCAAGATAGACTTTAGGGCCCAGTTGTGACACCTGGGTGCTCTCGTTTCTGAAATCAAGTCACCTTTGTGAACCCTGGTCTTGGGCTTGGAATCCTAGTCTCATTTCTATCAGATCTTCTGTACAGGAAGCCTGTGCAGGAACAGGGGAGGGCAGATACTTTCCATTCACCCCAGGCTGTAGGCCAGAGACAGTCAAGAACTAAAACTGAGTCTCCATGTGCACTTGTACACACACACAGTCATAAACACACTCTCTCTCTTTCACACACACACACACACACACACCCCACACACACACCAAATGCACCTCGCAAGTGGTCCAGTTCAGGCCCTGGTTCACCAGAGTCTTGAGAAGGGTCCATAAGCCCACCCATACTGTACTTGTACTGAATTCAAGTTGAACTGTTGAGCCCAGTGGCCAGAAAGCCAGACCTGAGGGACGCAGCCAAAGCAAGCTGAGTCCAGTGAGCCCAGGCAGTAGAAGTCATGTCATCCTGGGATCAGCAGCAGGCAGCCAGCAAGTGGCTGCCTAGAAATAGTTCTGAGGCTCACAGTGATCAGCGGCTTCTGGCTTATAGTCAGCCCTCAGATAGCCCCAGAACGGAGATGCAAGTCTCCCGCCTTTAAAGGCATATAGCAAGGAGTGGACAGTTCCCTTCCTCTCCCCCATCTCTGGTCCCTGTTTTAATGACCTGTCTGGAATTCCAGGCCCCCAGGCCATAAAACTAAATATAAGACAAGGGCTGGGACTAGGCTATCCCTGACAATCAAAGGATAAAGATGTAAAATTGTATATTCGATAATGTACATGTGCACAAGCAAAAAACTAGACGCAAAACTACATCAGTGTGGTTATTTTGGGTGGTGGGATTATGGGTGATTTTTATTTTTTGTCTGCTTTTCTGCATATCTTAAATTCTCTGCAATGAATATGTATTACTGTTATAATCGGTAAAAGGTTAGTTTTAAAATTCATATGAAACTATGGTTTTATGGAAGTCATTTTGCAATCAAATCTATTTTGCTTACATGTGGAATTCTTGTTTTTACTGTTCTTCCTTTATGCTTTTCCCCGTCTCTATTTTTACTGCCCTGCTTTTAATGCTCTGATGGCCAGCTGTCCCCTCCAGCCAGGCATTCTGTGTGCAGGGTTTGAGTGACATGCACACACAGGAAACAATCCAAACCACACAAAAGGTGCACAACGAGAGAAGCAGGTGCCTGTCCCTGCCCCTGTGCTCACTGGGCCCCTGGCCCCTTCCTGCTGTTCCCTCAGGCAGGACTGGCTTCCCCACTCACCCCTGGCAAAGGCAAGCCTGCATTTCCTCCTATCCTCTGTCTAAAATTCTATTCCTGTTAGAAAGCTGACACATGTCAGTTGTTCACTCATTCATTTATTCATTCTCAAAATAGTTCCAGAGCATTGTCTCCACACCAAGTGCTGTGCTTGCCGGGGCTGGAGACACAACCCTAAGCTAGGCCCAGCCACTGCCCTTCTCCAGTTGAGAACAGATCTCCCAGCCAGTGTGCTGTGGAGGGTGACAGGCAAAGCTGGGGAGTGACCCACCAGCCCTGGGGACTGGCTGCAGCAGCTCGCTCAGTTTATCCCCAGTGTGTTGTCAAATCTCAACATGTGCTGTGGAGCCATGACCTGGGGAAGGCTGGGGAGCTAGCAGTTCTTAGCATTGGGAGGATACTAACCAGTAATTATCACAGTGATAGTTAGCATTATTATACCACATACTTTATTATGTGTGTGTGTGTGTGTGTGTATATATATATACACACACACACACGTTGCATTTATATGTCTATGGGTTTAATGTTCTGATTAAAATAATTTTTTCTGATTATTTTAACCAGCAAACTTTATCCTAATGGCAGCTAACATTACTGACGGCCGAGTATGTGCCATGCTGTAGTCTAAGTACTTCTAATATAAAACCTCATGCATTCCTCACAACAGTCCTGTGCTGTAGGTTCCATCATTATTCCCATTTAATGGATGAGAAAATGGTGACAAGGATGGTAAGTAATTTACCGGAAGGTCACAAAACCAGTCAGTGGTGGGTCTTGGGTTTAGATCCAGAAGGTCTGACTCAGAGCTTCACTGTGTTGATTCCCAATTATAGACACTGAGAATGCTCTCTGAGTACTGGCTAAGAAAAGTTCTGGAGCAATGAGGCCCACATGGGGAATACCAGCCTAGTCTCGGAGAGTTAGAGAACTTCCCAGAAGGGAGGAAGCCGAAGGTGATACTGAAGAACTGGAGGTAAGCGAACAAGGAGGTGAGAACGTTTCAGGTGGAGAGATCAATGGTGAGGTTGAGAGAAGCAAGGGCGCTTGCAGGGGAAACCGTCAAGCTGCCTGGCACTCAGGGGTGGACTTTGCATTAATACCAGGCTAAGGGGTTGGGCTTTTTCTTAAGGCCAATGGGAAGCCATTGAATTTTAAGGATTTTAAGAAGTAAACGCTATAGTGAGATATGCTTTGAGAGAGATCCTTTACTGTTTTAATATGGAGAATGGGTTAGGAGGGACAAGACCGCAACTGTGGAGACAGGTCGTCGAGTGTCGCTGTGATGCAGAGACGGAGGACAGGACCTTGACCTGCGCAGTGGCAGTGAGGGTGGGGAGAGTAATCACCTTCCCTTATTTGCATTTCCTCTGTGTTTTGGTTTGAGGGCTCTGCCATGCTGGCTTGTACTTGCTTAAATAATGCCTTCAAGCTTGTTATTTAGCTGTTTCTGTTTATTCATCCTGTCTCAACTGGACTGTAAGCTCCCCCAGGATAAGAACCACTTTCATTTATTTATTTATTTATTTTTTAAGACGGAGTCTTGCTCTGTCGCCCAGGCTGGAGTGCAGTGGCGCAATCTCGGCTCACTGCAACCTCTGCCTCCCAGGTTCAAGTGATTCTCGTGCCTCAGCCTCCTGAGTAGATGGGATTATAGGCACGCATCACCACACCCAGCTAATTTTTGTATTTTTAGTAGAGACAGGGTTTCACTGTGTTGGCCAGGCTGGTCGCGAACTCCTGACCTCAAGTGATCCACCCGCCTCGGACTTTGCAATTACAGGCGTGAGCCACCATGCCCGGCCAGGAACCACTTTTAACATATACCCATTAGTCCTGGGCACAGTACTGGACACGGAAATAAGCTATTGCTGTGCTTTGAATAAATAAATTATCATGTTTGTTATCTCAACGAACTTACCATCAAGGAGTTTTATAATCTAAATGCATCTTGCTGAAATCGAAGGCTCTTTCTCTAGCTTTTTCCTTTGGGCTTATATGTAATCACATGCAAAGCAAAACTAGGTAACTAATATACATAAAGTGCCCCGGTAAAACAGTGCAGAGGATGAGTAGGAAGAATTAGTTATATGCAGATAGATGTCTGTGTTTACCACCATGTGTTTGTGTGTTTTGAGTACACAGGGCCCTATAGGATTTGTTCATCTTGCATCAAACTGGATTTAGCTTCTTAAAGTCCGTTTTTCTCTTCTTTAGACCTTCTGAAGGATTCATGCACCAAATAACTAAATTATGTCTTGGTAGCTAAACAAATTATGCAAAATTATATACCATGAATATTTTATAATTCTAAGCCCTGAAGCCAGACTCCAGACAGTTTTATGTCTGCAGCAACCCATATCGTACCCAGATGAATTTGGCTAAAGACAAATGACTTCTTTCTAAAGAACTTAACTTTTTCTCATGTTGCATTTTTCTTTAAGAATGTCTCAAAGGTTTTATTGCAAACAGATAACGATAGTAAATGCACTTCACCTTCCTCTTAGCAGGCAAAAGCAAGCGATTATGCTTCATATAACTTAACTCTCTAAACACTGACAAGACTGCTTAAGGTAAGCAGTGGCCCAACTCAGGCATGCATTGAACAGATACGAATAAACAGGGCACAATCGTCCACGGTTCAACTAGTTTCACATACTTCCTTTGTCTTAGAACTTGTCCTAGCTGTTGAAATTGCCTACAAAATACATTTTTCTAAATAATGAGGTTTGAGTCACCCAGGGGTAGGAAGGAGAAAGGATTGCAGCTGCGTATGATCTCAATACTAAGAAAGATCAGAACTGCTTATACGTTACAGTTGGTTTCTTTCTCCTTCTTCTTTCTCAATTACCTTTGCTAGTTTTGATCCTCCCCTTCTGGTGTTAAAAGAAAGACCTACCCTACCAAGGTTCATGGCTGTGCTCTCAAAAAGACCAGCAGAAGAAAATGATGAAAGTATAAGTTAATAAGGCTCTGCTGGCCCCTCTCCTTGGCTCCCAGGATGCAGTCTTGCAGGTTAATGCTTCCAATTGAGCAACTTCAAAATGGCTGTGAATCCGAGGAGGACAGAGAAAGATCTGCGTCTCTCCCAGCTTCCTCGGACTGTTCCGTAGGCACCGAGACGAACCGAATGGAACCGGAGCGATTGCATAGGCGTCCAGCAAGAGGCTGATGAGGACACCAAATAATGGAAACAGCCGATTTTGTTGGGATGGTGGAATTTCTGGGAGATGGCTCGTTCTTCTTTAGTTCTTTGTTTTTTAAAATTTCTGTTAGTCTTCCATTTTCATCTGTGCAATAAATGAATAAAATTTCTTTTTAAAATGCTACTGACTCATGGTAGCACCAAAGAAGTCAGAAGCATTTTTGCTGTCTAATCAGCAGACTGAATTTCCAGACATAGTATTACCATCTTCTTCCCCAGAAAAGGGCAAGGAAAAATTTAAAAAGAAAACAAAAAAGACATTACTCAGAGGCCACTGGGCAAATCCCTGAGATGGTCTGATTCTGGGTATAAGCCCAGAATGTGATCAGGAACAGGCTAGCCTGGAGTCTGGAAACCACCCATGTGGTAGAGTCTTCGGGTCAAGCCCCACCAAAGCTGGGAGTAATAGAGGGAGGTGGATTAGCATAGTAGCCATGGGTTAATGGAAAGAGAAGGAACACAGGAGCGAGAGATGTGGGGGGGAACCTTGGAGATGCCACTTACCAACCACATGTCCGTTAACCAGTTACCAGGCCTGGTTGAACCTCAGTGTTTTAATCTTTAAAATGGCTGCAAATTATACTCACTTCCCAGGGTTGTTATAAGATTGCAATGAAATAATTGCTTGAAATCACCGAATACAGTGTCCAGAGCCTAGCAGATGCTCCGTGGCTACCGGGGCTTTCAGGATGAGTTCCATCTCAACTGACTCTGTTCTTTCTGTAGTGACCCTATCTCTCCCTTCCCACGAAGCAGCCACCCACTGCCCATGCACTCTTCTCCCTCGCCACCATTTATCTCTCTTCCACCACTTTCAGAGAGGGACTCAGAAAGGAATTTCATAGAGGCCGACAGGGTGCAGGACCTGCTACCCCAATATATAGCACCTTGGAGGTCACTCTCTGACCTTCTCCTGCCTTTCTGTGGGACAGCTGTCCATAGAAGAATTCTCTGTCCTACCCCTCCTGAATGTAGGTCATAAGACCCTCACACAATAGGTGTTCTGTCCTGTTCCCAGGAAAACGGATGTCTTACAGAGACACAAAAAAGAATCACAACAAACAGGCCCTACTGAGCTCTACCTGCTGCTCATTACTGTCAGATCACACCCTTTTTGTCCAATCAACTATTTCCCCACAACTATCTACTTCTTTCCACAGACTTAGCATAAAAAATACACAGTTTTCCCTGGGTCTTTGAGTCTTCATTTCCAAAGGCTTCCTGTCATGTAAAACTTTAGTTAAATAAACTTGTTATGCTTTTCTCTTGTTACTCTGCCTATTATTATAGGGGTGTCAGCCATGAGATTTGCAATTGTTGAGGAAAAGATATGATTTCTGCTCCCCTACAAAACATTTATATTCAAGAATATCTAATAAATTTTTCCTTTTCTAGGACTATTTGCATGTGAACTGGGGATTAAAACAAAATTATTCTAGCAGAGCAATTTTAGTCCTCAGCAATCTAGTAAGGGAGGCATATTGCTTTTGTTTTGTTTGTTTGTTTGCAGGATGGGATAATAAGGAATCCTTCAGTGGGCCTTTAAAATCATGCAAATAAGTATCTCTTAAATGCCTGGGTGAGCCTCTAAATTTAACTATCAGTTTACAGAAAACACAGAGGACAGAGGAACTTGATAAATGACACTAAGGGAATGCAACAAGCATTTTTTCCCCATTTTTTTCTGAGTTTTTCCCATGCAAAACCTAGACTGTGAGTTCTTCTATAGGACAAATAATATTTTTAAAAATCAATTTCAAGCAAGAGAAATGTTAGGAGAACCTGCAGATTAAGAGGTATAGAACACAAATTTAATCACAAGCTATGGACCTTAGTTGGAACCTAAATAACATTAAACAAATTATTAAATGAAAGTTATGACATTTATGAGACAAATTGGAGTTCAGCATTAGTTTAATTTGACATCTGGTGATATTAAGTATAATTGTTAATTTTGTAAGTGTGATAATATTATAGTTGTTTTTCAAAAAGAGTCCTATTTAGATACACATACTGAAATATTTACTAATAACATGGTCTGTGATGGTTAATTTTATGTGTCAACTTGGCAAGGCCGTGGTGCCCAGTTGTTTAGTCAAACACCAGTCTACATGTTGCTGTGAAGGTATTTTTTTAGATGTGATTATGATGTGGTTTGGCTCTGTGGCCCCACTTAAATCTCATTTTGAATTGTATTCCCATAATTCCCATGTGTTGTTGGAGGGACCTGGTGGAAGATAATTTAAATCATGGGGGCAGTTTCCCCCATACTGTCTTTGTGGTAGTAAATAAGTCTCATGAGATCTCATGGGCTTATCAGGGGCTTCCACTTTTGCTTCTTTCTTATTTTCTCTTGCCACCGCCGTGTTAGAAATGCCTTTCCCCTCCTGCCATAACTCTGAGGCCTCCCCAGCCATGCAGAACTGTAAGTCCAATTAAACCTCTTTATATTCCCAGTCTCAGCTACAGCCTTATCGGCAGCATGAAAACAGACTAATACAGATGAACATTTAACTAAGTAGACTTTGACTAAAGTATATACCCTTCATAATGTAGACAGGCCTCATCCAATCAGTTGAAGGCCTTAAGACCAAAGGCTGTGGTTTCTAGAAGAAGCAATTCTGCCTTAAGACTGCAACATAGAAACTCCACCCCAGTTTCCAACCTGCGGAATTCAGACTCAAGACAGCAATGAAAACTCTTACCCAAGTTACTGGCCTCTACAACTGGCATAATCCAATTCCTCAAAATAAATCCAGATAGAGAGAGAGAGAGAGAGAGAGAGAGAGAGAGAGTTCTGTTTCTCCAGAGAACCCTTGACTAAAATATGGTCTTTTGTCTGACACTTGCTTCAAAATAAGAGAAATCGGGGGAGTGAATTGGCAAATAGATGGGGCACAACTGACCATGGGTTAATGGCTGTTGGAGCTGGATGAAGGATATTTTTTAAAATAGGAGTAATAGTATCTAATTTTATGTATGTTCAAAGTTCTCCATAATGAAAGTTTTAAGGTAAGAAGCTCTCTTGATCCATGTAATTATTTCCCAGCTCATTTTGCAAGGCTCCAAGGGTCACATAAGCAAATTTTTAACCCAGCTCAGTAATTATAAGTCCCCCTCCCCCATGCTGCCCCGTGAGCAGTAGGGTCTGCTGCTTGGCTAAGTCACCATCACCACGGTGCTGCCAACAGCAGGGGCCAACTCCCCAGCAAGGCTGCCTTCCTAGGACGACTTCCAGAAACAAAGGCAGCTGGACTCCAGGAGAGAGCCGGGAAGCCCTGCCATTACAGACCAGGGACCTGAGACCCAGGAAAGGGAATGGCTCACTGATGATCACTTGGATCCTGAGAGATGCAGAACTGGTTCTGGAGTCTTGTTTTTTGAACTCTCCATCAGTGTTGTCCCATAAACATTCTTGCTTCCCTGAAAGGGTCAACTGATCCCATGGAAAAAACAGCAGCCCAGCTCTCCTCTAGCCCCCTTTCACTTTTTAATGAACTATTTCAGGTATACTAAAAGGATCTCTGACAATAGCATGAGTAAAAATTAAACATTACAGTTAAAAAATTAAACATTACAGTTAGCCCAACACAGTCAGGCCTCCTCAGATTCACTCCCTTGCGTCCCTCCTAAGAGGTAACCATTCCCCTGAACTTAGGGTATGGCCTGAGCATGCATTTTCTTTCTTTCCTTTAAAAAGAAAAAGATGATATGTTGAGTTTTTTTAATTGCCATGAATTTTTAAATCCTTACGCTATATTTTTACGAATGTTTTCATATTACAGGTATCCTGTGAAACTTGCTTCCTTAAGCTCAGCAATATGTTTTTAAGATTTATCCTCATCGATGTAAGTAACTCGTTCACTTTCTCACTGCTAAATTGTATTCCACTGTAGGAATGTACCACAATTTATTGATCCATTTCTCCTGTGAGAGCATTTCGGTTGTTTTCAGTTCTTTTTTACAAACGGGCAGAATGAACAGTCTTGCAGTTGCCTTGTGTACAGTCGAGGGCCTTTCTCTAGGCCTCTTTTTCAGTCCATTGTTTCCCCTCCATCCTCTTTCCCGCCAAGTTCGTGGGGGAAACCCTTACAGCGCTGGCCCATATCCTCCCATGGGTTAAGTGTTTGCTCTCTGTCTCCCTGGGCAAAATGAGAGAAGGTGTGGAGTAGTTACTTAATTAATTCAGGAAGGCATCACTCCATAACTGAAGATTTCCTTGTAGGGTCTTTAAGAATAAGATTTGGGGGCTTAGTTATCTGAATAATTGCCCCGTCTAGACTCCACTGCCTCCTCCCTACAGTTCTTGGCAGTATCCAAAAGGGGTTAGCATTTACGGAGCACAGTTAAATATAGACATCTAGGAATAAAAGGCCTAATTAAGAACCAGGAAGTTGCTCTTGGGAAACGAAAAAGTTTGCCAAGGCGTCCATAGCAGTGCCAAAGCCCAATTTGGCAGGGAAATGCTGAGTCCCAAGTTGGGGAGGGGGAGGTTTCTCCCCCACATCACCAGGGCACACTGGCTGGCTGTGTCTCATGTTTCCCCAAGTCACACTTTCTCCAATTCGGAGGAAGGAAACCACCTCAAGGCAATTGGATTCGATTTCCTCCTGTGTCAGAGTCTCTCTCTCTGATTTCTCTAAACTACAAATTTACCAGGATGAGTTTTAGACTCTGAGAAACCTTTCTAATTCAAAATGTATTTCTGATCCTTCAGACTTGGGAAGGACTGGCATTTACCTTTATGCCAAATTCCCCTGCCCATGTGAAGTAACACAGCAGAAACTCCTTTTCCATCCTGCTGGGAGGGAGCAGGGTGAAAACCAGTATTCTAGCTTGTCAGTTTTCAGTGAACTCTTGCTCTATTTAAATTAATATGGTTTCTCAAATTCAACATGCTAATCTGGGTATGTGGCCATGTTTCTAGCAGATTCTCAGGGATTAAAAATAAGCTTCAGTCAGGAATGTTTATTCTTCATACAAATATAAATGAGATTCTTTAAGCTCTGTAACATCCCCTTGATATAAAATATAAAGTTCATTTTTATCTAGCCCTCAGCAGGTCGATGGGGGCTGCAGGGAGCAGCACAGACCTGGTTCTGAGCTGTCCCAGGCGGGGTACATCCTGACCTCACCTGTAAATGGGGTTGCCTGTCTCCTAGGGTGCCTGGGTGGATCAATGGAGATAATGTACTGGAAAGCACTTTGAAAAATACAAAGTGCAATTCAAATGGGTTATTGACAGCCCTTTGTTAAGTGTTCGTTTGATTGCTGAATGTCCTTGAATGCAATGAAGCATCATTTCTTATAAACCGTTTTATAACTTCCCTCCAATCAGTTCAGCTCTTATGGTTTTATTCTAAAGCCCAGGAAGCTGCCACATGGAATCTTATAAAGTAGAGGAAAAGACTTTACCTCAAGGTCACCTTGTATCTCACCCCTGTCCCCACCCCTCCAGCAGGAATCCCCTCTGCATCACCCCAGATATTTCCCAGGCCCCCTGGCTTTGAAATCTCTGGTGAAAGCAGCTTCCCAGGGCACCCGGCAGCCCTTCCTACTGATGGGCCTCTGTCTCCAGCTGATGCTTCTGGCAACCAAAAGCCACTTCCACTCACAGGCTTCAGGCCTGCTATCTAGAGCAGGGGTCTGCAAACGACGTCCCATGGACCAAATCCACTCTGAAGGCTGTTTTTATACAGTCTATAAACTAAGAATGGTTTTTATATTCTAGAATAGTTTTACATTTTTATAATGTGAAAACATTTTACATTTTAAAAAGAATATTTCATGTCATGAAAACTATATAAAATTCAAATTTCAGCCAGGCTCGGTGGCTCATGCCTGTAATCCCAGTATTTTGGGAGGCTGAGGCGGGTGGATCATTTGAGGCTAAGAGTTCGAGACCAGCCTGGCCAACATGGCACAACCTCATCTCTACTAAAAATATAAAAATTAGCTAGTCATGGTGGCACAGGCTTGTGATCCCAGGAACTCAGGAGGCTGAGGCAGGAGAATTGCCTGAACCCAGGAGGCAGAGGCTGCAGTGAGCTGAGATGGCACCACTGCACTCCAGCCTGGGCAACAGAGCAAGAGCCTGTCTTAAAAAAAAATTCAGATTTTAGTATCTATAAAGTTTTATTGAAACATGGCCACATCTATTTCTTCTCATATTGTCTGTCTATTTTTGCATTACAGCAGCAGGGTTGAGTAGTTGTAACGGAGACCATATGGCCTGCATAGCCTAAAATATTTACTATCTGTCCATTTACAGAACAACCCCTAATTTTAGAGTTCTATAGGCAATCCTAATCCCTCTTCAAATGTGTTAATAATGTTATGTCATTTACCCATCCTAACAACTTTTTAAGGGCCTATTAAGGTCCAAGTGTCATGCAGGGGACTGGGGATGTTAAAAAAAAAGGTAGTATTAACAATATTTAGTGGTTTCTAACTTCAAGGGTCTACGATCTGGTAGAAAACAAAGGATGCACACAGTGGTAAAGATCCCACACCCTGGAGTCAGACAACCTGGACTTGAATCCCAGCTCCACCCTTACTAGCAGTGCCATGTTCACTAGGCAAGTTATCTAAACTGCCTATGCCTCAGTTTCGCTTATCTGTGAAATGGGGATAGTCATAGTATGGACCTTAGAGGGCTGTTGGAAGGATTAAATGAGGCGATATGTGTAAAGGGCGTGGAACCGTGCCTGGCCGCAGTAAATGCTCAATGGGCATCGTTACTGTTACAGGCAAACAAATAAATACAATGATGTGCTGTGGAGGCAGCAACAGAACCTGGTAAGGAGAGAATAGGGATAAAAACTGGGACATGACCGCTTCTGTCTGGTAAGGAGTGGGGCTGAGAAAGGCTTCGTGCCTGTTGGAGTGTTAGAGGACAGACAGGTGTTTTCCCAGCAGACAAGTGGGATGGTGATATTTTAAGGAGACTGCATTTTAAGGAAGCTGCATGAGCAAAGATGTCCCAGACTGACCTCATCTTCCCCCCATCCCCCCACCCCATCACTCCTTCCCCTCTGCTCCGCATCTCCTTGAACTGGACTGCTTCTCTCTCCTCAGCCCCCATCACCATTACCATCAGCTGCTCAAGGCAGAACACACAGAGAGGGGGACATCCTTATCTCCTCCCCCAGCTCATCTCCTTCACCAGGTCATGCTGATGCTGCCTCCCGCATATCTCTTAAATCTATCCTCTCTGTATCCATAGATCTCTCTCTATCTCTGTGTATTCCTCTAATGGTTTCCCCTTGCTCTGAGGATCAAATCCCACTTCCTGATCCTGTGGGGTCCATTCCTTCCCTCCCCTTCTAACCCCAGCCAGCCTCACTTTCCTTCCAGTCCTCAGATGCTGGCTTTTCCCTCTGCCTGAAAAGGTTCCTTCCTGCTTTCCACCCCACTCTCCCCGAAGTGCTCACCTTTCAGGCGGCTGTCTCAATGCCACTTCCTCAGGAACACTTCCCTGACTCTTGCACTAGGCTCTACCCTCTCCAGGTGCTCTGTCCTTACCACAATCAGAACTGATTATTTGTGTGCTTGTTGTATATAATCTGCAGACTCCATGAGAGCAGGGATTTTGTGGATTTTGCATGGATGCCCTGATAGAAGCCCAGCTTCGAAAGCAGTGGCCGGCAGATAGTTGGCACCAAAAAGTATGTGTTGAATTATTGTCTTTTCCTCACCAAACAGTAAGCTTCTGTAGACATGGGCTGTGTCAATATTATGTCCCCACAGCCTAGCCTGGTGTTTGGCTTGTGCTAGATATGCCATGAACGTTTGTTGGATAAACAAATAAATGAATGACTTCAAAAATATGTCTCCAGCCAGGTACAGTGGCGCATGCCTGCAGTCCCTCTAGGCTGAGGCAGGAGGATTGCTTGAGCCCAGAATTTCAAGTCCAGCCTATGCAACATAGCAAGACACTGTCTCTAAAATAAATAATTAAATAAATAAATAAATAAATAAATAAATAAATAAATAAATAAACAAACTCCGCCTTCACCTCTGAAGAGGTGTACACTGTGCTTTTGACAGCATAGCCTAAAAGGGCAGAAACCTCTTAGCAGCCAATCCCACTAATACAACCATCATGTCTCAGGAATGAAAAGGACCATGTGGATTATTTAATTCAGTCCCCATTTGACATGTGACTCCTTCCTGCACTGCTCTCATCATGCCTTCATTCTGCCTACGCTGGAATACTGCAAGAAGCAATAACTCACTGCTTCCTGAGGAAAACTATCCCATCTTTTTCCCCCTCTGCTTGATAGAAGTTCTTTGTGAACCTGAAGCAATAGCTGGCACCTCATAGCTTCCATCCGTGGGTCCTAGCTCTAGGCCTTAGGGCAACGATCTTTAAACTATGAGTTGCAACCCATTAATAAGTCAGAAAATGAATTGAATGGGTCTTGATGGGCATTTTTTTTTCAATGAAAAAGAATAGAATAGGATAGAAAGAATAGAATAGAGGACCAGGCACGGTGGCTCACGCCTGTAATCCCAGCACTTTGGGAGGCCAAGGCGGGTGGATCACAAGGTCAGGAGATTGAGACCATCCTGGCTAACACAGAGAAACCCCATCTCTACTAAAAATACAAAAAAATTAGCTGGGCGTGGTGGCAGGTGCCTGTAGTCCCAGCTACTCGGGAGGCTGAGGCGGGAGAATGGCGTGAACCCAGGAGGCAGGCTTACAGTGAGTCAAGATCAGGCCATGGCACTCCAGCCTGGGGGACAGAGTGAGACTCCGTCTCAAAAAAAAAAGAAAGAGAATAGAATAGAATAGAATAGAATAGAATAGAATAGAATAGAACAGAACAGAAAATATCAAAGTAAACTGAACACAGTAGGGTCAATAATATTTTCTGGAATGCTTATTTCAGTTACATATGGGTGTTTACACATATTCTGCATTGAGATATGACATATAATTCTTACTGTAGGTAACAGCCAAGCAGCTTTGAAAGCCAGTGTTCTGGAGAATTAGCAGACTTGTACTTTTGATGGACCTTTCAGTGTGAGAAGACCAGTTGAGATGGTCTCTAAAGCCTTCTCCTCCCAGCCCAAAACCCCTGGCTCCTTCCCTTGTTTGCATATGATGTGGTTGTTGGTTGCTTTCCCCTGGAACTCTCTCTACAGCCCTATCGAAGAGTAGTTCTGGGAAATAGCAGCTAACAGCATTCTCTAACCCCACATTTCTCTCTCACCAGCAGTTGGTGTACATTTTGTAGTCCTAGTGTTTTTCTGAAAATAAAGACAGACAAAAAATTGGGGTGAGGAATTCTGCCTTCTCTCTTTAATCCATCAACATTACACTAATGGCCCCAAACAGCAGACATAGACCTTTTTCTGTTTTCTTTGTCCAAATCTCATTGTAGCTGTGCTATGCTCTCAAGGTGGACTAAAATCTAATTAGTTGGAGTTTTTGTTTTGTTTTGTTTTTTGGCTGCCACAGAACACTATTGTCCTAGATTCAGATTCCTGTCAACTAAGTCTTGTTCACATAATAAACCATGTCTATTCCATCCTGTACTTACACGGGAACACTGTGGGGCACGAAGTTAAAATTTCCCAGTTAAATTGCTTCTTGTTTGGATTCAGTGTATGCCCCTGATGATATCATTTTGGGTCCTGATGATCTCATTTCCCTTGTTCACCACTCCTCCCGCCAATTCAGCTTTTGAGCCTTTGGTATAAAGGAAAGAGCAATGACTTTGGGTTCTAGGGCTCAAATCCCCAGTCTCTGCCTTCATCTCAGTGTACCTTCAGGAAAGTTATTTAACCTTTCTATAACATAATATCTATCCCACAGTTTTATAAAAATTCAATTAAATGATATTATATACGTATATATCACATCTTGTCTGACACGTAGTGGGCATGTAATAAGTAGTAATCATGAACAGCAACAACAGCAAAATATGTGACTGGACCAGGGGGAAAAAAAGCTTTTTTCACCACTAGAAACACCCCTGTGGGCTGAGAGTTTCCATGATCACAACCATTAAGTACAGCCACTCAAGCAGTTCCCAAGTTTTTTAATTACTTGGGAACCATCCTATTTTTATTTTTCTTACCTTCAACAACATCCTGAGAGAACTATCAAATGCTTTGTTGAAATCCAAACACAAGGCTGGGCGCGATGGCTCATGCCTGTAACCCCTGGGAGGCTGAGTCAGGAGGATCACTTGAGCCCAAGAGTTCAAGACCGGCCTGGGCAACATAAGGAGACCCTGTCTCTACAAGTAGAAAAAAATTAGCCAAGCATGGTGGCGTATACCTGTAATATCAGCTTCTTGGGAGGCTGAGTTTGGAGGATTGCTTGGGCCCAGAAGTTTAAGGCACGGTGAGCTGTAATCATGCCACTGAACCCCAGCCTGGGCAACAGAGCAAGACCCTGTCAAGAAAGAAAGAAAAGAAATAAATAAAAAAGAAGAAAAGAAAGAAAAACAAAGGAGAAGGAAGGAAGGAAGGAAGGGAAGGAAGGAATCCAAACACACAATTCAGTTGACCTCTCAGGACTCTGGTCCCAAGAGCACCAACGAAAAAGAAAGAGGAAGAAGAGAAGAATTGAGATCAGCCTGGTGCGACCTGTTCCTTGTCAGCCTGTGCCATGTGCTCATGGTCCCCACATTCTCCACAAAGTGCTCAACAATTAACCCTTCCAAGATCAATTCCTGTGCAAGCTGGACAACATGCTTAACTATCTGTAGTCTGTAAAATGAACTGGTTTTCCATCTCGAAAAATGGTGAGATGTGCTCATGGGCATTTTTTTTCCCAGCACATCTTCATTTCCCTAAGATTCTTTAAATTTCAAGAAGCAATGACTGAGAATCTGATTTGCGAATTGCCTCAGTACCTTGCAACATCATTAATTTATTCCAGAGATCTGAACTCATTAAGAGCAGCCACATGCTTCTTAAAAGCTCACTGGCGGGCTGGGCACGGTGGCTCATGCCTGTAATCCCAGCACTTTGGGAGGGTGAGGTGGGCGGATCACAAGGTCAGGAGTTTGAGACCAGCATGGCCAACATGGCGAAACCCTATCTTCTACTAAAAATACAAAAACTAGCCAGGCATGGTGGCATGTGCATGTAATCGCAGCCACTTGGCGGGCTGAGGCAGGAGAATTGCTTGAATCCAGGAGGCAGAGGTTGCAGTGAGCCAAGATCGCACCACTGCACTCCAGCCTGGGTGAGACTCTGTCTCAAAAAGAACAAAGCTCACTGGCTTCCATGTCACTGGCCAGAGCTCATTCTTTCTTTGCATTCTGTTCTACCATTCTCCCTGTTGGAGAAAACAGACAAAAGGAAGTCTTGCAGAGTTCTGCCCTCTCCAGACTGCCCAGCTACAGTTTCACCATCAATTCCAAGCTCTAGATCTGCCGCTGTCTTCCCTGAGCTTCTTGTCTGGAACCTCATTAAGTCCTTTTTGTTGTCTTTAGAAGTTTTTTGCATGCCTCAGCTCATTTTAGACTTTCACCTTCCCGATATACCTCTTGTAATCATTCTTGGTTGTGTGTTTTTTCTCTGCAAAAGTCTTTGTGAAACCTGAGCTCATTAAGTCCATCACAGCTACTTTGGCTTCTTTAAATACTTCCAAATTTCCTCCCTTCTCGGAGACTGTCGTGGTTGCAGAGACTGAGTTCATTTCTGAGAGCTTTTCACTATCAAGAAAGTTTCTCTCTTGTAGGGTCACATACCACAGAAGTGCACAGTGGGCCTGTTTTGTCTCTGGCCCTATTGATATTTGCCTCCCTAATGGCTTAAGTAGGTGTCCAACCGTATCCAGATTTTCTCTTCTTGCCTATAGAAAACCCCAGGATGACACCTTTTTCTTTTGGACAGAATACGGTGTATAAAGTAGTGAGTTGCATGCTGCCTCCTGCCCTTTTGGGAGACCAGCGTACAACCCAATGAGCTTATCAGAGAACTGCTGACTGCAGCTGGGCAAGCTATAAATTAAAAGTCTGGGATCTTTCTTTTTTCTTTTCTAAAAGAACCCTTTGTGAGTAATAATAATCCTTGTTAGATCTTACTGAGTGCTGATGTTTTTGCCAGGCAATTTTCTAAGAACTTGAAAGGTATCATTTCACTTAATCCCTCCAACAATGCTTTTGGGTAGGACCTATTATTGCTTCCATTTTATAGATGAGGACACTGAAGCACAGAGAGGTGAAGAAAATTTTCCACAGTCATGGAAGAAGTAATGGTGGGGCCATGATTGGACTTGACCCACTAGTCTATGTCCTTGCCAACCACATCATATGGCGGTATCTCCAATCTTGTTATTATCCCATGGGTATTTTTACACCTATGCTGGATCCTGTATTTATCTCCATTAAGTATTATCCATTGGTCTTTTTATACCTTTGCTGGATCATATATTTATCTCCATTAAATATTTCCCTGCCAGTTTCACCTAGGACCTAGGGCCTATAAATGTCTTCTTGAATTTTGATTGTCTGTAAATTCATTGAATACTTCCACTTTTATGCCAGAAATCCTGGCTTTCTAAATCTCCCTCTATTATCCTTCTTATGACTACACTGCCCTTCAATAATTTGTTTATATGTCTGTGAGTTCCCTGATATAAGGGGCTATTACTTATTCATTTTTGGTGTCTGTTGAATAAATGAATGAACGAATGAATGAATCCCATGTATTCATTCACATTCTCGACTTTTAAGAAGTGTTGAGTAGGCTGACTCTCAGGGGAAACAATAGCATCTGGGTTTTTCAAGAATGATGCTATCTTTTTCCTGGTGGGGTTGACCTTTCCAAGTAGGCTGCCTGGTGGAGTGTCATAAAACTCCCTCTTCTCACAAATTATCCCACATGCCTGCAATTCCACAATGAAAGATTTATTCCTTTGACCTATGTCTTACCAGCCATTTCTACCTTAGTCCCCACTTCCCCAAAGAAAAAAGATTTCCTAGATCCTAGAGGAGGAAGCTTAAAGACCATGAAAACAGAGCAGAGGAACCCAGGGGACCTCGGAGAGGAGCCCAGGGCCCGCACGGTGTACTGATGGTGACTGCGAGCCGTAAAATAAAGCCCTTGAATAAAAAAAGAAAACAAATAGAAGTGTTCTGTTAGATGACTCTCAAAGCACTTTCCAAGGAGATGTAGGCTCATCATTTTAAAGCAGGGAAGAAACTTAAACCAAACCATCTTCTTTGAAAACGAAAGTCTTTATCAAGGCTATTTTCTTAAAGAAAATAGCCTCAAAGGCCTTGGTGAAACACCTGAGGAATTAGAGCAGACGAGGTCAGTTTAATATGTGTCATGTGTGTGTCTATAAAGATGTGAACCAAATTGAACTGTACTTATCAGCAAAGTACTGAATCGGCAGAAGAGCCCAGCTGCACCCCAAAGTGGCCACTTCTGAGAGCCTGTCGACAGCTTTATCTTGGCCCAGTGCCTACCCCTCTTCTTAGCACATTTTTGACTTCCCAGCTATCCACACCCCGTGTTGGTTTAGAAATAAAAGGTTGCTGTTATCTTAAGTGAGCGATTTAGCCCTTATTTAAGCATTTCTTTAAAAAAAAAAAAAAGTTCCATCAGCATGCTGAGGAGCAGCATCCCGGTCTTCCTTTTGCTGCTGACTCTCCAGGGGTCTCGGGTCAGCAATTTCAGCTCCCTCTGCCTCAGTTTCTGCATCCGGGCTTAGGGATTAGGGGCAGGGGAGGAGGAAGTGATGGCTACATTAGCAAAGTGCTTTCTACCATTTCATTACTCCATTAGGGTCTTCCTTCCTTTCCTCCTCAATGGGGTATTTTGAGAACTAATGAGATAATGGCCTGCAAGTGGTTGGAAACCCCTCAGAGGGTGTTAATACCCAGGACGCCGGTCTCACTTCCTCCTAAACTAATTCCAGTTATCAACAATGCGCACACACATTCAGATCCGAGGAGTGACCTCACTTGGAGACTCGGCGGCCAAAGCCACACACATTGCCTCACAGCCATTGATCACAAGAGACATCCACATTATCTACCAGTTTTATTCTAATCTTCAAAGCAAATATACAGCAATTCTGCATGATCCCAAGAATTGCATATTTTAAAGTGACAAATAATAAATAAATAAATAATAGAAAATCACTCAATTCTGATCTGGAAACAAGAGGCTGCAAAATGTACTTGCAGTAAGCGTGCTTTTAGAAATCCAAATTCACATTGAAAAAAATCTATTTGTGTGTAGATTAAGATATTCATAAGGAATGCTCCACTTCCTGTGATGTCTGCCTCTGATAAGGATACCAGAGTAAAGGGAGTTTACTTGGAACTGCATAACATGAAAGGAAAAAGACCTGGTTCTTTAACAGTCTTGTAGAGATCAACTTAATTAACTGATCAATTTGGAGTGGAACAGGTTAGAAAATCCATTCAAGTATCGCTGATGAAATTGGCAGGTGAGTTTGGTGCAGATAGGTGGGGAGAGGGGAGAAAGAGAAAGACAGAGAGAAATGAATCTCATGCAAGTAATTCCTTCCAGGTCTCTGGTTGGTAGATTTGGAGGACAGCCCCCTCTCCAGTTTCACAGCTTTGCAAAATTTAACTGTTTCTCTGTGTTCCGCTGAAAAACTTCATTTCAGAATCCTGCAAATGATTTTGTCTTCTGTTCATTTGTGTTAGGAATTTAGAGACTGACATCTGAGCAGTGCAGGCTGTGGGAATTAGGGAAATAATGTTAGAGCTATTTAGATTTCTGCTTTTCATTCAACAAATATAAGGGGAAGACTTTAAATATTAGATGGAGGAAATAAAATATGGATAAAGAGGTATTCAGACTAGGTCTTTATGGAACAGTAATTGCAAACCCTTTCCAAGTCTTTCTCCCAATTGCTCCTTGAATATTGAGGCTGCCTCTTTTAGTTTCTGTGGCTAAGTTCACCTCTGTAGCATTATGTCAGGCAAAGAACTATGAACACAAACAGCTCCCATTAGGGCTCTCAGCCCCAGGGGTCCTGACAGCTGGGAAGTGTTGCAAGTAAACTATTACAAATAATGGATAATTGAAATTTATCAATGATTTATTACACAGACTATAAGCAATATTTCAGGGTTATTACCATGAGGATACCTCTCATTCACCCACATTCCAATTTAATTTTACTTTCTTTTTCCTGTCTTTTGGACCACAGATCCACAGAGTTGAATTAATTCTACTCTTTAGTGCATGGTACACTCATGGATTCATCAAATGCCCTTCAAAAGTGCCGTTGTTGTTTTCCCTCCAACTCGCTCATCCCACTCTCATTCCCCCTCCTCCAGATACCCTTACTCCTATCTTTATGTAGATATACGGACATCCTTGAATAATATATAATATTACTTTGTGTGTGCATGTTTAATATCTAATTTACAAAAGGCAATGGGCTATAAATCTCATTCTCTCTGTTACTTTTTTCATCCAGCTCTGTTTTTTGGAATATCTCCTTGCTGTTATATTGAAATCTAATCATTATTGCTGACTGCCTTGCATCCAGCACAGTTGCTTCCTCCATTGCCCTAGGGATGAACACCTTGGTTGACTCTACCACACACACACACACACACATATACACACACACGCATAGATCGTGCTGCAAGGACCACCCACGGAGATGTCCCCTCACAGATCTGTGCACGTCTGTCTCTGGGGGCTGCACTAGGAGTGGGATTGCCGAAGCATAGGATATTACACTCCCACCAGCAGTGTCAGAGGGCTCTCTTTTCCCCACATCCCTTTCAGCACTTGATATTAATAAGGTTTCCAATTTCTGTCAATCTAATTATTTTAAAGTGGATCGTGTTATAATTTAACTTTGCATTTCTCTGATTACCAGTGAAGTGGGTATCTCTTCACATGCTTAATAGCAATTTGGGTTTCTCCTTCTACAAACTGCCCATATCCTTTGCCTGTGTAGCTCTTATGTGAGTTTCCAATCCTTTTTTTGCCAATCTGCAGGAGTTCCTTGGGTCATCAATTCCTTATCGATTTTAGACACTGTGAACATCTTTCTCCATGCCATTGGAGGCAGGTTAACTGTTTTGAACCGAAATCTTTAATTTTTTAGATAGTCAGACCCATCAATTTTCCCCTTATGGTTTATGTTGTTTGGGTATTGATTAAGAAATGTGCAGAAAACTACAAAGCCACAAAGATAGATGCCTATAGACTCTTCTGTAAGAATTGTGTCTTTTCCCTTCATACTTGGGTCCTTAGTCCATTTGAAATTTATTTTTGTCTATATGGAGAGGTAGGCATCCAGCTTTGGTTTTTTCCATAGTGAGTCATTTATCCCAACACTATTCACTAAGTGATCCAGCTTCCTCCCACGGATTTGGGAAATGGCTCTATTATATACCAGTTTCCCATGGATACATGATTGGGTGTCCAGGTGCATATTCCATTTTTTGGTTAGTTTGTCTATTCCTGCACCACTACCCCACAGTTTTATTGTGGTAGTTTTGAAATATGTCTTAACTAATGTGTTTTCTTAAGTGAGAGAGAAGGGTAGGGTTATATTAGTGGACTAGGAATGGTACAGAATCCCACAGCCTCTCTCATCCTTGTCATAGCCCGTAATTCCCATATAAGGTCGCTCATGGGAA
Organism: Homo sapiens; assembly: GCF_000001405.40. Classification (NCBI taxonomy): domain Eukaryota; kingdom Metazoa; phylum Chordata; class Mammalia; order Primates; family Hominidae; genus Homo; species Homo sapiens. The sequence goes on from NC_000004.12 coordinate 152,209,599, forward strand.
GGGATCCTACATGAAAATTTCATCTGCAGTCTATGTCAAAATGGGGCGGGGGAAGCTGAAACATCTAAGAGGTCACCTGTTTGCCGTGCACAATATCCTGGAATTAAATTCCGTAGCTTTCAAAATAAGAAAGAGTGTCAATATTTTTTTATTCTTTCTTGAAAGTTAATACCTTAAGAACCTAGAACACAATTCTTCTGTGGAAATCACAGAGCTTCAGGAGTTATTTCATTGGATTGCCAAGAGTTCCTAAGCGGGTAATTTGTATGCAGCAATTGAGGGGCAAAGTGGTTAATAATAAGCCTAACCCCAACATCTACTAACTAGTTTTACTAATCTGTAGTGGAACTGAAACTAGAACCCAGATCTCCTGGGAGTTCCTCTTCAACTTTACAAATACATGTCTAATGCTCCCTGTGTGCTAGGCATCATTACACGGAGTAGAAAAATGAGTTAATAAACAAGGTCTCTGTCTACATATTATTCAGTCAGTGACTTGCCTGGGCCCTGGCTTTGTACTCTGAATCATGGAAGAATGGACCTATTATGAAGTTATGAAGATATTTAGTCGATCCTATCAGCCAGAGGTCAATTCAAATACATTTTACATAGACCGGCTGACAATCAGCTAAAAATTCCAAAGAGACTCTGCTGTGGTGGATTAACTGGCCAAATACAGACCTAGTCTATCACTCAGATGAGACAAAATGGTATGCCAAAAATGTCCTTCCAGAACAGGAATTAGATTAAAGCTACATTAGGGTTTCTGGATAGTCAACAGTTGAGCTGTTTCCAGCTAAGGGAAAAGACAGAATATTCAGGCTCAGGAAAGAAAGAAAGAGAGAGGGAGGAAGGAGGGAAGGAGGGAGGGAGGGAAGGAAAAGGAAATGAAAAAAACGATGCTCAGTTGGGAATACCTAGGAAAAAGGCAGGATGTTACAGGGGCAGAGACATCCAGAAAGTCTTCTCCTTTCCTCCTCTCTGACTTTACCAGAATCTCATTTTGAGCCTGAATTACTTGTGAGTAAATATCAGCAATTAACCAGCACAAATAAGGTGTGGCTGACACATAGAAAATATTCAATAATTATTAACATTTTTAAAAGTAGACAAATATCTCTTAGAAATAATGAATTGAACAAAGGAGTACATGAAGCTTTCATTTGCAAGTGTGAAATAAACTGAACATTGTTCACATTGTCTATTTATTTTTGCTTTCCCTATAGCCAAATTCCTGAAGGAATTATCTCATTAAAAAAAAATTTAGGTGTTGTTTATCATAGCAAAAAATAAAATAAGAGTAAAGACAAGAAAAAGAAAACTGTCCTAAAGTTTGGTTGAAGAAATTTCAACATATTCATATTTTGATATTCTACTAAGTCTTCATAATTATTTGAAATCATGTGGTGGATTAAGAGTAACAAAGAAAGATATTTAGACTTTGTGAAATTGAAAAAGCAGGTTAGATGATAATATATTATTGAAGAATACAGAGCCTAGAGGCAGACAACTTGGGTTCAGCTCCCACTTCTTCCACTTCAATAGCTACGAGGCTTTCGGCAATATTTGTAATCTCTCCCTGCTTCAGTTTCCTCACCTGCAAAATGGCAATAGAAATTAAACCTACTTCGGCCAAGTGCAGCGGCTCACGCCTGTAATCCCAGCACTTTTGGAGGCTGAGACAGGTGGATCATCTGAGGTCAGGAGTTTGAGAGCAGCCTGGCCAACATGGCAAAACCCCATCTCTACTAAAAATAACAAAAATTTAGCTGGGCGTGGTGGCGGGTGCCTGTAATCCCTCAGGAGGCTGAGGCAGGAGAATCGCTTGAGCCCAGGAGGTGGAGGTTGCAGTGAACCAAAATTGTGCCATTGCACTCCAGCCTGGGCAACAAGAGCAAAACTCCGTCAGAAAGAAAGAGAAAGAAAGAAAGAGAGAAAGAGAGAAAGAGAGAGAGAGAGAGAGAAAGACAGACGAAGGAAAGAAAGAAAGAAAGAAAGAAAGAAAGAAAGAAAGAAAGAAAGAAAGAAAGAGAAAGAAAGAAAGAGAAAGAAAGAAGGAAGGAAGGAAGGAAAGGAGGGAGAGAGGAAGGAAGGAAAGGAGGGAGGGAGGAAGGAAAGGAGGGAGGGAGGGAGGGAGGCAAGGAAGGAAGGAAGGAATTAAACCCACTTCATAGGGTTTTTGAGACAATTTAGTGAATCAATTAATACACGCCAAAGCAATCTGAACAGCACCAATAGATGTTAGTTATGGTGATTATTATTATAACAGTATCATCTCATATCTTCCTATAGAGAAATGTCTGTAAAGATATACTATAAAATTTTAACATTTTTTATCTCTGGAAGGTGAGAGTATGGATTTATTTTTCTTCTTTCTGCTTATCTACATTTTTCTAATTTTCCCAGACATGAAAATATATTGATTTTCTAATAAAGAGCAACAAGTTATTTTATAATTTGTGAGAAAAGATCTATGAGATGGGTAGAGGCGGGAAAGAATGGCACATCCACACCGTCAAGAGCTCCCTGCTGACAAACAGCATGGCAGTGAGGATGGTGCTGGGTTACATCCCCAAATAAGTAGGGGGTGAGGGGCTGAGGAAGGGAATAAAGGAACGTTGGAGAGAGTGACATTCTCCTCCTTGTTTTTTATCTCACACTCAAGGTTAAGATTCAATACAGCAGCAAAGTGAATAAAGAAATGAAGTGCTGTGAGAGGTCACAGGGACAAACATCGAGTGGCTGGGGAGTTTTGAAAGGCATTGGATAATTTCACCGCCATTAATAACATCTGCAGTCCTGCCAAGCAGGCTAATGGCAGGGGTAATTAGAGCCTGTGCTCTAAGACAGATGACTGCTTGTCAGAGCAGGAGAGCAGGTCCACCCCAGGGGCCACTGCCCAGGGGTAGTCAAGGCCAGGAGGGGGCAGGGCCTTGTCAGGAAGGACCCTACCTGATCACAGGAAAGAGATGACCCAGACTGGCCTCTGTGGGAAGATTCTCAGCTCACAAAGGAAACAGGGGGTGTCGGGGCAGTTCGGGGCTTGGGTCTAAATATAAAGCTGGTCCATACTAATATCCTGTCATGAAATACTTTCATCCTTCACATATCCAAGATTTAGGCTTACAGAGAGACGTTCAGTTCAAAGAAGTTGTGAAATCAATAAGTTTTTCATTAACCAGTGATTACCCAGCCATCATTATGCCCTCACTGGTAGAGTGATTTTCTAGTCACTCAGACTAAGAAGTGGCCATTTGAAGACTTAATCTTTCTTCATGGACAAGGAAAGGAATGGGTTTAACATGAGCATTTTGGTCTTTCCTTGTCTCTAAATCAAGTTAAGTTCTTCAGTTTTTTGATAAAGATGACTAATGTATTTTTTCTAAAGGTTTTGTTATGAGATACAAAGATTTATTTTTGAAGTGAAGATTTCCATCTGGATAAGTCTCAGAAAGAATCCTTGTATCCACGAGATGGTTCCCTACCTAGGATGCCAAAGGGAAACACTTGCAATGCCACTTAGGGATTTGTCCCAATAATTTCACTTAGGCAAAAATATATCAAATGATTATTTCAGTAGACTTCTATACAAGTTTACTTGTTTGGAGATATTAGACCCCCCAGTGCAATGCTGCACAATTTTAAAAGACACCTAACCAACTTCCACTTATACATTTCAGATTGAACAACAGTGTTTGTATTAGTCTGTTCTCATGCTGCTAATAAAGATATACATGAGACTGGCTAATTTATAAACAAAAAGAGGTTTACTGGACTCATAGTTTCACATGGCTGGGGAGGCCTCACAATCATGGCAGAAGGCAAAGGAGGGGCAAAGACATGTCTTACATGGCAGCAGGCAAGACAGCATGAGCAGGAGAACTGCCCTTTATGAAACTATCAGATCTCATGAAACTTATTCACTATCACGAGAACAGCACAGGAAAAACCACCCCCATGATTCAATTACTTCCCACCAGGTCCCTCCCACAACACATGGGGATTATGGGAGTTACAATTCAAGATGAGATTTGGGTGGAAGCACAGCCAAACCATATAGTGTTTATCACATATTTCTCCCGGAACCCCTCTGAAATGATAGAAAAGGAATTGAAGACGTTTACAATCACATACATTAAAAAAAAGAAAAAGAAAAGGAGATGAGAGTAGGCTACTGATGCCAATTAAACATGACAAGCTGGATGAGACCTGGAACTTTCATTTCCAGGAGTATGACAGATTAGACTTTGTGGCAAGCTCTATTGCCCAGATATACTGAGATCCTTGTTAAAATACATTCAGCAAATATAAAGAGACAAGGTGGGAAATATGAGGGAGAGGTTAAGAAAACTGGAAGCCAAAGTGAGAAGGTGTGATAGAGCCTTACATAGAGATAATGAAGAAAATGGAAGAGGTGTAAATGTTCTTGAACAAATGAAAAGTATCCATCTACTGATCCAGGAAATAATCTATCTTAGATGAAATTCACTAATATTAGTAACGTGCTACTTTTCTTTATTTGAAGGTGTATTCATTAGTATTCATTTTATCATTAGGCTTTTAACATGTAGATACAGCAGGTGTACTCTTTTTAATGTCTTAAAAATTACATACTGTAACAAATTAAAGTATTGGCATAAGTGCTGAGTTAGGCTTCAGCTTTATGAACTTTGCTAAGCTCCTATAAAAAGATCCAACAACAAGTTAGTCTATGAGAGTGTAATCTTAGAGGTTAATGATTTTGCCCCTCCCTGTTTTCTGTTTTCTCCTTTCAGAACCCCTATTATTTGTGTATTGGACTTCTTGATTGATATCACATTTTCTTATCTTTTCTCTGCAACTTTTTGTCTTTTTAATTCTGTTTCCTGAAAGAGTTCTTCAATGTTTATCTCCAATCCCTTCTACTAAGGTTTTAAATGTCTGCTATAATGTCTGAATTTCTTTAAATGTCTGAATTTCATCTAAGATGGGTTGTTTCCCAGATCAGTAGATTGATAGTTTTCACTAGTCCAATAACATTTATATTTCCTCAATTTTCTCTATTATCTCTTTCTAAGACCCTGGAAAGCCTTAGAGGTTGGAAGCACCACATACACCAGAAGACTGGGATGAGGGGTGGGGTTGAAAACTAGAAGACTGGTTAAAAGTCTGTATAAGGAGTAATTGAGCCTGGATTCTTTCCCTCTATATACTAAGCAAGACGGCTGGTCCTCCTCTATTCCAAAGACTGTAAGTTTTGTCTCAGGAGAAATTGAGTTGAAAGAGGTCTAACCTTAACACCAAACATAACTGAAAGCACACTGGATTTGGTGACAGCCTCTCTCCCATTCCCACACATATTTATTATTATTATTACCACTCCAACCCTAATTCCAAGAAAGCAGATTAGAAATTTTGTCTCTGGAGAAAAAGACTGATGACTGACCCCATTCCCCCAAATCTAAGAACCCTTATTTCTGGGGGTTCCCTAATGCAACCAGCAAGTCCCCACTATTTGTCCTATTGTGAAGAAAGTCTCCTCTCCATAAGCCTTATCCCTCTCCTACCCAGTTTCTGGTCATCTCTTTTGTGTCCCAGTCTGAAATGCAAAGAGATGGCCATATGTTAACAGACATTTGATGAAAGCTCCCAATATGAAGGCCATACATCAAAACAAACAATTTGTTGGGGGAGGCGGGGAAGAAAGTAGGAGGGAATAGAATCAAGGCAAGTACTGAGGAAAACTACAATGGTAACAAACTATAATTAATATTGAAAGATAAGGGATAACATTGCATCTATGAAGCAAGAATTAAATGTTATAAAATGGAACATCCGGAGAAAGAGAAAGTTTTTTAAAATTAGAAACATCATAGCAGACATCTAAAAATTCAATAGAAGGAACTGGATGATAAAAGTAGAACTCTTTCAGGAAATAGAATTTAAAAGATAGAAAATTACAGAGAAAAGAAAATATGACATCTATCAAGAGGTCCAACATACAAGTAATAGGGACTCCAAAAGGAGAAAACAGAAAACCAAGCAAAATTATTAAACACAAATTCCCCATATTTAAGGGTACATGTTTTCAGTTGGAAAAGGACCCTTGAGTGTCAAGTAAAATGAATAATAAAAAGATCCACAACAAGTCACATTGAGTGAAATTCCAATATAGCAGGGATAAAGAGAAGAACTTAAAACACATGGTGTAGGGAGTAGGGGGAATAGGTCATATATAAAAAATTAGAAATGAGAATGTTATTAAATTTTCAACAGCCACAGTAAAACCTCACAGACAGTGGAGTGATGCTTTCAAAAAACTAAACAAAAAAGTATTTCTCACCTATAGTTATACACCTAGTCAAATTCTCAATCAAATATGAGAATAGAATGAAGGCTTATTCAAACATGCGAGTTTATTTTGCATGCATTCTTCCTAAAAAAGTTATGTCCCAGTAAAACAATAAGTCAATAAAGTAAACCAAGATGGGAACTAAGAAAAAGTACAGTCTAAAGTTGTAGAGAAATAAAAAGAATTCCTAGGATGTTGGGAAATCAAGCAGTAGAAATAGAGGCATGTTATTTAAAAATTTAAGAATTACTATACGAAGGCCGGGTGCAGTGGCTCACACCTGTATCCCAGTACTTTGGAAGGCTGAGGCAGGCAGATCACGAGGTCAGGAGATCGAGACCATCCTGGCTAACACGGTGAAATCCCATCTCTACTAAAAATATAAAAAATTAGCTGAGCATGGTGGCGTGTGCCTGTAGTCCCAGCTACTCAGGAGGCTGGGGCAGGAGAATGGCGTGAACCCGGGAGGCGGAGCTTGCAGTGAGTCGAGATTGTGCCACTGCACTCCAGCCTGGAACAGAGTGAGATTCTGTCTCAAAAAAAAAAAAAAAAGAATTACTGTAAGAAGAAAAAAAAAACAGCCAAAAGACTTGAAAGTGGTTGCTTCAGGAGAATGTAACTTGGAGTTGGGAAGGGGTAGGGTCTACTATTTGCTTTTTAAAATCTATATGTATATATTACTTTAAAATATTTAAGTTAAGAAAAATGTATCTCAAGACTAATCTAGAACACTCTGGAGCCTAGTTCTTTTTTTTAAAGCATCAGCTACAGTTTATTTTTATCCATTTCAGTTCTTAATTTAAGCAATGAAGCACAGAGAAAAATTGGAAACACTAAAGAAATGGGGAAAAAAGAAACCACATTATCCATAATCCTCCAACTCTATGTGACCATCCGAATCATTTTCCTTTCAATATTTTCATAGAGTTGTAGTCATGGCTTCCATATAATTATATCCTGCTTTTTTCTCCCACATTATACTGTGATCAATTTCCAGCTTGCTATATAGCATTGTAATCATCTTTCTTAATGGCTTGACAAGTCTTTTTGATCGGACTGTCACGCTCTACAAAATAGGTCACCTCTGTATTAGGGTTCTCCAGAGAAACAGAACCAATAGGAGGTATGTGTATATAAATACACACACACACACACACGCACACACATTTATTATGAGGAATTGGCTCACGTGATTATTGAGGCTGAGCAGATCAAGTCCCATGATCTGCTGTCTGCAAACTGGAGAGGAGACCAAGAGTATAATTCCAGTCCAAGTCTGAAGGCCTGAGAACCAGAGGCTGAGGGTGTAAATCCCAGTCCAAGGGCAGGAGAAGACTGATGTCCCAGCTCAAGTACACAGCAGGAAGCAAAGGGGCAAATTTCTCCTCCCTCTGCCTTTTGTTCTGTTCAGGCCCTCAAGGAATTGGCTGATGCTCACCCACACCGAGCTAGATCTACTTTACGGAATCCACAGATTCAAATGCTAATTTCATCTTGAAACAACCTCAAAAATATGCCTAGAAATAGTGTTTAATCTGGGCACTCTGTGTCAAGTCCACTCATAAAATTCAGCATCCCAGTCCCCTCTCCCTCCTTCACATGGTCCTTTTTTCCTGCTTTTCAGACACTCCTAGCATGTGCTCCTCCACCAGCCTTGGCCCTGGGATGCTCTTCCTCGCTGTCACCACTCAATAAGTGGCTTAAATGCAACTCCCACAAGACCTTTCGTGACCCCTGGGCTCCAGTAGGCCCCTTTCTTTCACACCTGCTTTCATCATGGCCGTTTTCACTCCCAGACATTTTCTTTTTATTACTTAATTTGTTTATCTGGGGCCTGTCTCCCTCAGTCAATTGTAAACACCATGGATGCAGAAATTATATCTTTCCTATATCCCACTCAAAGACCAGCACAGAGAATAGAGCTTGGCACAGAGAAAGCACTCAGTAAATATATGAGGGGTGGGGGGTGAATGAATAAGTGACTGAATAATGAATGGATGAAATGCTAACTGCTCAGGGCACAGAGAGAAACCTGAGGCTGAACAGGAATAATGCACAGTTTGTTAAGCAAAGAGTCAAGAGATCTGCTTCTAGTCTTGGCTCCGCCACTCATCACGTGCATAACTTAGAATAAGACACACTGAATCTCTCTGTGCCTGGCTTTCTCGCCTGTGAAATGAGCAGGTGGGAGTAGGTGGCCTCCATCATCTGTTTTGACAATAAATACTGAGGTCTGCCTCTTTGCAAGTCCTCATTTTGCTAAAGATTTGTGTTGTGACTTTTGGAGAATAACTTTAGTTGGTTTCCCAGAAAGATGGATGAGTAGAAAATTTAGTCAAACAAATATATCTCTCCTTTTTTTTTTTGCCCTGCATGACAACCAGCAGTTAGTTTTAAGATTTCTTAACTCTGTATTTTCTTTTGTAAGATTCATCGACTAGCTAAATAAAGCAGCCTGAAGCTGGAGGGTGCCCTCACAAGAAACTTCCTTGATAGGCAATGATCCTTCAGGGAAATAGAGAATGGTGGCTGAAAGCACATAGTCTGATATCAGTCAGACAAACCTGGTTGTAAGTAATCTCCATGCAGGAACCTGGACAGGTTACTTAGGCAGAGAGGGTTGTATAGTAGTGCCAAATGCTTGAGCCAGACTGTAGGGGGTCGAGTCCTAGCTCTGCCACTTGCTGGCTGTGAAACCGCTCATGTCTCAGGTTTCCATCTGAAAATGGAGTTAAGAAAGTACCCACTTTATAAAATTACTGTGAGGAGTAATGAATTCCAAATGCATAAAACACCTTAGTCAGCGGGCGCTGAGAGCACACAGAGTCACCACTCTTTGGGTTTGCTGCTATTGTTGTGCTGTCATTACTTAATTTATCTAGGTCTGTTTCTTCATTCATTCATCAATGAATATTTACCAAGTGCTTTTGAAGAGGCATCCTATCACTTCATTAACTTAAGATGAGACTTCTGGGTCTCAATTATAAAATCATTAGCCTATAAGTCTGGGAGGAAGTATGTTAATACCTCTTGCAATCATTCTCAAACATGTTCCCCTGGCAGTACATCTTGGGGAGAACTGCCTTCTGGCTGTGTCAGTCATCCAGGGGAGCATGGCTTACCCCCCCACGTGCAGGATTCCCCTACCCTCTGTCATCCCACAAGAAGTTGGACCTCACTGTGCTCAGAGTCAACTCTTCTGACTCCCAGTCTGGGCCAGAACAAGCAAGGCAGGTAAATGACAAAATGAAGGGGTAGAGAAACACAGAGGTATAAATGGAAGCACTCCAAAAAAAGAAAGAAAGAAGTAACAAGGCACTAGAAGTTGTTTCCTCCTAACATATAGAGCAATTGGCAGAGATGAATTTTGGATCTGATGTTCATCTCTGCCCTCACTTTCTCTGTCATTTCCCTCACTTTCATTTCTGAGAATACTTCTGAAGCAGAGATTTGGGTCCATGATAGTGGATGTAATAGGAAAATGTTTAGAAGTAAATAATGGCAACTTTAAAGAAAGGACTATCAAAGTTGCTAACAGCATATTGATGCACTTGCATATGGAAGAATTAAATAAGTTCATAAATAAATGAAGGTAGATCTTGAGATTATAGCTATTGAATTATCCTCGGATCAATAACTGGAGCCTATCTTTGTAGAGTATTTATATTTCTCCTAGTCCATAGTCAAAATTAACATTCATGATCATGGTCTGTCCAACTGCCTTAATAGGGCTTCAGAAGGAACTTATAACCTTCTCCTGCAAGCTTGGTCTTCTTCCATAGTCTCTAACTTCATCCAAATAAGGCATATAACTTGGAGTTTTATTCTTCACACTCCTACTCTCTCAACATATCCAAACATCAGCAAATCTTACTAATCTTAGCACACAAATACCTCTCAAATTGGTGAATATTAATTAGTTTGAAATAGTTATGGTTAGCATGTTCAAAAACATAAATTAAAAAATAAAATATAGAAAAATGAATAAGGCATAATTAAGCAAAACAGGTGACTCTATAACAAGAAAAGGTGGATAGGAAAAAGAACTAGTTAGAAACATCAGAAACAAGAAGTATCATAAAATATACAAAATCAGTAGATGCAATAAAACCTAGCTTGGATGCAGTCACGATGATAATTAGTAAGTTGAAAGATAGCACTGAAGAATTCATGCAGAACACAACACAGCAACAAAGAAATACTGAGTAAGAGGAGACTTCAGAGGCACGGTGTGGTAACTTTCCTGCAAAGATGGCCACCATTAATTCCATCTCTCCCCATACACACAGGCTACTCTCCTGCCAAGAGGCAGTGTCTCCCCTCCTCTGGAATCTGGGCTGGCCTTATGATGTTTTTGACCAAGAGAATGTGGTAGGGGTGCTATTTAGGGCTTCTGTGGTTAGGTCTTAAAAATTCTTGACAGATTCTGCCCGGGGTGCTTGAAACACTCCCTCTCAGAAGCCAGTAATCATACTGCGAGAAGTCTGAGCCACATGGGGAGCTGACTAAGACCCATGGAAAGCCAACAGGTAGGTGTGCCAATGGACAGTCCCAGGTGAGCTCCCACCCATGGGATCATCAACTGTCAGACATTTTGGGCCCATGAGCCATGGGGCCAGTGAGTCATCTTGGATGTCTAACCCAGTCAAGTTTCTGGATGACTTTGCTCCAGCTGGCATCTGGCCTCAACTGCACAAGAGGTCCCAAGTGAGAACAACTCAGCCAAGTCCAATCACCCCATGGAACCATGAGAAATAACAATAAATTATTGTTTTAAGTCACATTTTGGTGTGGTTTGTGGTACAGCACTAGATAATCAGAGCCTACCAAGAATAGACTGAGAAGTTCTGATTAACAATTAACAGGAAGTCCAGAAGAAAATAAAAAAAAATGGCAGAAAAATTATATTCAAGAATATTCAAGAATTTTCCAGAATTGAGAAAGACATGGGTTCTCGGCATGAAAATGCACACTTTATATGTCAAGCAAAATCATTAAAAATAAATTCACACCTAGTCACATTGTTGTGAAGCTGCAAAGCTTAAAAGCTAACAGACAAAAAAGGCAGGTCACTTACAGAGTAATGACAATTGAAATGGCAGCAGGCTTCTCATCAACATCAAGAAATGCATGATGGCAGGAAAGCAATATTTTCAGTGTTGAAAGAAACAAACTGTCAATCTACAATTCTGTACTCATCTACTTCATCATTTGAGTGAAAGCATAATAGAGACATTTTAAGAGATGCAAAAACTCAGAGAGCTACCTTTATGTTCCCTCAATAAAAGATTTAATTCTGGCTGGGCACGGTGGCTCATGCCTGTAATCCCAGCACTTTGGGAGGCCGAGGCGGGTGGATCACAAGGTCAAGAGATCGAGACCATCCTGGTCAACATGGTGAAACGCTGTTACTACTAAAAATATAAAAATTAGCTGGGTGTGGCGGTACACGCCTGTAGTCCCAGCTACACGGGAGGCTGAGGCAGAAGAATCACTTGAAACCGGGAGGTGGAGGTTGCAGTGAGCCAAGATCATGCCACTGCACTCCAGTCTGGCGACAGAGCGAGACTCTGTCTCAAAAAAATAAAATTAAATTAAAACAAATAAAAGATTTAATTCTACAAGAAGAAATAGGAATTTAAAAAAGAAAACTGTATCCATGCAACAGCAGGCAAACCTAAAGTACAAAGTAACATACTGCAGAATGATGCATATAGTATAATACTGTTAAAGTAATATTTAAACCCCTACCAAAAGACTATGTATTGTTTATTAAAATATCCACATATAGTAAAGTGGGAAACATGGACGGAAATGATACCTACCAGCTTCAGGACAATGGCAGCCACGGGAGAGGGAGCAGAGAATGAAATTGAGAGGAACACACAAAAGGCCCCAACTATATCTATAACACCTATAATTATTACTATTTGAACTCTTTTCTCTACTTAGGAACTGAATAGAGGCCAGTGATTTTTTTTGAAAGAGAATTGTTTGGAGGAAATGGTATCTCCTCACTCTCTGAAATCTTACGACCTGAAACTGAAGACCTACGCAGATTCTGATAAAATGGTGTGCATTGCTCTCTAAGCTTCCTGTCTGAACCGTCACTATCCAAGCTCACTAACTGCATAGAATCAAAGTGCACAGGATACCAAGTTTCTGTTGCTTTAAAAATATAAGGTCTTAAGCAAAATGGTAAAATGCTAACAATTTGTTAAATCTGAATGGTAGGTACTTTTGTGTTTAAATATTTCAAATATTAACAGAACAGTTTTTTAGTAATAATTTGTGGAAAGCAATGCCATGGCTTCCTTTCAGAGTCACAACACAAACAAACTGGTGTCCGTGTAGCTGACAGCACTTTGTGTTGGCCCCGCTGGCGGAGCAGCAAGGTATCGCCACTTCCTGAGCTGCTTCATCTGCGTTTGGATCCCCAGTGCCACCAGACAGAGCTGGGCTGTGCCCCCCACGTCATTCACAAATTTACAGAGTTAGGAGGAGACATTCAAAGATACATGACTATATCTGATGAAGTAAGTTCTCGGACAAGGCCAATTTTTATTTAAAAGAAAATACAGTCCCAAGAGGAAATTTACATAAGGAAGGTGACCCATACTTGGAAGCTGAAGAGGTATGCTGGACCAGGGGCAAAGAGAGCTAATACCAAGGTGAATGTGTAGAGAACCGCAGGAACAGTGATGTGAACGTGAACACGAATCAGGGGCCACCAGGACGTCTCCTGACTAGCAACTGGACCGCAGAGCCCACAGCCCACTGTGCCAGGGTGAAGGCCGGACATCCAGCCTCCAGAGACTTGAACTGGTTCTCTGGATGGTAGCAAAAAAGGGGACTGATTAATGGACAAGTCTAACTCATTCCATGATTCTCAGGAATCTTTTGGGAGAAAAACCCAAGAGAAGTCTAAACTTCCTGCTGATTTGACAGGTGGGGCCTGGACTTTTGTGATTTGGGTATTTAAGAGGAATTGTTATCTTATATTGGAGATACAGATTGCTGACGGCAAGGCTTTGGGCTACTGACTTTATCCTCATCATTTGTACACTAGGCAAAGAAGAAGCAGAGGTAGAAAGATTTCAAAACAGCAGCCTATCCCCAAGCAATTTTGCAGTCAGTGAGGCCTTTCCTGACCACTCTGTTTAATATTGTATTCCTCCCACCACGTACTCTGGACCTGTCTCCCAGCTTTATTTGCCTTAGTAGAAGGATTACCTTAATGTTTAAAGAATTATTTAGTATTTTTTCTGTCTCTCCAACTAGGATGTAAGCTCCATGGAGTCAGAAATTATCTGTTTTGTTCACTGCTGGTCTGTAAGTTTCAGAGCAGTGCCTGGCACAAAATAGAAGCTTAGTAAACATTTATTGAATGAATGACCCAACCTGTGTTTGGCTTTGGAGTGTGCTCATACATAACACATACGTCACAAACACTCTCAGTGAGATAAAATTTATGGAAGACCATTGATTTAGACTGAGCTCCTGCACTAAACCCTGACAAACCAATCTAAAGTGAAGTCACTCATGCTAAGGCCCATATCACCAAACTGAAACCTAAGCTGTTTACCTTTAAGATCTGGCCTTCTGAGAAATCAGGAGAGACAGTAGCCTAACACCCAAATAGGAACGTTTACCAAGAAACAAGAGATTCACAGCAACCCATCAAAAGGGGCCCAGTCAACTGAGCTTGTGATAAGGGAGCCCCGTCTGCTTTAACCCACACAAGGAGAGTAACCTGAAGTGACCTGATGTTAACCAATCTGCTTTTTGCAGTAGGCTATCTCCCCGTTCCTGCTCAAGTTGCCTTACAGAAACCCACTCTTCTGCCTCACCCAGTGGAGCTCCAGTCTGTTTTGTAGACTGGATGCTGCCCAGTTCATGAATCACTAATAAAAGTCACTCAGCCCTTCTCAGCAGACTCAGGGCCTCGTGCTTGCTAAATATAATGGAATCTAGAAACAGTGTGCATGGAGCACCCTGTTTTTGTTTTAAGCTGAAAGAAACCCTAAGGCAGGTTAGGAGAAAGCAGCCTGCCCAGACCACAGCCGTTGCCTACGGATCAGAAAGAGGCCTGGGCTGGAGTGAGGAGCAGACCTTTCCCATGGAACCCAGGGTCACACCAACTCTGAGGAGCCCAGTGACCCACATGGGCCTGGGAAGGAAGTGGCCAGGATAGGCCAGCTGGGGACAGTGCCTGGCTCTCCACTTCTGCCCCATGGTGCCTCTGGGAGAGTGATCTCACCTCCTGTCCAAACCCCAGACTTCAAGTAGCTTCTCCAGCTTTTTTTTTTTACTATTAAAAAAAAAAGAGGAGAGAGAGAGCTGGGGAGAATTAGAGAAGGCAAAAGGTGGAGGGGCAGACAGGCTGGGCTAAACCGGCGAGCGTCCTGCCAGGGGTAGCTGTGCGGGAAAGGGCCTGAGGCTGGACGTTAGCTAGAGCTCTGCTGCGATGGAACAAAAATAAAGTCCCTTTTCTGCAGGGTGGGGGATTCCTGAAACAATGCCCATTGTGGACTTCTAAAGCCTGGCTGGGGCCCCAGCTTCTAAAAGGGGTTTTGAGTTGTAACAGCAACAACAACTCATTTGCTTTTCGTGGTGATCCCTAGGCCACCCTATCCTGATGGCCTGATCTTCAGGAGGACAAGGTGAACTGTTCCCCTTATCTCGCCTTGCTTGACAGGACAGGGTTAGCAGGAGGGGAATCAAGTTTAAGTTTTGTTTTGCTTTTTTTCCTCCCTTCTGGTATTTCCTACTGTACATGCTGCCAGAGGCGATGACAATGGTGGAAACTAATAAACTATATGTATAAGCTTTTCTTTCTGGTACAACAAACACAGGTTATGAGTTTCTCTGCCTCTTTTAATCATTGCTTAAAGTCTTTTCTTTTCCTTGCCTGTGGACTTCAGCACTTGCCTTGCTAAAGGCCTCTGCCTTTTGTTCTGGCCTGAAGCACAAACTTCAGTGGCAGCCTCCTTGTTTAGGGCATGCTTTCTCATCCTCTTTCTGTTTCCCCTTCCCTGTGTCTGTCCCTCCCTCCCCTTCCCTTCTCAGCACCCCACTCCCTCCCCCAAAACCAGTTTATTTGTTTGAAATTGCCAATACAGCATTTCCTACACTGACAGTGTAGGAAACCTGAGTTATGGATTCTGAGTTTCTAGTTTACTGCCCAAACGACTCAGGGCATTTATTTCATGGGCCTCTTCCAGGTGGAGCAGGTAGGGAGAGGTGCTAAATAACTGACTTGCCAGAGTGTGTTCATCGTACGAGTTCCCTCTGCGTCAACTAATGAGACTTACATAATTAAATGCGTGTAAATCTTCCCTGATTGGCGGTGTTGGTCCCTGGTTTGGGAATGTCAGAGAAGGCTGGCAGGTGGCATAGAAGGGAGGTGGGCTTGCCAGGTATCTGCATCCCTCTTCATGGCCTCCCTCTTCCAGGGATCTTCACTACTGCCTCCAAGGCTCCACCAGCCAGAGGACCAGGCCTCTGAGCCTCTCATGCCCCTGGGAGGAGAAAGGCAGGAAACAGAAATGGCCTTGCCTTATTCTGCATATCTAAAAGCAAATTACCTTAGCTCCAAACTAAAAAAAAAAAAATGCTTCTATATGTAAACAGCACCCATCAATCGCTGGTAAATTATTTCCTTCTCCCTTCACAAACACATATCCAGCCTTAATTCAGATAATCTTTGACTTAGAAGTAAGAACCCGCAGAAGGACTTTCAGATGTAGATTCCAGTAATTTTGCCACAGATTACTATAGGATGGTAGGTGACCTTCAACACAAATAATTCCTCAGTTTAGACTGAAACCACCAGAGAATATCTGAATAAACACAATGTTTGTCTCCAACAGCTCAGCTCTCTTTGGTTGCACCATCTCACCTGTAGCTGTGTTGTCGCTAAGCCCTGGCTGGGAGGAGAGAGCTGGATGGATCCATCTCTGCCTTGCTGTGTGGGATTGGGCAAGCCACTTTCCATCTGGGCCTGTGTTTCCTCAGCTGCAAATTAAAAATTAAACTGAATTATTTCTAAGATCCCTTCCATGTTTAAACTTCTATGAGCCTGAGATGAAATTTGACTACTAGTAACCAAGTCTATTAATGATTGTTAATCCCTACACATCCCCACAAGAATATGAGCTACTGGTGACTTCAATACTTTTATTAAATATATATATAATTGAAATATAATATATATGCAGAAAAACACATAAATGTACTGCTTGATGGGTCTTCCCAAACTGAACATACCCTGTGTAACCAACACCCTAATCCAGAGGCAGAACATTCCCGGCTCCCACAGAAATCCCTCACCCGCCACCTTTCCAGGCTCAGGTTCCATATTAATGCTTCATAAATAAATTTTGAGTCTACAACTACTCTACCTTCAATTCTGTTACTTAGGCAAATTCACAAATAGTCCACACCTGCATTGTAATAAACAATAGGGGACAAAATAAACAGTTCTAGGGAACTAGAAATGGTCCTTTATTACCCAGAGAAAGAGCTTGTCAAACACAGGAGATACACGAGAGCATGAATAAAACGAGAAATGGCTTAAAACATGACAATTGTGGCAGTGGTCAATAGCATTGATTCCTTGAGTGCTCCTGCCTAGATGAGGAAATCAGTTCATTACTGAAAGGAAAATAACAGCATTTACACCCATTTCCAACACCAAACACACACACACACACACACACACACACACACACACACTGGCATGGTTCATTTCGGTCACTGAATATAACTCCTTCTTTTAGAGAAAAACAAATGTTTAGGGTTTCATGAGTCATACAAACGTATGCAAAGCACACTATAAAGACAATATAACCTCTATGAAGATTGATTTGTAATTCTCATATCAGTGTATTGAGGGGTCATTGATGGATTTGCTTTATATTCACCGGCCATGAAATCAAATCGTGGAGCCTGACTCTACCCTCTGGGATGGCCCAGAATCGGGAGGTGACTGGAGCTGAACTTTCCTTAGGTTGCTGGTATTTTCTCCTAGGTCAGGAGGAAGGGTAGGGATTTTAGATTTGGAAGGGTCTATAGAGGACCTGCAGTGCAAACCCTCTATTTTATAGATAAGCAGTTTGGACCCAGAACAGGGAAGGGAGTTGACCGGTCACCAGCCAGATGGTGGCAGGCCAGGGAACTCCTGTGCTCTTTCTGCTACCCCACGGGCCATCCCTGATCCCGTGTCCTGCTGTGGCAGCTCCTGGATGTGGAGTTACCTGCTATTCCCTTTCGCAGCATCAAAAGCAGGGGAGATGGGAGGAGCTGCCACTGGCGCCCACAGCCCTTCTCCTCTTGGCCTTGTGTGGTCAACTAAGACTGTCTTTTGCACGTTTTCCTTTTTGAATGTAGATTTAGGAAGTTAAGGTAACCTTATCCCCTAATTCCTGCCACTTCACCATCACCTCTCCATGCCAGTTCCCTCTCTTGTTTGGGGGAGGTCCTTGTTTTTCTCCTCTTCCATTCTAGCCCCTGTGTGCACCTGCTCCTCCCTGCAGGTGCCCTCTCTAATGAGTTTGATGCACACGGTGTCCTTGGTTGTCTGTGTCCTTGTAAAGTTTAGCTTGATGGGTGTAGAGGTTTCTAAATTACATCAATGATAGTGTGCTACAGACTTTTTTCTGGTTCTTTCTTGTTTTGCTCACCACCATGTGTTTGAGTTCTATCCATGTACGATATGCACATTGAGTTGAGTCCATCTAACTGCTATGATATATTCAATAGTGTCGAGGGCCATATTTTACATCTAAGCTCTCCTAATAAAGGGTGAATTTTGGCAATCTCCCCAGCTCCCCTCCTGATGGCCTTCCCTTTCTCCCTGGCTGCCCAATGCTTGGACCCTGTCCTTCCTGCCTCCAGGCTGTGCTTCCTCCCCACTGTGTGCTATTACTCTCTCTCTGCAGATTCCCAACTTTTTCTTTGCCAATTTCACACCTTCCCCTCAGTTTCACCAGCCAAACCTTCTGCACTGCTGGATATCAGATTCCACTTCCTCCACCAGGACTTTCCCGCTTCCAGCAGCCCTCAGCTTCTACACAGCCAGAACACACTTTGTCCATATTATTCTTTTTTGGTTCTTGATGATATCTTGCTTCAATTTGCTAGGTAACCTGAATAAATCCCAGAGCCCTACATGGTCCATTCTCAGCCCAGTAGCATGTTCGGAGAAACACAATCCAACAATTTAAATTAATTACTAATTCTTCACTTCTTTACTCCATTTCTCTAGCAAACATTAAAAGAAAGAGACAATGATCAATGCACAGCAAACACCATTGAAAACAAAATAAAGCAGCCAGGTGCAGTGACTCATGCCTGTAATCCCAGCATTTTGGAAGGCCAAGGTGGGTGGATCACCTGAGGTCAGGAGTTCAAGACCAGCCTGGCCAACATGGTGAAACCCCATCTCTACTAAAAAATACAAAAATTAGCTGGGCATGATGGTGGGTGCCTGTATGGTGGGCATGTATGGGTGTATGGGTGCATGTATGCCTGCTGCATGTATGTATGGGTGCATGTATGCATGGGTGCATGTATGGGTGTATGGGTGCATGTATGGGTGCATGCATGGCAGGCATGTATGCCTGTATGGGTGCATGATGGCGGGTGCCTGTATGGCGGGCATGATGGTGGGTGCCTGTAATCCCAGCTACTTGGGAGGCTAAGGTGGGAGAATCGCTTGAACCCAGGAGGTGGAAGTTGCAATAAGCTGAGATTGTGCCACTGCACTCCAGCCTGGGTGACAGATTAAGACTCTGTCTTAAAAAAAAAAAAAAAAAAGCTTCTCTCCCTATCACATCCTCTCTCAATATCTCTTGTATATTGAAGGCAAAAGTTATCCGCTCGGCTGTTTCAGCACCATCTTCCCTTTTGCTTTTTCCCCATACCAGAAATGGCCACCAACACTTTTCCTCTGCTCAGACGCTAAGCTGGGTCACACCAGGATAGGTGGACGAGGGGCAGCTTTGTTTCTCCGAGAGCTCCTTTCTTGTGAATGGACAAGCACAAAGACCCCTGGGAAAGCTAATTCTCTCCAACTATTTTTCTGTGGAACTCTGATGAATGTAGTTCTCTGCTTTATAGAAATTATTTCACTTTGCAGCAGTCTTGTGGTTTCGGGCAAATTAACCAAAGTCCCAGCCCCAAGGGTGGGCCTTAATTGGCATAACCATGCAATATAATCTCATCCTCTTTCTTTGCTGTGGTCAAGAGATGGGACTGAGCTGCTTATCACATGGCTCTCCCTGTCCATAATAATTGATTAGTCTAATCCAAATGAACTGCAGGACTTGGCTTGTTGTGCTGAATCAAGAGAAGAAGCTCTTTCTTGCCTCGATGGGGGTAGGCTGAGGCTGCGGTGGCCTTTTTGCTCTGAGGGAAGCCAGCCTGTGGATGAAGCCAGTGCGTGGAGGAAGGCAGTCTGGAGACTCACAGGGACACAGGAACCACAGCCCTGGAAAAACTGTCGCTGCCACCTGCAGCACTGTGGGAGTTACCTTAGCCAAAAAGTTTCTCCTGTTGTTTGAAACGGTTTGAGTTTGGTCTGCTATTTTAGTCTGCAACCAAAGGTACTCTTCCTCCTTCCAACCTTGCTGACTCTGGCTTATGTTTGTTTCTTCTAGCTAACTGCAAGCACCTCCAGGGACAAGCCACAAAATACGAATTGAGTAAATCCAGTGATTCTGCATACAAATCAAATGCTCATATTTGTATTTAAAAGAGGTATTACACAATGTAAAGATGAAAAAATTCATGCTAATAATTTGAATTTCAATTTAATAATTAATGTCACCATCTCAGTTGCCTCTTTTTTAAAATGGGATTTTTAAAAATTGCCTCATCTGACAGGATTACATGAACTATCATATGTAAAATGCCTGGCTCTTTGTTTAACGCTTAGTCAATAAGCATTTAGTCAATGGTTTTCTTTTCCTTTTCCCTTCTTCCTTAAAGCAGGAACTGGGCCACACAGCAGGAGGTGAGCCACAGGCAAGTGAGCATTACCGCCTGAGCTCCGCCTCCTGTCAGATCAGCAGTGGCATCAGATTCCCATAGGAGCACCAACCCTATTGTGAACTGTGCATGCGAGGGATCTAGGTTGCGTGCTCCTTTTGAGAATCTAATGCCTCATGATCTGAGGTGGAACAGTTTCATCTCAAAACCAACCTCTCCACCTCTGGTTCGTGGAAAAATTGTCTTCCACAAAACCAGACACTGGTGCAAAAAAGGTTAGGGACACCTGCCTTAAAGGACTAGCCATTTATAGGGAGTGAAGAGGATACATTTGCATCCTGATACAAAGGGAAAAAAAAGAAGAAAAAGAAAGGGGAAAGAGACTTGCTGTAAGTCAAACTCAACAAAAAGAATGTTGGCCTCTAAGCCAGATGATTGCTGAATGGAATCCAGTGTGGGCTCTTTGAGATTCTTCAAGTCCCATCACAAGGACCCTACCCTGTCTCCTTCCCCCTGCAGCAAACCTGGTTCCTGTACTGCCTCCTGATCTCCTGGAGCAGGCTGCTGTGTCAGTGGGTGATTGTCCCCAGTCAGTGTTGGTGTGGCCAGAACTGGGAATCCAGAAGGGCTATGGCTCCACATAGAACTAGCATGGGTCCTGTTCTGGGAAAGAAAGTGTGAGATTCTTCTGCCTGTGGAAATGGGTAGAGGATTCCTAAGTAAAGACAGCTTTTTTCTTTTAAAATAAACTTTTTGTTATGGAAAATTTCAATCATATACAAAATAGACACTGGTATATGAGCTCCTCTGTACCCATTACCGGCTTCAACAGTTATCAACGCCTGGACAGTCTTGTTTCACCCGAGTCCCTACCCACTTGGCCATGTTCTATGTTATTTTTGAGACAAATCAAAAACATTCTATCACTTTATCAGAAACTATTTCTTTTTTTTTGAGCTGGAGTCTTGCTCTGTCACCCAGGCTGGAGTGCAATGGTGCCATCTTGGCTCACTGCAAACTCCACCTCCCAGGTTCAAGCAATTCTCCTGCCTCAGCCTCCCAAGTAGCTGGGATTGCAGGCGCATGCCACCACACCCAGCTATTATATTTTGTATTTTTGGTCGGGATGGGGTTTCACCATGTTGGCCAGGCTGGTCTTGAACTCCTGACCTCAAGTGATCTGCCCACCTTGGCCTCCCAATGTGCTGGGATTACAGGCATGAGCCACTGCACCCAGCCATAATATTACATTTTCAAGGCTTTCCTAAGAGGTAGAGATGGCGGCAAGTACGTGCCATCACCTGCTTTCCTCCTTGCCCCCATCTTGGTTACCCCAGGAGCACTCTGTCACTGTGGATGTGCCTAATTCAGCCTAGCATGGCTGATTGCAGAGTTGTGGTTGGTGCTAATGAATATTGCTTTCATTTCTGTCAGCCCAGAGCACTTGTATCTAAAGAGACCCTCATATCATGGTGGTATTCCCATTCTCCCAGATAGGTACTTATTTTAGGGGTTAAAAAAAAATCTTTGTTTTCTTGTACCTTTTTAAAATGTAGAGTTGAAAAGCTACTCATCTTTATTTCCTATTCCCAGGAAGCCTGCTTTATAAACTTGAGGAGAGGGGGTTTCATGTACTTTTCTATTAGAAAAGGTATTACTTTGCCTTGAAATAATTTTCTGAAGAATCATTTGGGATTTTTTTATAGCTATGATGTACTTCTCATTTCTTAATTTCCTTCTCGAGCATGTATCTGTTTTGATCTTTGATTTCCTTTAAACTTACAGTGAGGTAAATGTATTCTCTTACCACCACCTTTGATGCATCCCAAATTATACCCCTTGGAATTGCTTCAGTATTATTCATTTCAAAATGGTTTCTCAACATTTCTTGAATTTCATTTATACAGGTAAAGTCTTTAAGCAAAAGGTTATTTTGGGGCCAGTGCTCACAGAATCCTGAGCCTACTCAGCCTCCTGAGATGATTTCCTTTGGAAGCAACCCAGGAAAGAATTCAGGCTGAGAGCTACAAAGCACAGCAAAATGGGCAGAGAATTAAATATATATATTGGAATGCATTTGCATTTAAAAACTAGAGTGGAATTCCTGATTTTTTCCCAAAGACCTATTAGATTGATATGTTTGTTTATTTCATAATTTAATCTTTCAATTGCAGATTTAATATCCAATTAAACCCCCCTTTTAAAATAACACTGGCTTCAGAGGCAAATTAGCATGTTAAGAAAAGAAGCGTGCTCATCATTTGAAGTCTGTATAGAGCTCAAGCAACGACAGTCGACCTCACTAAAAAGATGATTTCCAGTAGCCAAGTAGATGATTGGTGAAGTAATTATGTTATTTAGGGCCCTTCTCCAGTGCTGAAAGATGAATCACATTTGCATAGGTAAAAACAAAGACTCAAATGGGAGAAAATAAACCAAAGTTGTTTTGCAGAAACAAAGAAAAATAATGCTCAGTGGTGTCTCTTTCGGAAACATTTTCCTTCTGCTGCCAATCTATGCAGGCTGGAACCCAAATCCTCAGTGGAGCATTGAGTATGAAATCTGGGCATGTCTCTGAGGTTCCAGGTCCCCACAGAGTAGCTGCAGCATCATTGTAACACTCAGTGACAGAAGCTAAGTTTTAAAAGACAATAAATTGTACATCTGTGATCATAGCAGCATTATTCACACTAGCCAAAACATGGAAGCAACCCAAGTACGCATCAATGAATAAATGGATAAACAGAATGTAATGTACATATACAATGCACTGTTATTCGTCCCTAAAAAGGAAATAAACTGTGGCACAGGCTACAACATGAATGAACCTTGGGGACAGTATGTGAAGTGAAATAAACTGATTGCAAAGGACAAATACTGGGCAATTTCACTTAAATGAGGTACCTAGAGTAGTCAAATTCATTGAGACAGAAAATGCAGTGATCATCAGGGCTGGAGAGAGGAGGAAATGATGAGTTACTGTTTAACGGGTACAGTTTTGCAAGATGAAAGGGTTCTGGGGAGGGACAGAGGTAATGGTTGCACCCTAATGTAGATGTACTTAATGCTGCTGAACTGTTCAAAATGGTCACCATGATAAAGTCTATGTTACTTTTATTTTATAATTTTTAAAAATTGGTTAAAAAGACAATTAAAATTGTAGGATTTTGGCCAGGCTTGGTGGCTCACATCTGTAATCCCAGCACTTTGGGAGGCCAAGGCTGGTGGATCACTTGAGGTCAGGAGTTCAAGACCAGCCTGGCCAACATGGTGAAACTCCATCTCTACTAAAAAATACAAAAGTTAGCCGCTGTGGTGGTGTGCGCTTGTAATCCCAGCTACTTGGGAGGCTGAGGCAGTAGAATCGCTTGAACCCAGGAGGCAGAGGTTGCAGTGAGTCGAGATCATGCCATTGCACTCCAGCCTGGGCAACAGAGTGAGATTACGTCTCCAAAAAAAAAAAAAAAAAAAAAAATAGGATTTAAACAAATGGACAGCCCCTCTAAGGTGTCACTGAGAAGCACCACACATATACAGGCTCCCCAAAATACCTATACACCCCACGTATTTCCTTTTCAGTTGTGTTGACAGACATTCCCAGCATCACTCTATTGCTTGAGGTCAGGACCAGCTTTAAGGGGGCACAAGCAGTGCAGTTGCACGTGGCCCCACATTTGGGATTAGGGCTCTGTGGTTGTGGTCACCATCTTGAAATTCTTAATCACTTTATTTGTGAATTCGTATTTTGTAAGTGAAATCCAATGGGACAATGGAGCATACATTGGGGTCTTTGGCTGACACATGGTCCAGCCTCCTGCTGACACCCTGGGATAGTTCTCAGTACCCATCTCCTTCCATAGCCCAAAGACCCAGGGCTGCCCTTGGCCCCCAGCAGGCTGGCAGCTCTACACTTTGCCAGG
Organism: Homo sapiens; assembly: GCF_000001405.40. Taxonomy (NCBI): domain Eukaryota; kingdom Metazoa; phylum Chordata; class Mammalia; order Primates; family Hominidae; genus Homo; species Homo sapiens. The sequence goes on from NC_000004.12 coordinate 152,233,842, forward strand.
GGTGCCTCAGTGGGGGCAAGTCTCTGGCCTACCCCTGATCCAGGCACATAGCTGTCCTGGTACAGAGGTTGCAATATTCTTGGAGGTCATTTGTGCTTGTGAGGCTGACTCTGAGGGACTTTCCTGCCCTTGACCTGGAAATGGCTGGTTGATGCAGCAGCTGGTGGGAAGAAGGAATGGGACAGACATTAAGCCCCATGTGCCCTGAATGGTGGGGGAGAGCCCGGGCCTTCCTTGAGGGTGTGCACTCTCCCTGCAAGTAACCCTGTGCCTGGGCGAGTGTTGGTCCAGGCCCACTCCACCACTCGGGGAGCCTCTCTTCCTCCTTCCAACCTTGCAGACTCCGGCTTGTGTTTGTTTGTTCTAGCTAGCTGGAGGCACCTCCAGGGACAAGCCAAGAACTATGAATCGAGTAAATCCAGTGATTCTGCATACAAGTCAAATGCTCATATTTTCATTTAAAAGAGGTATTATACAATGTAAAGATGAAAGGTAAAACTCATGCTAATAATTTGAATTTTAATTTTTCTTTACTTAGAATGACATTAAAAAGCAAATAAAAAACAACATGACAAATGAAGAGAGAAACCGCAGAAGGTAGGAAAAAGCTTTATATTTTAGCACCTTTAACAGCACTTCTTTCCTGATTTTTGAATTGTGTGCCATGCCCAACAAATTATGTCACTGGTCCCGTTTTGGGGTTAGCATTATCTCTAGAAGACCCATTAGGATACCAGTGTGCTCTCTTAAGGCAGGAGTCGGTAAACTTTTTCTGTAAAGGGCCAGAGAGAGTATTTCAACATTGTAGGTTTTCCTAGTCATACAGTCTTTATCTTGACTACTTAACTCCCCCATCAGAGCGCAGAAACAGCCATGGACATTATGTAAATGCCAAGGCATAGCTATGTTTCAATAAAACTTTATTTACAAATAGATGAGGCCATGGGCCATCATTTGCCAACTTCTGTCTTGAGGGGAAGAAAGACCATTCATGTCTCCTCTCAACCCCAGTGACAACTCAGCGAGGGTCCATCTCAGAAGGTAGGCATAGGGCCTCTCCCCAGTAGGAGATGAAGACCAGTCCTCACTCAAAAGTTTTGTTTTAGCAAGAATAACCTGGAAAACTCTGAAAAAAGAAGAGCATAGTTTGAAGCATCCATAATTCAAACACTGTGGTATTGGCACATGACTGGACAGAAGGCACAATGGACAGAAATAGGCCCAGTTACATGTGGAACTGTATATATATATGATAAGGTGCTATCGCATATCAAGAAGGAGGAGTTGGACTTTTTAGTAAGTGATGTTGGGTTAACTGAAAGGCCATATAGAAAATATAAAGTTGAATTTTTTCTTCACCCAGTCACAGTAAGATAAATTTCAAATGGGTCAAAAATTTAAAGGTAAATAAAAATGAAACCATATACATATTAAAATAAAATATGGATGAATTCTCTTATAACATGGGAATGGGAAAACCCATCCTAACTATGACTCAAAATTCAGATGAAATAAGGAACAGATGAATAAATCATTACTTATCAACTTAAAATAACAAAACACTTTTGTATGGTGAGAAGCCACGTAAGCAAAGTAAAAAAGAAAGAAAATGAGTGACAAACTAAAAAAAAATTTGCAATGAATTTAAAATGTAGGATTGATTAACTAAATACTCTGTAGTCCTGAATTTGAATTAGAAGTATCAGCAAGAACTCAAAGTATATTTTATCTTTAAAATATAAGCTACAGACTGGGGAAAATATGTGCAAAAAACATATTTGATAAAGGACTATTATTTAAAATATACAAAGAACTCTTAAAACTCGATGATAACAAACAACCCCATTAAACGACGGACCAAAGACCTTAACAGACACCTCACTAAAGAAGATACACAGATGGCAAATAAGCATATGGAAAGATGTTCCCCATCATACGTCATCAGGGAACTGAAAATTAAAGCAACAATGAGATACTACTACGCACTCATTAGAATGGCCAAAATCCTAACACTGACAATACCAAAGGCTGGTAAAAATGTGGTGCAACAGAAATTCTCAACAGGATCTTCGCATTCCCTGCTGGTGGGAATGCAAAATGGTACAGCCACTTTGGAAGACAGTTTGGCAGTTTCTAACAAAGCTAAACATACTCTTACCAATCTCTGTCCCTTCTGCTCAATTTTTCTGAGAACATAAAACTGCTCTTTAAAAAAAAAAACCTCTTTTTAAAAATTAAAAAATAGATTGAAAAAATGCATATTTACTCTGAAAAAGCCCAGAAATAAAAACCAACCCTGTACCACTGAATATTCCTAGCGTCCAGATTGTGGTCTTTAAATGCCATTTCCACTAAAAGGAACCAGGGGGAATAACTGATTTCTCCAAGAGAAAAAGCTAATTCCAGGTCTAGGGTAGGAACTGTACAAGATGAGCCTGGGACATCTTGTTATATCAGACAGCACGCAAGACATCAAAGACCACTGGAGCCAGGTCAAAAGAACCCAGGAGCCAACTTGCAGAGGCTCCCCAGAGACAAAAGTGGAATAATATGGCCATCAGTATGGAAAAAAAAACTGCAGTGGATTGAAACACACCAAATATGTTTAAATCCCTGAATCCAGAATAATACTTGAGAAAGAAACTCATTGATCACATTTAATGGATCAACAAACAACTAGGGAACCAGCAAACAACTTTGAACCAAGCATTTATCTTGCCTTTCCTGCATGAATTACATCTCAACATTTCAGGATAACTAGACCACTGATAAAATGTTCGAATTTAGAAAATATGTGTTAATAAATGAAGAGGGAATAATAGAATTAGGAATGATCATCAGTGGCTGCTGACATTGCAAAAAGGGAGACAAAAAGTCATTATGTGCCTCTTGTGGGAGGTGCACAATGTCATCTTTAAAGTGTTGCCAAAATGTTGAACCTGAATCTTATTGAGACTTCATTCTAGATCGAAAAACCAATTTTAAAAAAAATACAATGGATAAAATTACATTTTAAGTACATCATAAAGATGTAGTCAGCAAAATCTTGACTGTGGAATACTTTGAAGATGAAATAAAGTTTAGATCAAAGACTAAACTGCAAGGAAAAGAGGGAGAGAATGAAAGAGGAGGAGGAAGAAAAGAAGGAGACAGTCTTTTTTTTTTTTTTTTTTTTTTTTTGAGATAGTCTCGCTCTGTCACCCAGACTGGAATGCAGTGACGCGATCTCGGCTCACTGCAAGCTCCGCCTCCCGGGTTCACACCATTCTCCTGCCTCAGCCTCCTGAGTAGCTGGGACTACCCCGCCACCACACCCGGCTAATTTTTTGTATTTTTAGTACAGACGGGGTTTCACCATGTTAGCCAGGCTGGTCTCGATCTCCTGACCTCGTGATCCGCCCGCCTTGGCCTCCCAAAAGTGCTGGGATTACAGGCGCGAGCCACCGCGCCTGACCGAGACATTCTTAAAAATTGAAACAGTTAAGCAACATATCAGCCTTTATAAGGTGTTGGGCTTATTTGAAATAGGCTTCCAAAAAATGAACTATAAAAATCACTGGGCCGGGTGCAGTGGCTCATACCTGTAATCCCAATACTTCGGGCAGCCAAGGTGTGGGGATCTCTTGAGTTCCAGAGTTTGAGGCTAGCGGGGGCAACATAGTGAGACCCTGTTTCTACAAAAAATAAAAAAATTAGCCAGGCATGGTGGTGTGTGCCTGTGGTCGCAGCTACTTGTGAGACTGAGGTAGGAGGATCACTTGTTTCCGGAAGGTTAAGGCTGCAGCAAGCTATGATCACAGCACTGCCCTTCAGCCTGGGCAACAGAACAAGACCTTGTCTCAAAAAAAGAAAAATATTGATAAGACAATTGGGGAAATTGGGAACACCGGATAGTTAGTAATATTAAGGAATTGTTGTTAATTTCATTTCATTGTAAAGATAGTACTTCGGTTATATTTTAAAATAATTCTTTTATTTTAGAAATACACACAACAATATTTGTGTTATATTGTGATATCTTAGATTAGCTTCCAAATCCACATGAAAGAAGAGGAGGCAAGAGAAATAATGTGAAACAAGAGTGGTCCTGAGTTGATCATGCTTGGATCTGTTATGGATATGTGTGAATTCATTGTTCCACTTTCTCTACTTTTGTATATGTTGGAAATTTTCCATGATAAGACACTTTTTTTCAAGTTTTGTTTCCTTTTGTGAAGAAATGGCTTTGAGGAGTTTTGGTTGTTTGCCTACAGCAGAAGCATGCAACAAGCACTTAATGAGCACCTACCACATACATAGCTTAGGGAGACCACCTGCATACTTCAATAGGTCAAAGGACACAAAGTAGCAGAGACATAGGATGAACAAGCCCAGAGATCTGATGTTCAACATGAGCACTAAAGGTAATAATATTGTATTGTATTTGTGATTTTTGCCAAATGAGTAGATTTTAGCTGCTCTTGCCACAAATACACACACACACACACACACACACACACACAATGAGTAACTATGCGAGATGATAAATATGGTAACTTGCTTCACTATAGTAACCATTTTACTCTCTATATGTATCCCATGATATCATGTTGAATACCTTAAATATGCATAATAAAATTTATTTTTTAAAAATAGTTCAGGTGGAAGAGAATGTAGTATTGTGGTGGCAGGGGAAAAATGGAAAAGAGGGGATGTTTATTAGGAAAAAATACGAGCCACTGTGAAATCGAGGCAGGCTCCAACAAAGAAACATTCAGATATGTTTTCTTTAATGTCCTTGGATGGACCTATGAAAAAGCCAGTTGTCTAAAAGGACAATAGATTTCTCTATTTGAATGGAAGTTTAAGTTCTTTGAATTCTATTAGAATTAAATACCTTGAGAATTTACATTTTTAAAATTCATTTATGATCAGAAACCAAACATTCTATTACAGTTTACAAGGTCTGCACTGTTACCTGGAAAATAATGGATAAACAAATTCCTTGCAGAATAATTAACAATGCTCCATATTGCTGCTGCCACAGAAGAGTCTTGACCTTTATCTTACCTATGTATTTATTCTACTCCTGCTGTCTTCCAGCAGCCCATGCTGGGCTTGAGGCTTGAAGTGGTCCCTTATGAGGACACAGGAAGAGCCCATACTCAAGTCAAGCTGCCTCAAGGCACGGGGTCTGTCAAAGTATGGAAAGACTGTGTGTGGAGTTGGAAAACCATCTGAACCAGAACTGCACCCAGAATTAACAAGATCCTTGGTTTCTCTCCAACTGACCCTGTTTTCTCCACATGGAGGCTCTCTTCTTCACTCCCCTGACCTTCCTCTTCTTTCCCTTGGCTTCTGTCCAGTCTTAACTTGCACAAGGATCATGAGAGCCCCTTCAGATCCAGTTCTATCTCATCCCTTTGCAGTTCCACCATGGTGGTGTTTAGTTTCAGTTACTGAGTGAAGAAATACAATTGGTCCAGCCTGTCTTCCATGTCATTGCAAAGCCTAAGGACTGCCCCTGGTCAAAGGCCTATGCATGTCCTATCAGCTGTGGCCTAGGGAGGAGGTGAGCTGAGTCACATAGCACAAAACATGGCTGCCTGTAACTGCCCCTTGAGCAGGGCCTGTGGATGGGGCAGAGTCTCTTAGAAGGGGCCCCAAGAAGTCTAGTACTGTGTAGATTTCTAATATATCCTGCCAGCTTTGAGCTGACTGCTACTAATTTTTATAGGAGTCTCAAAACCAGTTTGGGCCTCCATTTACCAAACCCCAAATTCTAACTCATCTCAAGTGAAGGAGATTTAGGATTTGGCAGCCTACTCAGTGCAACTTACCAGGAAATAACCTTAGGCCCCAGGAATAAAACTATTTTCAACTTCTGCCACCCTCTCAGCTCCTTAGAAGACACAAACAGAACCGATTACCATCTTGGCCACTAGGGAAAATGCTTAGGGTGAAGGGGTAAGTTTTGTTACTGCTGATATTTATCAGTGTTGAAGCTATCAATAATTATATGACTAGCAATTGTTTGCCAAACATTTGTGATATGATAGGCAGTGTTCCTAGAGCTCTTACATAGGCCGCCACATTTAATCCTCCCAACAATAGGTCTCTCTCTACTTGACAGATGAGTAAACTGAGGCTTAGAGAGGCTGAGTAATTTGTCTGAGGTCACACAGCTATGAAGTAGCACATCTAGAATCTGAATCTTGAACTGATTCCTTAATCAATATGTTATGTTGTCCTCTGTGCTGGATTCTATCACTGCTGCCTTGCGACCTCTGGTCATGTCACTTAACTCCACTGGCCCTCATCATATCTTCAGTAAAAAGGGCCCATCTTTTAATCATTGAAATATTTTTCCCAACTTGTTTGGACATGGTTAAGTGCCCAAGCTGCAGTCTCAGAGTGACCCGACTCATTCTGGGAACAAATGTCCCTGATTTAGCAAACTCATTCAATGGCTACATATTCTGATAAGGGGGTCTTGGCCTGCACAGCATGCAAATGCATTTCAAAATGAACTCATTTATGATTGCTTTAAGAAAAACTCCAACATAATGAGTTTCTGTGGCTTTATTTACAAAAAGGGAACTTTCAGACTCTGCAATTACCCAAAGCAGTAAAGCAGCAAAGAAAGCCAGCATGTTAAATAATAATTGCAAATGTTATATAAATGAGAGTGGTTTGATTGAATTTATTAGATATGTGTTGCTGGCATTTTAAGATATAAAGCATTTATCACAAAATGATGATTTCTTCACTTAAGCTCATTAGGAAATCACACATCAATTCACACATAATTACAGGGGAATTTCTGCTGCTCCCCACAAATCATTACCATGTTAGCTGAAGTCGAATTGGTTTTTCCATGATTTGGAAAGATGAGTTCTCAACAGGAACCCATAGAGAGAGGAGCTACACTTCCCTGGGGTCCCCACATCCTTGAATCAGTCAGAGGAAAGAGTGGCCTAAGGACTTTACTACAAAAGGCTAGGACTAGTCCCAAGCAAGAGCTGAGGCTTTCTCTCCATCAGAATCTCGGCATGTGGATCACCCTGCTTCGATAGATGATGAGTTAAGAGTCTAGAGATATTACTTGCACCGGACAAGTGATGACCACGATTTGAGAGAAAATTGGAAGTAGGAGTGAGAGAAGAGAAAAAAAAATGAAGGGGGCATAAATATAAGTTTATAAAATGTGTTCAATGTGAGTGTTATTTATAGTTAATGAGCAAGATACAAGGCTGCCAAGTGGCCATGAACCAACCAAGAGGAAGAACAGTCTTTTGATACTCCTATAGTTGGCAGATAATGGCTTCAGATTTTCTTAATATGCATCTTGTAAAATGTAAACTTACTGGCCATTCAAAAGTGTCCTTCCTTGCAAGACTGACTCTCATCTTTCTTTCCTTTCCCTATATATGAGACAAATTAATTATACAAGGAAGTCATAGGAGAGACAGGGTGGGAGACAGAATAAGGAAAAGGACATATGAGAGCAGTGAGTGGTTATTAGAAGTAAAGAAAAATGGAGCTTTAGCTAGCATGAATCACTGGTCTATTTCCTTAATATATAAAGAGCTCTTATGAATCGATAAGAAAAAAAGCCAACAATTCATAGAAAAATGGGCAAAGATCATGAAAAGGTAACTGACAAAGAAAGAAATGCAAATGACTTTCCAACACAGATAAGATACTCAATCTCATTTAAAATTAAATAACCAAGTTAAAACAATAATGAGCTACAACTTTTAACCTATCAAGTTGATAAAAATCAAAAAAGTTAGATAATATACCATGTTAGTAAGAAAACACTCATATAACTGGTGAAGTTTCATGTGCAACAACTTCTCTGGGGAGTAAAATTTGTCAGTGTATATCAAATTTTTAAATAAACATACACTTTGACCCAACAAGTCCACTTCTATAAATTTATTCCATGGCTATATTTACACATGTTGGACAATTTACATGGGGATATTTATTGTAGTATTACAATAGCAAGAGAATGGAAAAACCTAAATTGTCCAACAATTAGAAAATAAAGAATGCCATGTAACAATTAATAAAAGAATAAGATAGGCTTATTTGTATGTATTGAGAAATAACAATCTCCTAGAAATAAAACAAAGTTTTAGAAAAGCAAGGAAAGTGTATAATATACTAACATTTATATAAAAGCAAAAGGATATAGATGTATATGTATACATATGAATATAGAACATATTCATATATAGAATATATGAAAATACAAAGAACGCTTTTCCTATGGAGAACTGGTAATAGAATTTGTTATCATTGCCCATGCCAGACCAGCATTAGAAATTATAGAATTTATTTAATATAATTCTGAAGGTTTTTTATATTTCTCTATTAGAAAAATAATCTTTGAAATTTAAACTCATGTGTGTGTATGTGTGTGTGTACATACACATGCATTTGCATGCTTATAAACAGTATATTTCTGGAAGGACACTAAAGAAAGTGTGGTGGTCTCTGAGAAACAAGGGGGTCGGGGGCTTTGGAATTAGAAATTTTTTTACTGTAAGTTAATTCATAGTATTAGGCTTTTTTTTTTTAACCAAGTTACTATATTACATTTTTAAATCAAAAACCAGACGTATGGGTTGGGGGTGGGGGGACTCTTTGTGATATAAATAGAAATGAGGTCTGTGAGAATCATTTAAACCAAAGAAAAATCACAAGTTAGGTTCTTGGGAGCAGAGAAGCATCATCTTGAGAAGAAAGACTGTCAAATGGAGGAGGCAGCCCTGACACTGGACATCACACATCGTCGCTGGACACATGTGGGTTTCTATTACTCTGTTTCTAAAACAGGGGAAGTGGTGGAGGAGAATACATTCTCAGAGGCCCCCTTCCCTGCCTCTCAGGAGATGTTTTAAGGGTGATGGAACTATTATATGACATGCTTCCTAATGGCTTTTTTACAGTATGTCTTCTCAGGAAAGATGTAAGAGATAAATGACAGACATCAGTATTAAAACTCCCCTTCAGAGAGCAAACCACCATTTGGAGGGAAACTGCTTTGGAAAGCGAGTGAACTTTTTCTGGAAATTAATGCAAGTCAAAAATCTTCAAAGAAAGATTTTAATTGAAAACTCAAGACCTTTTCCTATAGATAGTTCTGGGAGCTGGAATTTCTCTTCAGTTTGCCTTGGGCTTCATAAGACATTTGGGGTCCTGGATCCCGTATCTCCACCAGCAGCACAGAGCCAGTAGTTTACAGAGCATGGCCATTTGTCCTGGGTCCTGCTGGGAAGTCACAGACAAAATACCCTGAAGCCCCCAAGCCCTTCAGTGCTCTGAAAGTCTGCTGTGAATAAGAACACCACACTTCCTGGACTTTACCTGACTCCTGGGTACCAGAACTTGAGTCTCCCTCAGGTGTCCTGGAAGTACTCAAGGTTGTGAGTGATTTTGCCTTAATTCCAAGGGGAATGAATGCTGGCTAGTGCTTGCCATTTCAGAGCTGCTGGAGGCTAGTTAAGAAAACAGAACCAGAGTTTTTTAAAAAACTGTGCTGAGACCAGGCAGTTCAGGGCATTTTCTCGTGAATGAGCTTTGCACAATCAGCTCAGGAAGTTGCTAGCCTAGGATCTGAACTGCTCAAATCCAAAATTTGCTAGCCTAATAGCCAATAAAAAAAAACCAAAAGAGAGGGGGAAAAATACATGCAGTGTCTTCTTGAAGGATTAGCTGAAGAATTATACCAATTTTTTTTTTAATGCTCAAATCTCCAGACAAGTGAGAGTACGAAAGAGATTCTCTTGTTAAGAATGAAAAGGGGGAAAGAATTCACCTCTCCTTTCAGGTGTAGAAGGAGGAAAGCAATGAATAGAAAAGGGAAATGGTTTCCTCCTTTTTGGGAAAGAATAGTATTAACCTTCAAGTAACTGCAGAGGTTGTCGGAGCTTATACAAGGAAACTCTTCAGAAAGACAGAAACATGAATCATGGGTCGTTTTATCTCCACTTTAAAGCACTCGAACATTCAAATTCCCTAAAGAAAAGAGAGCGGGTGGGGCAAATGATCCAATCTACTGGATTTATTAATATCCCCAGCGCCAGCCCAGGAGGATCCTTAGTTTCTGCTAGTGACACTAGCCGTGTTTTTTCCTGAGGTTGAGTCACAGTTTCCCTAGTCATGGGGTTGAGGTCACTGGAGAGGGGACGTGGGAGCCATTCTGGGTGTGCTTTTATTTTTAATAGACTAGTGAGAAGTTGGCAGGACCCGTTACAGGAAGTCACGTGCTGGAACAGAGGTGCTTGATGCCGGGAGTTTGATGAGTGTCTGAAGAATGTTCTGTTAACAATATGAAGGCTCCAGATGGCAAACTGGGAAGGAGCAATCCACTAAGTGCACTTAGAAAGGCCGTGTGCAGTTGCCCAGTACAGTACCAGGTCAGTGAAGAAATAGGAGTGGATGGGAAGTGGCTGGCTCGCCTTGGTGATATATGAAGGATTATGGGGCAGAAGTCTTATCATAGGAATTTATTTTCTCTGGGAAAGGGCTGATGCATTTCCTTTTCCAGCAACATACATCAGGGCCTGACATTTATTTGACATTCTCCCATCAGATATTCATGAACACATAGCCTGAGCTGAACATTGTATTTGCAATTGCATGGCAAATGCGATGGACAAGGCCCCTTCCCTCGGGCAGCTTGCAGGCCTGGGCATGGTACCCACAAGAAAGAGATGACTGCATATTGTGTGGCGAGGACCACAAGGAGGGGAAGCATTGATGTCTGGGGCCATAAGAGGGGTACTTGGGTGTCAAAAAGGAGTCTTGGAAAAAGAAGCAGTCGGCTCTAGCAATACAAAGGGAGAAGGGGCCCAGGTAGAGAAGGCAGGTTGTATAAGGACCAGCAGCAAGGGACAGAAACAGAGGCCCCTCCATTTCCTTGCCTTGTCTATCTTTCTCTTTCTCCTCTCACTCCTTTCAAATCTTGACTCCACACCCTTCAGAACTCACCCAACCCTGCTCCTCTCTGCCCATACCATGCCCTGTCAGCTCCTTGCCCAGCAGTTCCAGCTGCAGGCTGCCCTGATCCAGTCTGATGCTCTGGCACCGGATCTGATGCCAGCCCCAGGCTCAGTCCTGGTTGCAGCTGACGTTCCCTCTCCTCTTTCTTCTTCTCCCCTCCTTTACCCTCTCCCTCTCAATGAAAAACATGAAGAGGATTGTGAGGGGCAAGTAAGTAGAAAGGGGCAGGTGAAATGCAGCCCATGAATGGTTTATACCAGGAGCAGCAGTAAAAACAAAAAATCCTTAACTTCAAACCAGTCCTTCACAGAGAAACTGAAGTGCAATTTCATCTTGCCTCACCTCATCTTAAGTGCTCATGGGTGAGACCAAGGAGCTGACAGAAAAGGAGAAAAGTTTAATTTTTCTGCATACTAGCAAATGTCCATTTTGAATGGCTTTTCATTAAATTACCTAAATACTTCTGTTTTCCATCATAGATCCTTGGACACACGATCTTTTCAACAGAACCCTAGTGGACTTTAATCATGGTTTTATACCTTCATATCTTTTTATTTCCATAGTGCCTAACCTACTTGATAAACTATTTTTTAATGAATGAATGGCTTAAATTGTTTTTGGGTTGAGCTTGAACTTACTTAAAGGCAAAACCCAAAAAGAAAACCTGTCTCATCTAGGCAAGGTTAATGTAGTTTGTAGATATCACAAATGGTTTTCGTTACCCAGAAAATAAAAAAAGGGTGAGCCTCAACTTCTGTAACTGGCAGCTCATCAGATCAATACTCAGCTATTCACTAAGAACATCCAAATAATGTCAATAAAGCAAACTTTGCCTAAAGGTATTTGTCTATTAAGACTCTCCAAGATTGTATTTATGTGTCAGAAACAGAGCAGTGGGAGAGAAGGAAAGAAATACTTTCTGGAGCCAAAGTCTGAGCTGATCACGTAGGATCATCTTACTGCTCATTCTTGGGACTTCACCCCTCCCTTTGCCTCCTGCCTAAAATGCCTATCACTTTGCACAGATTTGCAAGTCAACCCACCAGATCCTCCCCACAGCCTAATTTGCTATGATGTATACTTAATAGAATTTGGATCTGGGACTTCATCCAAAATCATCACAAGAAGGACCAGAAAAATCTCATTAGGACATTCACACCCATGATACAAGCCCATGACAAGAGTCCCAAGACTCCAAGCATTTTTATATTTGAGAATTCAGTGTCTCAAATGGTTGTCAGTAGAAGGCTATCCTTGTTGGTTGCTTATTTCACCTTTCCATGCTTTTTGCAGAAGCTAAAAGATCATATAGTAAACTTGTATATTGTAAGACTCTTAGGAACCCCTAAATTCATAATCTCCCTCGAAAACCCAATGGCCAGTAGGCAACAACAATGCAGACTTAAGATGTGGATGCTGGGCAGCAAGGCTGGCTCCCTCACTAGCCAGAGGGACGTTCATCCACATCAGCGCCTGAGTGAAGTTCAATTTTGTACCTCTGCAAACTCTACATGCAGTGGACTTAGGATTGGGGGTAGGGAAAAACATAACTGTGAAAGTGAGAACATTAAATCTGCGGATACCAACACTCTGCCATGAAATAATTTCATAGATGGAGGTGCTTCACAGTTGAAAGCAACCCCACATCATTGTCCTGATGACAATGGGATGGAGACTGAGAAAAACATCCTGACAAGTCTGGAAGGAACAAAGGTCTTTCATTGCCTACACTATTACAGAAAGAGGACATACCATCAGGGAGAGACAAACCAGGTACATTCCTGTCTTTCATCTGTAAGATGCAATCATCTCTGAAAGATGGTGTTCGATCCTTTTCCGGAGGTGGAAGGCAGTTAAAGATACCCAGAGAAAGAAGGGGTGCACACCAGAAGCGGCACCCGCAGGAAGTGCCTTGCTGAAAGCACGGCTGGGTGCTCACAACTGCTCGAAGCTTGGCAAAGTTTCCTGGGACTACAAGAAGGTTCTGCACTGAGCAGGTGGAAGGTGCCTCCCAGCCGGAGGGGACAGCTGGGTACAGAATGTGAAGAGCACAGCATTCAGGAGCAACTTGCCATTGTACCCTCACCTCTTTGTTTTCCCCCCTGCCGGGTCAGCTCACTGCGCACTGCTGACGATGCGGAGCTTCTCTGATCTTGTGAACGAGATAAGAACTACGGAGTGTGGAAGGAAGGAAGAAATGTGGCTTCTTTCAATTTGTCCTCCATGTGCCCACCACACATGCTCATCAAGAAGCTTGCTTTGGCTGGGCATGGTGGCTCACACCTGTAATCCCAGCACTTCAGGAGGCTGAGGTGGGACGATCACTTGAGGCCAAGAGTTCAATACTAGCCTGTGTGGGCAACATAGTGAGACCCCATCTCTACCCAACAAATAATAATTAACTAATTAAAAAAACAAAAACAAAAATCATGTTTCCTCTGGGTTCTGCTGCATTCCCACTGATGTAACTAGTTGGGGTCTCACCAGACGCACAGCCTTCCTCAAAGGGACTCGGCACCCCACACAGGATAGAACTGGGCAATGTAGTGTGTGTCACCAGGACCCAAACAGGCCTCTAGCTCTCAGGGTCCCCGGGCCGAGGCCACCAGTGCAGCCAGGCCAGCTTCCTGCAGGCTATGGGGGTGGGAAAAGCTGGCCCTCCTCCTCTGAACGTCAGAGCCTCAGGGAGGCGGCCACAGATGTGTCCTCTTTACAGCCTCCTCTTTGGTTCATCAAGCAGCCCTTCTCCCAAATATAACCTTCAGCAAAGACAGCGCCTCCCAAGCTCAGGACACAGGAACAAGTCATTCATCTGCCAGCCAGGATGCAGCGGCCCCGGGACCCAGCCAGCGAGCTTGTCAGTAGAAATTACTCAGCCTGGCAGCCTCTCTCCCGCCCGCATTCCCGGAGCCAGAGCCTCTCTGCAGAGGCAGCACCTGATCTCCCTGGGGCCGCAGCAGACGCAGTCTGGAATCCAGCTCCCTCCGCCAGAGAGGGGTGGCCAATGCCTTGGCCTGACCTCCAGCTGCCGCCCCAGCTTCTGGAGGCCCAATTCTCCCTTTCCGTCTGAATGTGGAAGAGCAAGCCAAGGGGGCCATGTCACCCCACATCCTCCAAAAGTGGAGTTCCCGTTGGCAGTGACCCCCCTGAATGTGTCCGGGGTGCTCCCGAGCTAATGCGGAGGAGAAGAGGTCACTTCGACTCCCCCCGCCCCAGGTATGCTGGGGAGGCTTCTAAGAGAGGGCCTTCCGGACCCCTCATGTGCCAGCACCTGGGCCCTCACCCCGCACAGCTCACATCACAGAGAGCTGTGACCAGGCATCAGGACCAGCGCTTTCAGGGGAAGGAGAATAAAGAAGTGAAGGTCGAAAGAAACCAAAAGAAGAAAAAAGAAACCAAATTTAAATACAGAACAACATATAAACATAATGTATGAATTTACATATACAAATCAATCAGTGCAGGTGAAGGCGGTTGGCAAGTGGTCAGTTTGACAGATCCATTCATTTAGTCAACAGTATTTATTGAACCTTATTGTGTGCCAGATCCTGTTCTGATTGCCCCCAGCCCCGCATGGGATTGCAGAGGCCAGGGCCTATGGTGGGCACCTCTGGGATGCTTTGAGATTGGGGCTCCAGTAGCAACTGCCTTCCTCCATTCTCCAGAGGAGAAAGTGCAGCTGGAATCCCGTGTAGATGTTCAGTGTCGCCTACAAAGGCCATGATGGTCATAAGTAGAAGGAAGAGTGACCTGTTCCAGGCCGGAGGCTCAGGGAGAGCCATGGAACCGACCCCACGCCCCTTCGGCTGGAGGAAACCTGCCCAGTTCAGGCTCCTCCGTGGGCTTTGTCAAGTCCTCCGAGACCCAACATGGCTGGAGACAAAGAATTCCCTCCAAGCTAGAGCCTGTACAAAGAGGGTAACTTAAAGCAGTATTGTGAGAAAAGTGGAGGTGTGTAAGATCTTATAAAGAGGAAAAGGAAAGGACTTAATAATTCAGTATTATCTTCTGATATAATCAGGTATTTTTATGGGGCAGTCTGTGCTGTTAACCATAAGGAACATCAACTGATTTTATAGATATTTGAAGAGTCGATGTAAAACAACCATTAACCATCACTTTCTTTTATTAACAAAAATAAAATAAAGTCTTAAGTATGTACAGCCTATTATATTCAGCTTTCCTAGGTATACTTGCCTCTTTTGACTCCAGCCCACCCCACCTAGCTACACAGAGCTTACAGACAGGTCTTGGAGGATCTACCCTATCCCTATTCTGGCTTGGGCCAGAAAAAGACACTAACAAAGAGTGAAGAGGAGGAAGAGGAAGATGGTTATAGAGACAGTGATGAATGGTAGTGGTAAGGGGGTGATGGTGGTGATGGTGTAATGGAAGTTAGTAAGATAAATCAATTACAATAATTGGATACTTTAATCTTTTAAAACAATATCCTATAGATAGTTTTAAGCATTCAATAAAAGGTTAAATTCCACCAGTTTAGCCTCAGTCTTTCCACATTTTTCTCTCTATGAAGAAAACCAATCCCATAAAGATCAGATCATAAAGATAAATTATTTTCTATCATCTCCAGGTGCCAGAGTTATTTTAGGATTTAGACTAAGACCCATTTTGCTCCACACAGAGGAGATCGGCCCCTCCTTCAAGGCATCACCCAGAAAAGCAACGTCTTCTTTTTTTTTTTTTTTTTTTGAGATGGAGTGTCGCTCTGTCTCCCAGACTGGAGTGCAGTGGCGCGATCTTGGCTCACTGCAACCTCCGCCTCCCAGGTTCAAGCAATTCTCCTGCCTCAGCCTCCTGAGTAGCTGGGACTACAGGAGCACACCACCATGCCCAGATAATTTTTGTATTTTCAGTAGAGACGGGATTTCACCATGTTGACCAGGATGGTCTCGACCTACAGCCTCGTGATCCACCCTCCTCGGCCTCCCAAAGTGCTGGGATTACAGGCATGAGCCACTGCACCTGGCCCAGAAAAGCAACTTCTAACTTATCGACACGTTTACTATACCCTTATTGTTAAAAACACTCTCCTAACAATCTTGTCATTTCTGCTCCTTATTCTGACCCCCCTGATATTAAGTCACTAAGACCCAAAGCAATTAAATTCAAAAGGGAAAGGGATAAACAAAGCTAGGAGAATCTAAGAATTTTGCCTTTGTTGCTTTACACCTTTGATAAAAGAGCTCCTACAGCATTTGTTCATTCATCATTCATTACTCATTCATTCAACAAGCATTTACTCCTAGCACTCTGTACTAGGCCCAAGTGAAAAATGGGAAACTAGCGATTCCCATCCTTCCCTCAAGGATCTTACGCTCCAGAAAATACAATAAAGAAAATATTCCAACTTGGAAGAGTAGCCAGAGCTGGGAGGATTCTACACCCTCAAGAAATATAAGAAAGAAAGATGAAGCTGCTTTTGAAATAAGACTTCCCGGCCAGGCGCAGTGGCTCACACCTGTAATCCCAGCACTTTGGGAGGCCAAGGCGGGTAGATCATGAGGTCAGGACATTGAGACCATCCTGGCCAACACGGTGAAACCCTGTCTCTACTAAAAATACAAAAAAATTAGCTGGGTGTGGTCCTGTAGTCCCAGCTACTAGGGAGGCTGAGGCAGGAGAATGGTGTGAACCTAGGAGGCGGAGATTGCAGTGAGCCAAGATTTTACCACTGCACTCCAGCCTGGGCAACAGAGCAAGACTCCGTCAAAAAAAAACTTCCCGAATGCCCTGTGGCAATCTTTGTAAGATCTCCCTTATAAAAACCACAGGACTGTATAACAACTAAGAAGCTAGAAGGCTGTTTCTCCAAATGGGCCCATGAACTAATGGTACTGTACCAAGAACAACTGTTAAAAAAGACAGGTTGTATAGTCCTACCACAGGCATATTGAATGAGAATTTCTGCAGGGGTGGAAGGTAGGGATCAGAGAATTTGCTTTATTAATATGTCCCCCTAGGGATTCTGATGCACACAGAATCACTAAGCAAAATGTAAGAAAAGGTATTAAAAAATTGTGATTAGAAGGGGCTTTTTATGACCAAGGTATGAAAATTAAGATGCCAAGAAACAGCTAAATGGGGATTGCTTTTAAACAGCAGAACGTGTGAGAAATTCTTTGGACTGGGAGCCAAGAGATGTGGTTCCAGTACTGACAAGCTAAATGATCTTGGCCAATTCATGTATTCCCCTCTAGTACTCAGATGTGTTTCTGCACTATCCAGTGTAGTAGCCACTACCCACATGTAAATATTGAGCACTTAAAATCTGGCTATCTGAATTTAGATGAGCTGCAAGTGTGAAATATACCCCGGGTTTGAAAGATAGTATGATGGGTCACACCTATAATACCAGTGCTTTGGGAGGCCAAGGCAGGAGGATTGCTTGAGCCCAGGAGTTTGAGGCTGTAGCGAGCTATGATCACACCACTGCACTCCAGCCTGGGAGACTGAGCAAGTGTCTCTAAAAACAAAAACAAAGACAAAAAAAAAGCCCCAATTTTTAAAATTTTGATTATATGTTCAAATTAGAATATTTTGGCTATATTGCATTAAATACATTTAAATTAAATCAAAATTAATTTTAACTGCTTTTACTTTTTTAGATTATTTTTAGAGCAGTTTTCAGTTCCCAGCAAAACTAGGAGGGAGGTATAGAGATTCCCATATGCCCACTGCCCTACACGTGCATAGGCTCCTACATTAACAAAGTCCCCCATCATGATGTATATTTGATACAATTAATGAACTTACATTCCCACAGCATAATCACCCAGGGTCTGTATTTTACCTAGGGTTCACTCTTGTGAAACTTGTTCATGAGTTTGGACAAACTAATAATGTCATTCATCCACCATTATCATTCAGAGTAATTTCCTCACCCTAAAAATCCTCTGTGCTCTGCTTATCCATCCCTCTCCCTCTCTCAACCCCTGGCTACCACTGATCTTTTTACTGTCTTCACAGTTTTTTGCCTTTTTCAGAATACCATATAGTTGGACTCATTCAGTATGTTGACTTTTCAGATTGACTTCTTTCACCGAGTAATATGCATCATCTAAGGTTCCTCCATGCCTTTTGATGGCTTGATAACTTCTTTTTTGTTTTAGAGACGGGGTCTTGCTCTGTCACCCAGCCTGGAGTGCAATGGCATGATCACAGCTCACTGCATCCTCAGACTCCTGGGCTCCAGCGATCCACCTGCCTCAGCCTCCCAAGTAACTAGGATTACAGGTGCAAACCACCATGCTGGCTCCTTGATAACTCGTTTCTTATTAGTGCTGAATAATGTTCCATTTATGGATGTACTACAGTTTATTTATCCATTCCCTATCAAAGCATATCTTGGTTCCTTCCATGTTTGGGCAATAAATAAAGCTGCTACAAACATCTGTGTGCAGGTTTTTGTGTGAACATAAGTATTCAACTTTTTTAGGTAATCCCAAGGAACATGATTGCTGAATGGTATTATGAGAGCATGTTTAGTTTTATAAGAAACTGCCAAACTATCTTCCAAAGAGGCTGTACCATTTTGCATTCCCATCAGCAAGGAATGAGAGTTCCTGTTGCTCCATATTCTCACGGACCTTTGGTGTTGTCAGTGTTCTGGATTTTGGCCATTCTAATAGGTGTGTAGTGCTACCTCACTGTTGCTTTAATTTGCAATTCCCTGACGACACATGGTGTGGATCATCTTTTTATAAGCTTATTTGCCATCTGTATATCTTCTTTGGTGAGGTGTCTGTTAAAGTCTTTAGTCAATGGTTTAACAGCATTGTTTGTTTTCTTGTTGTTAAGTTTTAATATACTTTGTATATTTTGGGCAACAGTCCTTTATCAGATAATATTTTTTGCAAATGTTTTCCCCCAGTATGTAGCTTGTCTTCTCATTCTCTTGGTATTGTGTTTCACAATGAAGTTTTTCACAGAGGTTTTTCATTTTAATACAGTCCAGCTTATGAATTATTTATTTCATGCATCTTACTTTTAGTGTTATATTGTATCAAAAAGTAATTGCCATGCACAAGGTCATCTAGGTTTTCTCCTATTTTATCTTCTTCTAGGAGTTTTATAATTTTGTACTTTACATTTAGACCTATGATCCATTTTGTATTAATTTTTGTGAAGGGTTTTAGGTGTGTGCTTGGATTCAGTTTTTTAAATGTGAATGTCCTGTTGTTCCAACATCATTTGTGAAAAAGACTATCTTTTAAATCTACTATTTATCAAGTAGAGGAAGTCACTCTCTATTCCCCGTTTACTGAGAATTTTCATCATGAATCGGTGTTGGATTTTGTCATATGCTTTTTCTGCTGCTAAGATGATTATGTGCTTTCTATTTTTCAACCTGTTGATGTGATGGATTATAGTGATTGATTTTCCAGTGTTGGGCCAGCCTTGCATTCCTGGGACGAATCCCACTTGGTTGTGATGTATAGTTCTTTTTATACATTATTGGATTTGATATGCTAATATTTTGTGGGGATTTTTGCATCTATGTTCGTGAGAGATATTGATCTGTAATTTTCTTTCTGTGTCATGTCTTTCTCAGTGTTAGGGTGATTCTGGCCTCATAGAATCAATTAGAAAGTATTCCCTCTACTTCTATTTTCTGAAAGATATTGTGAAGAATTGGTATAATGTCTTTCTTTTTTTTTTTCTTTTTTTCTTTCTTTTTTAATTTTATTATTATTATACTTTAAGTTTTAGGGTACATGTGCACAACGTGCAGGTTTGTTACATATGTATACATGTGCCATGTTGGTGTGCTGCACCCATTAACTCGTCGTTTAGCATTAAGTTCTTAAATGTTTGGTAGAATTCACCAGTTAACCCATCTGGGCCTGGTGCTTTCTATTCTATTATTAATTATTAATTCAATCTTTTTAATAGATATAGGCCTATTCAGATTGGCAATTTCTTCTTATGTGAGTTTTGGCAGTTTGTTCCTTTCAAGGAATTGGTACATTTCATCTAGATTATCAAATCATGTGCATAGAGTTGTTCATATATTTCTTTATTATCCTTTAAGTGTCCCCTCTTTCATTTCTGATACTAGCAATTTGTGTCCTTTCTCTTTTTTTCTCAGTTAGCCTGGCTAGAGGTTTACTGATTTTATTCATCTTTTCAAAAATCAGCAACTGGTTTTGTTGATTTTTCTCTGTTGATTTAAATTTCATTGATTTCTGGTCTAATTCTTGTTTGTTTGTTTTTTTTTCTGCTTACTTCAAGTTTAATTTTCTCTCCTTTTTCTGGTTTCTGAAAGTGGAAACGTAGATGATTGATTTTAGATCTTTCTTATTTTCTAATATATGCATTCAATGTTACACATTTCCCTCTAAGCATTGCTTTTGCTGTATCCCACAAATTTTGATAAGTTGTGTTTTTATTTTCATTTAGTTCAAAATATTTTACAATTTCTCTTGAGATTTAACTCATATTCTTTAGAAGTGTGTTGATTAATCTTCATATATTTTGGGATTTTTCAGCTATCTTTCTAATTTCTAGTTTAATTTCATTGTGGTCTGTGAGCAGATATTACGTGATTTCTATTCTCTATTGATTTGTTAAGGTGTGTTTTACAGCCCAGAATGTGGTTTATCGTGGTGAATGTTCCATGTGAACTTGAGAAGAATGTGCATTCTGCTACTGTTTGATGAGATAGATACATGCCAATTATATTCAATTGATTGATGGTGTTGCTGAGTTAAACTATATCGATCTGTCCATTTCCGATAGAGGGATATTGAAGTCTCCAATTATGGTAGTGGAGTCAGCAATACCTCCTTGTCACTCTCTGTTTTTGCTTCAGGTAGCTTGACACTCTGTTACATATACATTAAAGATTATTGTATCTT